>NC_000012.12:20209650-20834650 GCF_000001405.40 Homo sapiens | reverse complement strand
CTTATACACACTGAGCACTGATGTTTGCCAGAGAGAACAGTGAATCAAACACCTATGTTTTCATGGAGCTTAATTTATGGTACAGAGAGATAGATGCTAAATAAATTACATATATATTATATATAAATATAGGATAAATACATATGTTACATATCATAATATATATTATAATATATATACATATATAATCATTACCCTACCTAAGGTTATATTATATATAACCTGTTACTCTACCAAAGGTTATATTATATATAACCTATATATAATTATATATATATATAGTCTCCACGTATATGAAGACTACATATATAGCTTACAACATATATATGTATATATACAACCTATATATAATTATATATATATATTCTCCATGTATATGAAGACTATGTATACAGGTTATATATATGTTTACTATATATACACACTTTCTCCATGTATATGAATACATATATAGTTTATATATGTTTACTATATACATACATAGTTTGATATATAAATACATATATTTTATATGTGTATGTATGTATTATATCTATGTATGCATTTATATATTATATATGTGTATATATTTATATATATTTATATTTTTATATATGCACACATATAATATATAAATACATATATAAATATAATACATATACACATATCCACACATAGACATATATGTTTACTATGTATGTATATACATATACAGCTTATATATGTATATGTGTACATATGTATGTGTACACATGTTTACTATATATACATGAATATATATATTGTATACATACACTATATATAGTATATAGAGTATATAAACTTATTTAAACACAAACTGTGTGTGTGCATATATAGATATATACACACACACTTTATGAAATAGAGAGATAGATGATAAACTACATATATGTAATACATATTACATAAATAAATTACATATGTAAATATATGTAATATACATGTAATTTATCATCTCTCTCTATACCATAAAGTGTATGTATATATGCACACACACAGTTTGTGTGTATATAATAGTTTACATACTCTATTTTATATACTATATATAGTGTATATATGCAATATATGTATATATTCATGTATATATAGTAAACATATGTGTACAATATACATATATAAACTATATATGTATATACATACATAGTAAACATATGTATATATCTGTGTATATGTGTGTATATATTTATATATCAAACTATATATGTGTGTATATATAGTAAACATATATAAACTATATATATGTATTCTTCATATATATGGAGAATATATAGATGTAATGTTATATATAATATAACCTTAGGTAGAGTAATGACCCTTAAAGACATCCAGGTCCTAATCTCCAGAACTTGTAAATATGTTAGGTAACATGGCAAGGAGATATTAAAATTGCACATGGAATTAAGGTTGCTAAACAGATGACTTAAAACAAAGAGATTGACTTGACCTGGCCTAGTGAATCCATTGTAATCACAAGGCTCCTTTAAATGTGAAAGAAGCATCCATGTGACGTGGACTTCACTAGCTTTGAACACGGAAAAGGGCCATGAGCCAAGGAATTCAGACAGCCTCTAGAAACTGGAGAAAACAAAGAAGTGTATTGTCCCTAGAATTTTCAGAAAGAAACATGGTCTTGCCAACCCCCTGAGTTTAGTTCACTGACACTTATTTCTGATTTCTGGATTTTAGATCTCTAAGATAATTTTTTTTGTTTGTTTTATGCCATTAAACACACGTGCGCAAACACGCACTTCTACACAGGTGCGTTTTGGGGTCTTAGTGTCAGCTGGTGATAAATACTATGAAAATCAAGCTGGTTAAAGAGTTATGGATAGGGAATGCTATTTTATATGGGGTGTTCAGGAGTAAAGAAATCTTTAAACAGAGATCTGAATGACATGAAAGTACAAGACATCTGGAAGAAGAACGTTTTAGAAGAGGAACAAGGAAATGCAAAATTCCCCAAGTCAGAAGTGTGCTTGGCATGTTTGAGAAACAGCAAAAAGGCCACCATGGCCGGAGAAAAGAGACCCAGAATAAAACCTGTGGGATATGGATCTTGGTGGCAGTTACATATGTGGAGTGATTATTCCAGAAAGGGAGTGACAATGAAGGCAGAAAGGGGAGACTTTTTCTTTTGCTCTATTTTTTTTTTAATAATCATTACTTTTTTGTTGTTAAAGATTTTCATTACAATATAGGGGTACAGGTAATTTGAAGAGCAGAAAAGACAAGTGTAATGAAGAAGTATACACTGGCAGATTCTGTGTAACACAGTTGGTTCAATACAAAAAACTGAGGGAAAATAATCAAATAATGGTAGAAAATAATCAAAGTGTGTCGTTTTATTTAAATGGGTTTGTAATCTACTTGGGCTTTTATACATTTCCATCCACTGAGTCTGTATATGCAACTCAGTAACAACGTGTATTAGTGTGCGCACATGCACGTAAACCAAGTCCCATGGTTGTTTGATACTGAATAATATGGAATAAGGTATATCATTAAATAGGCCACACCGCTTAAAGGTACTAATAGCACAAAAGTCCACAGTTACTTTAGCAATGTGAAACAGAGTTGAGAGCATGGAATTTGGAATCAGACTGCCTGAATTCAGACCTTGGCTCCATCTTTCACGAGCTGGGAGAACTAGGGAAATTCATTTGCCTTTTCCATACCTAGGTTTTTTTCATCTGCAAAGGGAGATAATAACATCTGGTTGATGGAACTGTGGTAAGGAAGAAAATCTATTAACGCAAACAAAACACTAGCGCAATATCTCATATATAGTAAGTGCTCAACAAATGTTAGCCACTATTATTGTTTCTCTCACCATCTCTTTTTATGTTGCTGAATTAGATCTATTTTTACCATTGTTTTAATTATCTCTGTCTGTATGTGCGCATACTCCTAATTCACAAGATTTCAAAATTAATAAGATTTTTGGTAATTATTTTTACTGAAACAGTACTTTGTTGATAGTTTGATGTCCCAAACTTCATAAAAAATTAAAATACTGATAATTTAAAAATTTTATCGCATTACATTTTTGTTCCTCATGAATACAAAGTAGGCACAGAAATGCAACTAAATTCAACTGCAGACACACAAGTCTTTACAAAATTGTTGTAATGCGATTGTTGAGGTTAATATTCTTTCAATGTTAACAATTTAACTTAGTGAAAAGATTCCTTTAAACATCACTTGTAGATATGATTAATCAATTTAGCAATGGTTTCGATGATGTTAACCTTATTCAAACATTTTCCCCTGGCTTTTTTTTTTTTTTTTTTTTTTGATATGGCGTCTCGCTCTGTCACCCAGCCTGGAGTGGAGTGGTGGGATCTCGGCTCACTTCAACCTCTGCCTCCCAGGCACAAGTGACTCTTCTGCCTCAGCCTCCTAAGTAGCTGGAACTACAGGCGCGTGCCACCACGCCCGGATAATTTGTGTATTTTTAGTAGAGACAGGGTTTCATCATACTGGCCAGGCTGGTCTCGAACTCCTAACCTCGTGATCTGCCAGCCTCGGCCTCCCAAAGTGCTGGGATTACAGGTGTGAGCCACCGCGCCCGGCCTGGCTTCTTTATTGGACTGCAGGTAATGTGCCTTACATACACTGCTATCTTCCTAACTCCTAGCTTCTATTCCAAATATGCTTTAAGGGATTATTCTGGAAATCTTATTTCTTCCACCAGTTTGTTGTCACTTTGCTATGCACATGAAAGTGAAATCACTGTAACACTCAGTATTTAAAAGTAAAAATAATTAAGCCTAATATTACCCTTAGACAATAGAAGATAATTCACTTGCATTAGCCAATACTTTTTCCTTATGATTGCCATTCTGCTGAAATATTATTCAAATATTTCATCACAATAGACTTTACCAGATAGCTCAGAAAACAAACAAACTCTATGTTCCCTGGACAAAGTTAAAAGGAACCTTGTTTAACATTATTGCAAGTGAATTCTGTGAAAGGAAATAAATACTTGGGACCCCAATTTACTATGCCAAAAGAAACAAAATGAAGCTGAGTCACCAAAAGCGGCTTTTTCTTTTGTTCCTAAGCAGGTAGCTACAGGTATAAAGGTTAAATATCTCCAGGAGTAGGTACTCTATGTTCACTTTATCTTGTTTAAAGTGTCAGTTTACTAAGTGCAAGATGCATACATACTTGACTATTTACCTACCTGCTCATTTTTCTCTGGCAACCTGTGGATTCAGAATTGTGAACATACCCTCACCTCTCCTTCCCCTTCAACCTATTTTTCCCCTTTAAATATTGAAGCCCTCAAAATAATCTTTTGAGAAAGGCACAGGCCTGTCTCCCCCATGCATCCTTAACCTTTGCAAAATAAACTTCTAAATTGATTAAGACCTATCTCTCATACCTTTTGATTTACAAATTTGTAAATTGGTGACCAAGGGAAGGACTCTTAGTGGAGATGGCCCTAACCTTTCACAAGGCTCTTACGGGCGCCAGGTGCAAGCTTGAGCTATCTTCATTGCTCACACTGTCAGAGGCATGTGAACCAGAGCAACTCCATCTTGAATAGAGGCTGGATAAAATGAGGCTGAAACCTACTGGGCTGCAGTCCCCGACAATTAAGGCATTCTAAGTCACAGGATGAGACAGAAGTTCAGCACAAAATATAGGTCACAAAGACCTTGCTGATAAAACAGGTTGCAGTAAAGGAGCTGGCCAAAACCCACCAAAACCAAATGGCCACAGAGTGACTTCTGGTCATCCTCACTGCTACACTCCCACCAGCGCCATGACAGTTTATAAATGCCATGGCCACATCAGCAAGTTACCCTATACGGTCTACAAAGGGGAGGCATGAATAATCCACCCCTTGTTTAGCATATCATCAAGAAATAACCATAAAAATGGGTAACCAGCAGCCCTCGGGGCTGCTCTCTCTATGGAATAGCTATTCTTTTATTCCTTTACTTTCTTAATAAACTTGCTTTAACTTTTCACTGTGGACTTGCCCTGAATTCCTTCTTGAGCAAGATCCAAGAACCCTCTCTTGTGGTCTGGATTGGGACCCCTTTCCTGTAACAAAACCAATTGCACATTTTGCCAAGGTCAGGGGGCTCCCACTGCAGAGAGAATGCCTGATCTCTCAAAATTTGGTTAAGATCTAAGATTTATTTTGTTGTGCAACACCTTTTCTGGAGTTTCACTTGCTTCAAACAAAGAAGGGGAGTTTTCCTGCTCCATGATGATGAAGGAGACCAACAACTCCTTTCTGAAGTTTCAGCCCACTTCCCGCAGGGAAGGTGAGTTTGAGTTTTCCCTGCTTCTAGGATGGTAGAGAGCAGTGTTCAGCCTGGGCCCCATTCCTAGGCAGTAGCTGAATTGTAGTTTTTGTCTTGGAAATTCTCCTTAATTACTAAAAGTTAAGATTAGCAACTAGCTGGCCTTAATTTCTCCGTACGATTAGATCACTCAGCGATCCTATAAATTGTACAATTGTCTGTTTGTTTGACTTAACTGGTTTTTGTTTGTTTGTTTTTGTTGTTTCAGTCTTTTTCCCGTTAGGTTTGACCAACTCTACTCAACATGGTCAAAGCCAAAGAAAAGTTCCAAATTATGGGGAAAAAGGCTACTGAGTTGATTAAATTCCTGCCTCTGTAAAAGGAAAGAAAAATTAAAAAACAACCAGCAAAAGGAAAAAATTACCTGAGGGGCTTTTATGTACATAACAGGGCCATTTATTCCTAGCCAAGCCAAGAGGACAGAGCAATGGTAGTTACCCCATGCTGTAGTTCAGTAGCTAAGATTCTGCCCTTTTTTCACCATGACAGCCTGGGTTTGGTTCCTAAATCCAATCTTTTCTGGGTTGATAGTTGTGTTACTTTTGAAATATCAGCAGTTTGTCACAGCTAAAATATGGTAATGAAATTTAAAAGGATGTATTTAGTTCCATGGTTAAAAATCAGCTTAATTAAAAGCTAATATCCAAGATGTGTGTGTGAGTGTGTGTGTGTGTGTGTGTATGTGTGTGTGTGCCTTTATGCTTTCTTTCTCTCCTAGGATCTTGTTTTTTGAGAAAAAGTTCTTTTTTCTTCTCAGTTGGCTGAGAAGAAACAGCTCAGTTGACTGTTTCATTCATTTACTTCTACATGTCTTTCCTTCTTCTTGCCACCCTCCACTGTGTGAGGGACCTAAAATCATTTCTAACAGCCTGGGATTCCTTAAGAAAATACAGGTTTCCTCCCAGACTCCTTTTTGGGGAGAAATCTCTGTTTTTCCTTATGGAACCCCAAGAGTGCAATCAGACAAGTTTCTCAGTTCTTAATGCCTGTTTTTGTATTGTGTTACCTTTTTTTTTTTTTTTTTACTAAAATAGTTCTTACAACAGGTGCTATTCATGGGTGTTTAAGATACAAAAGGGTGTGGTTTAGACACTTAGAGAAATGTCTTTGTAGCCAAGTGCACCGTAAAAGCATTACATGTCCTAGTCTCATGAATCTCTTTCCTTTTGGAGACCTAGGATTCAGTGGAGCTTTGTGCAAAGAGCTCAGAGATCCAATTAAAAGATAGAGACTAAATTTAAAACTACCTATCTAAATAAAATTGGTCTTCTATACAATCATAAGGTAGATTTCTACAATTTCATGTTTGACTTGGTATCCATTTTTAATCTCCCTCTAGCACACCACTCTCTCTCTGTACCTTGAGATGTAAATTTTGCTATCTGATTTTCACCTAAGAGTTGTTCCTTTAGTATGCAAATTTAGGGCTATCTAGTTAAACAGGTCATAAGAAATTGGAGCTTGTGCACCGTGGCTCACACCTGTAATCTCAGCACTTTGGAAGGCCAAGGCGGGCGGATCATGAGGTCAGGAGTTCGAGAGCAGCCTGGCCAATATGGTAAACCCTGTCTCTACAAAAATACAAAAATTAGATTGGCATGGTGGCATGTGCCTGCAGTCCCAGCTACTCGGGAGGCTGCGGCAGAAGAATCGCTTGAACCCAGGAGATACAGATTGCAGTGAACTGAGATCATGCCACTGCACTCCAGCCCGGGCAACGGAGTGAGACTCTGTCTCAAAAAGAAAAAAAAAAGAAATTGGAAGTCTGAAATATCTAAATTGGAAGTCTAAAATATCTAAAATATGAATCTTTAAGATCTACTTTTATCTTCATGACTAATAAGTCTACGTATTTATGTGTCATGTACGTTTCACTACTAAAAATATATAAAGGAGCTGTAATTAATTGGATTTACAAAAGCATTTAAATCAAATACTTTATCAGAAAAACAGAAGACAGAAAAGCCCAAATGCTTTTTCAAGTTCATGTGACTTAAGAAAATCCTTAATAAATAAGTGTGTTTTAATTGCTGGTAAAATAAAATTAGAAATGTCTTTAGAATTGTCAATTCACATTATTGTTTAGATTTCTTGATCAAGCAGTTTAATATTTATCCCTGCTAAATATTATAAGGTGTCCAAATTTGGCATGAGGGTTATAAAGCTTATAACCCAAAACATGGTCATCTTTGTGTAATTTTTGTAAAAATAATGCATTGAAAATTGTTGGCTTAATAAAACAGCTAACTTTTGAGTTATTGGCAAAACAACAACAAGAAAAAAGTTATTTAACCTTAAGGTTCTTAGGTAAACATCTGAAATCACAGGCTATAAAAATGATTAACAGACAAATAACTTTAAATGATGACCATTTATAATCTAAAGTTATGTTACATTAAGTATCTGGGTTATTTCCAATTTAAAAAAATATAGGGAGACATTTTTCTAAAAAATATGTTCTTATTTAAAGGAAAATAATTTTTGTCTAATACAAAGGCTAAAGTTTATGAAACAAAGTGAAAGAAACTAGTATATAAGAGAGATACACAGAAAGTTGTAGGTATAAAGAGGTATTTTTGGTAAGAAAAGCTGAAGGGAAAATAATTTTATATGAGAAAGAATCTTGTGTGATTAATTTTTTTTTTCTAAAATGACTGGTTATTTAAGAAAGAGGTACCTTTAGGATAACACAGAAAGTCCAAGCATATCATACATGATTTGTATAAATTGTAATAAGGTTTGTAAGAAGAGGATTTATGAGTAAAAAAAAAAGTGATCAAGTTTGCTATAATTAAAGGGAAATTATTTATAATAGTCATTCCAGAGATTGAGACTTGATATTAAAAAAGAATTAATTCACTAAAGAATTGGTTAGAACAACATTTTCTTAAGGTATTGATTCACTCTTAATAAAATTACAAGAGATTTTAATTTTTTAACCCAAAAGTTCAACTTTTATTGTGTCCCACTGCTTTCAGCTTTCTCTTCCCTTTGAGAAGGATTGAGATAATAACTTTCTCCTTCAACTTTGTCAATAGCTTCTGTAATTTTTTTCCCTCAGGTTCTGCTATTGTGGCCTGACATTATAAAAAAAAAGTTTTACCTTAAAGGTCTAAATAAAATGTTTTCTTCTAACATAACCCTCTGTGCTCTTGGCTTTAATTGTTCTATGAAACCAAGAATTTTCATTTATCACCCGGAACACACTCTTTCTATATCTAACTAATTCAAGTACGGTTTACATTAGTTTTGATTGCATGTTATTTAAATGTACTCCTCATAGGAAAAAGCAAACATAATATAGAAGATCTTTTTTATTCTTTTTGTTAACTTGTCTAACAGATTTTACATTTATCAAAATAATTCGTTATTCTTATTAAGTTTTTATTTGCTTAGAAAAATTGAGATTTACAGATTTTAAAAATTAAGGTTATCATGTCCATTTTACTTTCTGTGTTGCTTTTAAAGTCCTAATTCTATTAAGTTTTCATGGTTTTTCTTCTTTCTTTCTTTTTTTTTTTTTTTTTTGAGACAGAGTCTTGCTCTGTCACCCAGGCTGGAGTGCAGTGCCACAATCTCGACTCACTGCAATCTCTGCCTCCCAAATCCAAGCAATTCTCCTGTCTTAGCTTTCTGAGCAGCTGGGATTACAGGCGCACACCACCACATCTGGCTAATTTTTGTATATTTATTAATAGAGTCTGGGTTTCACCATGTTGGCCAGGCTGGTCTTGAAGTCCAGACCTCAAGTGATCTGCCCGCCTTGGCCTCCCAAAGTACCTGGATTACAAGAATGAGCCACCGTGGCCAGCCTATTCTGTTAAATTAAAGGGCTTTTACTTCTGGGTCTAAAAAGCACACCAAGTCCTGCTAAATCTTAAACCGTAACACCAGTCAAACCCTCATCTTCAGACCCAGGAAAAGATGATAATCAAAATAAACTGCATTCATGAGACACAGTGCCAGAAATTAAAACTGCTGAACCCCTCTAATCCCAGGGACTGTCACAGAAGACATGCGTCTGTGAAATTATAAGGGCCAATTTTGAGAGATAAACTTAGTTCAGAGTTTCCATATAAATTACACATTAATATTATAGTTTGATGAAAGACCAGCATCAGGACCCCTGCGTTAGATAAACAAGGTTCTTATAGCATTAACCCACTTTTTAATTTAAAAAAACATTAAAAGGTTATTTAAAGGTTTATGGAAATTATAGCTTATGGTCAAAATGATTAAAATTTAATAGATTTGTTTATAAGATTTGAGAGACAGATTTAATTGGCCTCATGCAGTCTCTCTTAGGGCTCATTGTTTGGGAAATTAAGTCTCCTCTCTCAAAAAATAAAGATTTTTGCCTTTTTTAAAAAAACTTTGAGTTATCACTTTGACTAAATGAATGATTTCTTTTACAATGACCTATGAGCCTATATTATCATATTAAGTATTTTAAACTTCTGACATTTGACAGACTTTCCAAAATTAAATTGTAAAATTAGTACTTTGACTTCATATATTTATTAATAATAGGTCACCGGAAGTCCAAAAGAGACATATTTGACTTATTTGGTATAGTAAAGTCACACAGGAAGCACTGTCAAATAAACAATGACATTTAACCTTCTTTGGATTATATTATATTTATGTGAATGTGTTATTATTATGTGTTTCAAAAATATATGCAATTCCTGTGATTCTAATATGTCTTAGTAGATGTTGTCAGTAGTAATTATGATTATTATGGAAAATTGCTGTATGCCACAGAAGAAACCAAATTTACTTGTCAATGGTGTCTTTAACCATGGCTGTTCTAAGATTTTTGTCATTCACAATTGTTGTTTTACTTTAATCCTTTTATAGGACAGTTTGTAATCTGCTATTGAACTCTGAGGAGTACTCCTAAAAAATAAGTTTTTGATAAATTTAGATATAGCATCATTGGAATAGATAGGAAAATGTCCAGGCCTTTCATGGAGAGCTCATGTATTAATAAGTCTTGCTGATCCAATATTGAGCAGAACATGGAGTTAATTGCATGGACCAAACTAATAGAAGACTGAAATAATCTTGTATAAGATTTTGTTTAAAACATTTGCTGATTGGTTTTATTTTTCAGAGTCAAGAAAACTTTCCTTTTAAGCTATTTACAGCTTTAACAATTTAATAAAGTGAATTTAGTAAATTCACTAAAATTTGTTCTTATGAGCAAAATTAAAAATATAATTCCTTTCTCTCAACCTAATTTCTCCAAAATTTGAAAACTATTTTGAGAGTATTCTCAATTTATGGCAATATAATTATTTGCATAAGTTTAATAAGAATATATTTTCTTTTATCACAGGACGTAATTCGAGACACTCGTTATTTTACTAAGTCCTTGACTGGAATGACATTTTCCGATTGCCTTGAGAAAAGGAGGCTGACCTACAGAGCCAATAGAAGCCCCTTGGAAAAACTAGCCCCATATCTTATCCTTTACAGGGTCATGACCTGTGGTAAGTAAAGAATGTCACTTTTTGACTGGTCCAGGAACTCCAAGCTTTCTTAAGACCTCAGAAAGAGAAGAATTCACCCAATTCACATATGTATCTGCAGGCACAGATAAATCCTTGGCTAGGCTTCAGGCATTCACAAACGTCTAATCTTACATTCGTAGTGCAAAAAGATCCAGCAAAGCCAATTCACAAAAAGAGAGAGAGCTCCTATATGGCAAATGATTATTCTTGTTGCACTTTATACAAATAATTAAACCAAGTGTAAAAGTACTAAAATTTATTTTACCAATAAATTGGTCCTACTATGATTTTCTGTTTAATAAAACTGGGGAATTGAAGAGAGAAAAATTATGCTTCTATAAATTATAGTACCTGTTGTTTGATTCTAGTCTTGCCTAAGGTTTATCAGTTTTTATTATTTTCTACAATATGAAATAAAGTCTAAAATTTTTCCTGACTACAAGTCTCCAAATAATGTTTTCAATTTTTTCTTTCTTTTCTCCTTTCCTTTCATTTTCCTTTTCCCCCTATTGTCCAATTTGAAATTACTAAATATTAAGCTGTGATTTTCTTAAGCCATGGGGATGCAAACTAGACAACTTAAACTTCAGAAGAAAATAACAGAAACCGATTTATACACACGAAACATTTTCATATGTGCCTACTGACAACACACTTCAGAGTGATATGGCCTATATCAGTTTTCCAGGATTGTTCCTTCTACTGTGTGTTTGTCTCTCTTCCTCCTCCTATTTTTTTCTTTGCAGGACATAAGATTTCACAACCTGCTAAAAATGAGCATTCCTAATAACGTGGGATCTATTGGTCTAGGAATAAAACATCACAGCCATGCGAGATCAGACAAAATTCAAGACCAGGGAGTAATTTTCTTCTAAAATGCTTTCTTCAAAAGATTTTAAAAGGAAAAAGGCAGGGGTATGAAAGGAAAATAAAAACTTGAGACCCCAATTCACTATGACATAAGAAACAAAATTAAGCTAAAAGCTGAGTTCTGCAAAAAGATGCCCTTCCTTAAGCAGATAGCTACAGATAAAAGGTTAAATATTTCCACAGGTAGCTAGTCTATGTTCACCTTATATTGTGTAAAGTGCCGATTTACTGAGCACAAGACAAATAAATAACTGACCATTCCCTTACCTGCTAGTTTTTCTCTTGCAACATGTAGATTCAGTAACGTGGCCATACATTGCCACTGTCAGGTCTCTGAGCCCAAGCCAAGCCATCCCATCCCCTGTGACTTGCACGTATACGCCGAGATGGCCTGAAGTAACTGAAGAATCACAAAAGAAGTGAAAGGCCCTGCCCCGCCTTAACTGATGACATTCCACCATTGTGATTTGTTCCTGCCCCACCTTAACTGAGTGACTAACCCTTTGAATTTCCTTCTCCTGGCTCAGAAGCTCCCCCACCGAGCACCTTGTGACCCCCGCCCCTGCCCACCAGAGAACAACCCCCTTTGACTGTAATTTTCCTTTACCTTCCCAAATCCTATAAAACGGCCCCACCCTTATCTCCCTTCACTGACTCTCTTTTCGGACTCAGCCCAACCGCATCCAGGTGAAATAAACAGCTTTATTGCTCACACAAAGCCTGTTTGGTGGTCTCTTCACATGGACACACATGAAATTTGGTGCCGTGACTTGGATCGGGGGACCTCCCTTGGGAGATCAATCCCCCGTCCTCCTGCTCTTTGCTCCGTGAGAAAGATCCATCTACGACCTCAGGTCCTCAGACCGACCAGCCCAAGAAACATCTCACCAATTTCAAATCCGGTAAGCGGCCTCTTTTTACTCTCTTCTCCAACTTCCTTCACTATCCCTCAACCTCTTTCTCCTTTCAATCTTGACACCACACTTCAATCTCTCCCTTCTCTTAATTTCAATTCCTTTCATTTTCGGATAGAGACAAAGGAGACATGTTTTATCCGTGGACCCAAAACTCCGGTGCCGGTCACGGACTGGGAAGGCAGCCTTCCCTTGGTGTTTAATCATTGCAGGGATGCCTCTCTGATTATTCACCCACATTTCAAAGGTGTCAGACCACGCAGGGATGCCTGCCTTGGTCCTTCACCCTTAGCCGCAAGTCCCGCTTTTCTGGGGGAGGGGCAAGTACCCCAACCCCTTCTCTCCATGTCTCTACCCCTTCTCTGCTTTTCTGGGGGAGGGGCAAGTACCCCTCAACCCCTTCTCCTTCACCCTTAGTGGCAAGTCCCGCTTTTCTAGGGGGCAAGAACCCCCAATCCCTTATTTCCGTGCCCCAACCCTTTCTCTGCTTTTCTGGAGGGCAAGAAACCCCCATCACTTCTCCGTGTCTCTACTCTTTTCTCTGGGCTTGCCTCCTTCACTATGGACTAGCTTCCACCTTCCATTCCTCCTTCTTCTCCCTTAGCCTGTATTCTTAAGAACTTAAAACCTCTTCAACTCTCACCTGACCTAAAATCTAAGCGTCTTTTTTCTTCTGCAATGCCGCTTGACCCCAGTACAAACTCGACAGTAGTTACAAATTGCCAGAAAAACGGCACTTTCAATTTTTCCATCCTACAAGACCTAAATAATTCTTGTCGTAAAACGGGCAAATGGTCTGAGGTGCCTGATGTCCAGGCATTCTTTTACACATCAGTCCCTTCCTAGTCTCTGCCCAATGCAATTCATCCCAAATCTTCCTTCTTTCCCTCCCGCCTGTCCCCTCAGGCCCAACCCCAAGCGTCGCTGAGTCTTTCTAATCTTCCTTTTCTACAGACCCATCTGACCTCTCCCCTCCTCGCCAGGCCGAGCTAGTTCCCAATTCTTCCTCAGCCTCTGCTCCTCCACCCTATAAACTTTTTATCGCCTCCCCTCCTCACACCTGATCCGGCTTACAGTTTTGTTCCATGACTACCCCTCCCCCACCTGCCCAGCAATTTACTCTTAAAAAGGTGGCTGGAGCCAAAGGCATAGTCAAGGTTAATGCTCCTTTTTCTTTATCCCAAATCAGAAGCGTTTAGGCTCTTTTTCATCAAATATAAAAACCCAGCCCAGTTCATGGCTCATTCGGCAGCAACCCTGAGATGCTTTACAGCCCTAGACCCTAAAAGGTCAAAAGGCCATCTTATTCTCAATATACATTTTATTACCCAATCTGCTCCTGACATTAAATAAAACTCCAAAAATTGGAATCTGGCCCTCAAACCCCATAACAGGACTTAATTAACCTCACTTTCAAGGTGTACAGTAATAAAACAAAGTTGCAATTCCTTGCCTCCACTGTGAGACAAACCCCAGCCACATCTCCAGCACACAAGAACTTCCAAACGCCTGAACCTCAGTGGCCAGGCATTCCTCCAGAACCTCCTCCCCCAGGAGCTTGCTACAAGTGCCAGAAATCTGACCACCAGGCCAAGTAATGCCCGCAGCCCAGGATTCCTCCTAAGCCGTGTCCCATCTGTGTGGGACCCCAGTGGAAATCGGACTGTTCAACTCACCTGGCAGCCACTCCCAGAGCCCCTGGAACTCTGGCCCAAGGCTCTCTGACTGACTCCTTCTTGGCGTAGCGGCTGAAGACTGATGCTGCCTGATCACCTCAGAAGCCCCATAGACCATCACGGACGCCGAGCTTTAGGTAACTCTCACAGTGGAGGGTAAGTCCGTCCCCTTCTTAATCAATATGGAGGCTACCCACTCCACATTACCTTCTTTTCAAGGGCCTGTTTCCCTTGCCTCCATAACTGTTGTGGGTATTGACAGCCAGGCTTCTAAACCTCTTAAAACTCCCCAACTCTGGTGCCAACTTAGACAATACTCTTTTATGCACTCTTTTTTAGTTATCCCCACCTGCCCAGTTCCCTTATTAGGCCGAGATATTTTAACCAAATTATCTGCTTCCCTGACTATTCCTGGACTACAGCCGCATCTCATTGCTGCCCTTCTTCCCAATCCAAAGCCTCCTTTGCATCCTCTTCTTGTATTCCCCCACCTTAACCCACAAGTATAAGATACCTCTACTCCCTCCTTGGTGACCGATCATGCACCCCTTATCATCTCATTAAAACCTAATCACCCTTACCCCGCTCAGTGCCAATATCCCATTACAGCATGCTTTGAAAGGATTAAAGCCTGTTATCACTCGCCTGCTACAGCATGGCCTTTTAAAGCCTATAAACTCTCCTTACAATTCCCCCATTTTACCTGTCCTAAAACCAGACAAGCCTTACAAGTTAGCTCAGGATCTATGCCTTATCAACCAAATTATTTTGCCTATCCACCTCATGGTACCAAACCCATATACTCTACTATCCTCAATACCTCCCTCCACAATCCATTATTCTGTTCTGGATCTCAAACATGCTTTCTTTACTATTCTTTTGCACCAGTCATCCAAGCCTCTCTTCGCTTTCACTTGGACTGACCCTGACACCCATCAGGCTCAGCAAATTACCTGGGCTGCACTGCCACAAGGCTTCACAGACAGACCCCATTACTTCAGTCAAGCGCAAATTTCATCCTCATCTGTTACCTATCTCGGCATAATTCTCGTAAAAACACACATGCTCTCCCTGATGATCGTGTCCGATTAATCTCCCAAACCTCAATCCCTTACAAAACAACAACTCCTTTCCTTCCTAGGCATGGTTAATGTGGTCAGAATTCTTACACAAGAGCCAGGACCGCACCCTGTAGCCTTTCTGTCCAAACAACTTGACCTTACTGTTTTAGCCTAGCCCTCATGTCCGCGTGCAGCGGCTGCCGCTGCTTTAGTACTTTTAGAGGCCCTCAAAATCACAAACTATGCTCAACTCACTCTCTACATTTCTCATAACTTCCAAAATCTATTTTCTTCCTCATACCTGACGCATATACTTTCTGCTCCCTGGCTCCTTCAGCTGTACTCACTCTTTGTTAAGTCCCACAATTACCATTGTTCCTGGCCCGGACTTCAATCCAGCCTCCCACATTATTCCAGACACCACACCTGACCCTCATGACTGCATCTCTCTGATCCACCTGATGTTCATCCCATTTCCCCACATTTCCTTCGTCCCTGTTTCTCACCCTGATCACGCTTGATTTATTGATGGCAGTTCCACCAGGCCTAATCACCACACACCAGCAAAGGCAGGCTATGCTATAGTACAAGCCACTAGCCCGCCTCTTAGAACCTTTCATTTCCTTTCCATCGTAGAAATCTATCCTCAAGGAAATAACTTCTTAGTGTTCCATCTGCTATTCCATCTGCTACTCCTCAAGGATTATTCAGGCCCCTTCCCTACACAACAAGCTCGAGGATTTGCCCCCACCCAGGACTGGCAAATTAGCTTTACTCAACATACCCCGAGTCCCAAAAACTAAAATACCTCTTTGTCTAAGTAGACACTTTCACTAGATAGGTAGAGGCCTTTCCTATAGGGTCTGAGAAGGCCACTGCAGTCATTTCTTCCCTTCTGTCAGACATAATTCCTCAGTTTAGCCTTCCCACCTCTATACAGTCTGATAAAAGACCAGCCCTTATTAGTCAAATCAGTCAAGCATTTTTTTAGGCTCTTAGTATCCAGTGACAAACTAATAGTCTATTAAAAACACACCTCACCAAGCTCAGCCACCAACTTAAAAAGGACTGGACACTACTTTTACCACTTTCCCTTCTCAGAAGTCAGACCTGTCCTCAGAATGCTACAAGGTACAGCCCATTTAAGCTCCTGTATAGACGCTCCTTTTTATTAGGCCCCAGTCTCATTCCAGACACCAGACCAACTTAGACTGTGCCCCAAAAAAACTTTTCATCCCTACTATCTTCTGTCTAGTCATACTCCTATTCACCGTTCTCAACTACTCATACATGCCCTGCTCTTGTTTACACTGCTGGTTTACACCGTTTCTCCAAGCCATCACAGCTGATATCTCCTGGTGCTATCCCCAAACTGCCACTCTAGAAGAGTGACTACAGAGTGGCCAGGCACGGTGGCTCAAGCTGTAATCCCAGCACTTTCGGAGGCCGAGGCAGGCGGATCACGAGGTCAGGAGATCGAGACCATCCTGGCTAACATGGTGAAACCTCATCTCTACTACAAATAAAAAAAAAAATTAGCTGGGTGTGGTGGCGGGTGCCTGTAGTCCCAGCTACTCAGGAGGCTGAGGCAGGATAATGGCATGAACCCAGCAGGTGGAGCTTGCAGTGAGCCGAGATCATGCCACTGCACTCCAGCCTGGGTGACAGAGCGAGACTCCATCTCAAAAAAAAATTATACTATAGAGTTATAGTAACCAAAACAGCATGGTACTGGCATATAAACAGACACATAGACCAATGAATCAGAATAGAGAACCCAGAAACAAATCCACACACCTACAGTGAGCTTATTCTTGACAAAGGTGCCAGGAACATTCAATGGGGAAAAGACAGTCACTTCAATAAATGGTGCTAGGATGAAACTAGACCCCTATTTCTAGCCATATACAAAAACAAATCAAAATGAACTAAAGACTTAAATCTAAAGACCTCAACCCATAAAACTACCTCAATAAAATATTGGGGAAACTCTCCAGGACGTTCATCTGGGCAAAAATTTCTTGAGCAAATTTCTTACCCCAGAAACACAGGCAACCAAAGAAAAATTGACAAACAGGATCACATCTAGTTAAAATGTTTCTGCATAGAAAAGGATACAATCAACAAAGTGAAGAGACAACCCACAGAGTAGGAGAAAATATTTGTAAACTACCCATCTGTCAAGGAATTAATCACCAGAATGTCTAAGTAGATCAAACAATTCTATAGGACCAAATCTAATAATCCGATCAAAAGGTAGGCAAAATATTTGAATATACATTTCTCAAAAGAAGACATACAAATAGCACACAGGCATAGGAAGAAGTGCTCAACATCAGTGATCATCAGAGAAATGCAAATCAATACTACAATGAGATGCTATCTCACCCCCAGTTAAAATGGCTTATATCCCAAAGACAGGCAATAACAAATGCTGGTGAGGTTGTGGAGTAAAAGGAATTCCTTGTACACTGTTGGTAGCAATAAAAATTAGTAGGACCACTATGAAGAACAGTCTGGAGGTTCCTCAAGGAACTAAAAATTGAGCTACCACGTGATCCAGCAATCCCACTGCTGGGTATATACCCAAAAGAAAGCGAATTCGTATATCTAAGATTATCTGTACTTCCATGTTTGTTGCAGCACTGTTTACAATAACTAAGATATGGAAGCAATGTAAGTGTGCATCAGCAGATGAATGCGTAAAAAAAAGTGGGACATATACACAATGGAGTACTATTCAGCTATAGAAAGAATGAAATCTAGTCATTTGCAACAAAATGAACTGGAGATCATTATGTTAACTGAAATAATCCAGGCACAGAAAGACAAACATTGCATGTTCTCAGTTATTTGTGGGATCTAAACATCAAAACAATTGAATTCATGGACACAGTGAGTAGAAGGATGGTTACCAGAGGCTGGAAAGGGTCATGGGGGTGTGGGGGTAGGAAGATGGGGATGATTTATGGGTACAAAAAATAGTTAAAAAGAATGAATAAGACCTACTATTTGATAGCCCACAGGGTGACTATAGTCAATTACTTAACTGTACCTTTTAAAATAAAGTATAATTGGATGGTGTGCAACTCAATGAAAAAATGCTTGAGGAAATGGATGCCGCATTGTTCATTATTTGCTTATTTCACATTGCATGCCTGTACCAAATCATCTCATGTACCCCATAAACATACATACCTACTACATACCCACAAAAATTAAAAATTAAAAAGTTAAAAATAAATAAACCTTTATTCATCAAAAAATTCTAGCAAAGAAATAACTTCAATCAGATTAAAAACTGATTTAAATCAATATAGGGATTATTTTGTTAATATTTTAATGTACGCTTCAATGGAAAAATTGTAATATGAGATATAATGTTCTTTTTGACAGTTAGTGGCCTTTCTATACATAAAAATTTTCCATTAACTTATTTTAGTTTGAAAATATAAAACCCATTCTACCTTGAATCCATTGCAGCGTCTTGTTTTCTTTTTCTCTGAAGATGCTGACTCTGCTGTTTTATTCAAATGTTGATGTTGGTCCATTATTAAACTACAGATACCAAGTGAATATTTTTAATTGTTGCTGATGCTTGGTTTGAAATGATCACCTGTTAAAAAAGAAAAAGTATAATTTATTTTACTTTAACAATATACAATTTAAAAATAGGAAAAGCCACAAGCTCAATATCAATCAATCAATCATTCTCTAATATTCATTCAGGGCCTGCTATTTCCTGACCACAGGACTAGGTCAATGCTGGACACAGAGGAGGAAAGACAGAGACAAACTCCTAGCCTAAAGAGATTATAATTTGCTTAGAAAAATAATTTTCATAGAGAGAAATTTGAAACAAGTAAATAATATAAAACCACACACTAGATTGTATGAACAACAATTTTAAATTATAGAAATTAAAATTTTTATATTTTCTACATATCCAGATTACAAGATTTATGAAAGGAAATTTATGTTTACGTTATCCTTATAAGTTTATAAAGTGCCAAATGATGACTTGCACATAGTGGATACTCAAAATGGGTTGAAAAATAATGTAAATAATAATGATTAGGATAGCCTCAGTCAGTTTCATAGAGGAGATGCCTATGGAACAAGGCTCAAAAAGCAGATAAAGTTTGGATTTGTTTAAAAGAGCAAAATATATTCCAAGTATCTCTCAGAGAGACTCTGGCCATGCTTGACCTTACCATCATCATGATCTTACTGTATTTAGGGTTTATCCACTTATTTTTCAAGAGAAAATACATGCATGTAGTTGAAAAATGCAAAAAAAAAAAAAAAGAAAAGAAAAGAAAAGGCAAGATTCTGCTTATAACCTTTGTCCCCTTATCCAGAAATCTGGTATGCTTTTTTATTTTTTTTTTTTGAGACGGAGTCTTGCTCTGTCTCCCGGGCTGGAGGGCAGTAGCGTGATCTCGGCTCACTGTAAGCTCTGCCTCCCAGGTTCACGCCATTCTCCTGCCTCAGCCTCCTGAGTAGCTGGGACCACAGGCGCAGGTGCGTGCCACAACGCCCGGCTAATTGTTTTGTATTTTTAGTAGAGACAGGGTTTCACCGTGTTAGCCAGCATGGTCTCGATCTCCTGACCTCCTGATCCGCCCGCCTCGGCCTCCCAAAGTGCTGGGATTACAGGCGTGAACCACCGCGCCCAGCCTTAATATGCATTTTTAATTAAATACATAATATTTTCTCTTTTAATATAAATGTAAGCATACCAGTATTACTGCACTCTACCTTTTTATCTTCTGTATATACTTTATATTAATAAAAGTCCTCATTTTGCTTATGGTAGCAGGGTATTCTGTTGTTCATAATATATGTAACTAGTTCTATATCGTTAACTATTTAGCTTATATCTAATTATTTCATATTAGAAAATGTTCTTAATATGTTATATGTCATTTTCTGTGTGGTCATATCTGTAGGATAAATTCCTACAAGTGAAGTTTTGAAGTCAAAGTATATGAGAAATCATAAGTTTCAGAGTTATTAAGCCCCTATTTTAAAGACCAGTAAAATGAGTCAACTTTTTACGTCAGTTGACTCTTTTATATAGAACAGTGGAATATTTATAAGGTTTAGAGATGTATTCTTGTTCATACATATATGCATAACACATATTTATGTATATAAAGTATATAAGCAGACACATAACATAGATATAGGTATATGTTATGTATATAGCATATATATGTGGATACATGCTATGTAGATACTTGCTATGTAGCTGCTCATATAGATACCTTAGATATGTAAATATCTAAGTATGTAAATATCAATGTTATCTATATAAGCATCCGATTTGTAATAGGATACTGATTATATAATATGTATGATATAGGTTATATGTACAATTGATTCTCACGTTTTGCAATAATTATGTTCCATAAAGTTGCTGGGAACACTGAATTTGCAAATATTAATCCATCATTCCTAGAAGAGATACAGTGTTAGGTGACTGTGTGGCTTTGGTCACAATATTTTAATCAACGGATCAATACATAACTTAATACATAATGTTTTATGTATGTTTTTGTTTAAAGACACCTTAGTATATACTGTTGATTCATTAACATTGAATTAGTGGCCAATAGCACTGTAGTTCATGCCTGAGGGAAACTTACATAGCATATGTACCTCTTCTGTCAGGCCCTCTAGGAGGTGGGAACAACGGGACAACACTTCAGGGCTATGCTTGAAGTCCATTTAAAACAGTAAACTCAGCATCGCAAAGCACAACTATGGAAACAATGTGGCGATAAATGCACTGTGAAGTTTATAGTATGGGAGCTGAGAGAGGAAGGCAGAGCTTCACTTTGTTCCACTTCAACTGGAAACAGAGCAACTCAAATTTTTCACCACTCTGCTCATGCATGCCAATGATCACAAAAGCCCAGCAGTATTAATTTTGGTGTCACAAACAAATTTTAGTGTTTAGACAAATTTTCTAATATAGAATCTGTGAATAATGAAGATCTACTGCATATTTTATGCATTAATTTACTCAACAAGGATTTATTGATTCTCTATATTATAAATGCATAAAAACCATAAATATATATCATGCATATTTAGTGGATAATGCATGAATATGGAAAAATCAATATCTGAAGATATTATCACTTATGTATATGCGAGTGTATATAAATACACTCATGAATGGAGAAACCCATACCTATGTATCTCTAAGAGAAGTTCAATTATTCCACTTTTTGTATGTGTTTTGTAGGTAAAGTGAGGAAAAAAATCAATAATTTGGTGGTCTCAAGGTAATAAGCAGCCCCTTAATAAATTTACACCACTTTTTCCACGAATATCTCTGTTTCTTCATAATTTAAAAGTTGGAAAATATTTATTTTTTACCAATTAATTCTATAATTGCAAATCTTTTTGAACGACTTGCAAGGCAGATAGTCTTCCTTCAGCTTTAGAGTTTTCTTTTTCTTTATACTAAACAAATATTCTTGAAGGCTTGAAGACTATTATCTCACCACTCAAGCCTTGTTTCTTTCAATTGATTAATTTCTACTTGTCCTGTCTTCCAGCTTGCTTTCTTTCCTATGCATATCATGTCCATTCTTGGAATCATTCAAAGATCCCTCTTACAACAAAAATAAAACTTACACTTCCTATTTGAGGGTCTTCACAGCCTAAATGAATCCAAGTTTTTAGTCCCATTTCCCAATACAACCATAAGCACTTGCAGATGTATGGAACCACTGTCCCAACAGAAAAGCTCTCTACCTTCATGTATATGTCTTCCATTCCTGGAATGTCCTTCCCTATCTCTTGGCTGTAATGCGGCTCCAAATCACACCACTTTAATGTTTCCCTATTTACCTCTAGTTGAAATAAACTCTCTCATCCTCTCATCCTTCTGTACCACTGGAGAACATACCCGAATAATCATTACTTTTTTCTGTTATTTCCCGTACTTTCCAAGACAACTATTCCACACCTCTCTCTTTTATGTTCAGATAAAATACCCATCCAGAAAAATAAGAAATGTGGGCACTTGGTTTCTCATCTCTCAGAAAGGTTAAATTGTATCAAGTAGGCCGGGAGCAGTGACTCATGCCTGTAATCCCAGCACTTTGGGAGGCCGAGGCGGGCAGATCACCTGAGGTTGGGAGTTCGAGACCAGCCTGACCAACACAGAGAAACCCCATTTCTGCCAAAAATACAAAATTAGCTGGGTGTGGTGGTACATGCCTGTAATCTCAGCTACTCTGGAAGCTCAGGCAGGAGAATCACTTGAACCCAGGAGGCTGAGGTTGTGGTGAGCTGAAATCACGCCATTGCACTCCAGCCTGGGCAACAAGAGCGAAACTCCTTCTCAAAAAAAAAAAAAAAAAAATGTATCAAGTAAGTACAAAGTACCTACAAAACTTGAATATCAATTTAGCCTTGAATAAATACCACACTTTTTACTTCATTGTGGCATTTTAAGCCTTATTTAGAAGCGTTTAATATATTTTGCTCTGAACATATTATTTCTGAGTTCCAAATTATTGACATAAATAAATGTTGAGGACACAATATGTTTATAGACAGAGCCACAGGCATTTGTATGCAGCATTGCAACTCTTCCCTGAACAGAACAGGTCAGTTCTTCACAGTTTGATTGGGCTGAAGTAGAGGGCAGAATCTTACCAGCCTCTGCTTATTTCTGTTTAGCTTTTCATATTTAAGGGGTTATAGAAAACCAGTGCAGGCCAAGTGACCCAGTTTCTAGCATGTACCTATGGAACTGAGGAGGATAAAAGGGAAAACAGCATTTCCTAACTTCTTAGATTGTTCAGAGGAGAGAATTTCTGCATCCCCACCTTACTTTCACAATAAAAATAACTGTCTTATCAGGGAAGCCACCTTCCTGAATGGGTGAAGGGGACCATTATTTATTGAGCTGTTAATTCTTTCCAAGAGCTGTGCCCAGAAGATTTTTTTCTCTTATTTGAACAGAGATAAAAAAGTTATCTAGAAAATCTCTTTCCCCTCACCCTAAATCAAACGAGTTGAATGGAGGAAAGTGAGGTGATTAAGTGACTTTGAAACATATTTTCCACCCCTCCACCCGCCCACTCCTACTTATCCAGTTAAAGTGAAATCAAAGAAATAGGGAGCCTGGTATAGTAATTCAATACAGTTTATACAAATAATTATCTTATAGTATATTTTAAGAGAGTAACTAGAAGTCCATCCTTTCAGACTTCATGTTTCATTTGTTTAGAAAGCAATAGAAATAGGACTCCAAACTTTATTTTTCACTTTATAAAGGTATGATTTACTCTTATTTTTGAGTATATAAATCTGAGGCTCTTCTATTTCTAGAAGGGATATTTACAAGGCTTTAAGGGCTCAGAACAAAAGTGTGGAGAAGACACAGAGCATAAAATCTGTAATATTTATCATAACTACCAAAAACATTTTCACTGAAATTTGTTAAAATTTCTTACATAAAAGAAATGTTTTAATTAGACAACCTCGACGGTTCTTACCTTGACTTTGAATGCTACAGCAACTGCAACAAGTCCATCCTTTTTCTGATGTTAAAGTCTCACTTTAAATGGTTAGTTGGCTTTTTATTTGTTTGTTTTTATGAGTCCAATGATGATTAACCATCTTATTAGGTCATTGTCCTAGGCAAACAGAAAAAACATACCTAGCTAATTCTAGGAGTTCACCCCAGAAGCCTATCTTTTAAACATTTTATTAATAATTTCTCAGAATGTACACATTATGTTAACATTAGAAAATAAATTATTTCTGGGAATGATTTATTTCTTATTCAATTAAGTTGGTTGCATAAGATTTTCTTCTTTAGAAATACAAATACAACACATTATCCAAAGTATTTAAAACTATTCCAAATAGAAAATATGTCAAGGCGATTTTTTAAAATGTCCCTACATGTTACATTAGCATTCAAAAAATAAAACATACCCTCTTTGCTTGTTACATGTGTATGGATCTAATATGACGTACATGGACACTGGATATCTCACATGGAATACTAAATTGCCAATTAATTACAAGACTAGTCTTCTAAATGACAAAAATCAAGACTAGTTTGTATGATATATTCCTTACATCAATGTGTAAAGGAAGAATGATCTCCTTCTATTGACTTGCTCTTTAGAGAATGGAAGACCTTCACTCAGTTGAAACTTTTCTTGAGTAAGGATGAAGTCAAATTAATTAATTCAGTAACTCAAACATATTTGACTCCCTACTATATCTCAGGCACATGGCTGTGTTTTAGAAGTGTACTATAAAAATATAAATAATAAACGGAGTCTTCTCTCACATGTATATATACACACACATGCATGAGTGTATGTATATATGTATTTATGTGTATGTGTGTATGTATATAGCAAAGAGAGAATGCATGTATGAAAACATTGTTACCCCTTATCACTGACAGGACAGTTGTTGATACAGTTGCAGCAATATGTATTTAATTTCTATATCACAGTTATTTGATAAACTAGTTTTTTTTTTTTTTTTTGAGACGGAGTCTTGCTCTGTCACCCAGGCTGGAGTGCAGCGGCACGATCTCGGCTCACTGCAAGCTCCGCCTCCCGGGTTCACGCCATTCTCCTGCCTCAGTCTCCCGAGTAGCTGGCACTACAAGCGCCCGCCACCACGCCCGGCTAATTTTTTCGTATTTTTAGTAGAGACGGGGTTTCACCATGTTAGCCAGGATGGTCTCGATCTCCTGACCTCGTGATCTGCCCACCTCGGCCTCCCAAAGTGCTAGGATTACAGGCGTGAGCCACTGCGCCCAGCCTAGATTAGTTCTATACCTGGTTAATTCATGGAAGTATTAGAATAATGAAAGGAACCGGAGTGTGGAGGGAGAGAAGGATTAGAAAATGTGGGGAACACTGAAGTGTAGACCTGGGGCAGGGAAAATTAGATATAGGCTCCCAAACACCCCTCTGTTGAGTCAAAATCTACTGGGGAGCCTTTGTCAAAAGTGCGATCCAGCCCCACACCCAAGAGATTCTGATTCACGAGTTCGGAGATTATGCTTTTTAAATAAGCACTTAGAATAATTTTTACATACTGTCAGCTTTTGAGAACCATCATAGCAGAGATACTAAACATTAATTATCAGTTTTATGGCTTTTCTTTTATTCAGAATGGGAAGACAGTTTGGATATTCTCATGCTAATGGTTTTCTCCTCACACATCCATTTCATTCAAGACACATCAATTTCATTTGGGACAAATACATGCATAGAATGAAGATAAAATAGTACAAATGCACTGAGAAACTTTCTAATCCCTAAACTAACGCTATCAGTGGTAAAATTCTGGAATGTTTTCAGAAGTCAAAGAGCATTCTCTGTGCCCTTTTTTCTTCCTATGTAAGTAATTAGACTTCCCTTTTTGTGGGACTTGTGGAAAAAATAAGAGTGGTCAGAGGAAACACATTGCAACACTTTTTTTCAAGATAAATATTATGCTAACAGCTGTGGATCAATACAACTCCAAATTTGCTTAAAACAATCTGCTGTTTGTTGCCGCAATAATCATCACAGTTCTGATGAAATATTATGGGCTTTGAAGTTTGATAAACTTTGATACCAATGTCTCTGCTACTTGACAGCAGTATAAATTTCCTAAGTTGTTTCACCATTCTAAGTATCTATGCTTTCATCCATTAAGTGGGAAGGCTATAGTTGTAATAAAGATTTGCTCTGTGTAAACTGCCTCACCCAGTACCTGGCACATTATAGATTCCATACCTAAATAGAGTCATTGTATGGCATTTGCATATTGTCCATTTTTAAAGCAGTTAATTCATATTACAAGAGTAAAAGTCAAGTCTCTGAAACACGTCCCCAGCAATTTTTCCTAATAGTTTTTAGTCTGAGTTCTCAGATGGGTACTGGGTGCGTATTCCCAGAAGGAAACTTCAGGCTCAAAGCAGACCTGCCATTGCCTACCCACCCCACCTTCCTTAGCTGGTCAAGACGTAATTACAGAAAGCTGCACTCCCTGGAAAGAACCCCCATGTCTCCATACCCACTAAGGGTCAAAGCTCTGGTATCATTATGACTAATCTTATGGCAATTCTCTCTCTTAATGTCAGTCACCACCATAAGAAGGTAGGGGCAAGGCGCGGTGGCTCATACCTGTAATTCCAGCACTTTGGGAGGCCGAGGCAGGCGGATCACGAGGTCAGGAGATGGAGACCATCCTGGCTAACACGGTAAAACTCCCTCTCTACTAAAAATACAAAAAATTAGCTGGGCGTAGTGGTTAGAGGTGACAGCGTCCTGGCAGCCCTTGCTCCCTCTCCGCGGCACCTCCTCCGCCTTGGCGCCCACTCTGGCCGTGCTTGAGGAGCCCTTCAGCCCCCCTCTGCACTGTGGGAGCCCCTTTCTGGGCTGGCCGAGACCGGAGCCGGCTCCCTCAGCTTGCTGGAAGGTGTGGAGGGAGAGGCGCGGGCGGAACCCGGGCTGCGTGCGGCGCTTGCGAGCCAGCGCCAGTTCCCGGTGGGCGTGGGCTCGGCAAGCCCTGCACCCAGAGCGGCGGGCCGCGCCGGGCAGTGAGGGCCTTAGCACCTGGGCCAGCAGCTGCGGAAAGTGCGCCAGGTGTCCCAGCAGTGCCGGCCGGCCAGCGCTGCGCTGGAATTCTCGCCAGGCCTCAGCTGCCTCCCCCTGGGGCAGGGCTGGGGACCTGCAGCCTGCCATGCCTGAGCCTCCCCCTCTCCCCCTGCCGCCCCTCCTCCCCCCGCCGCCCCACACACGGCAACGCACCACGGGCTCCTGCGCCAGCTGGAGCCTGCCCGAGGAGCGCCGCCCCCTGCTCCAGGAGCACCTGGTCCCATAGACCGCCCAAGGGCTGAGGAGGGCGGGGCGCAGGGCATGCGGGACTGGCGGGCAGTTCCACCTGCAGCCCCAGGTGAGGCAGCCTCTGGGTGAAGCCAGCTGGGCTCCTGAGTCTAGCCAGGACTTGGAGAACCTTTATGTCTAGGTAAGGGATTATAAATACACCAATCAGCACTCTGTGTCTAGCTCAAGGTTTGTAAATGCACCAATCAGTGCTCTGTGTCTAGCTGATCTGGTGGGGACTTGGAGAACCTTTATGTCTAGCTAAGGGATTGTAAATACACCAATCAGCACTCTGTGTCTAGCTCAAGGTTTGTAAATGCACCAGTCAGCACCCTGTGTCTAGCTCAGGGTTTTTGAATGCACCAATCAGTGCTCTGTGTCTAGCTAATCTAGTGGGGACTTGGAGTACTTTTGAGTCTAGCTCAGGGATTGTAAACGCACCAATCAGCACCCTGTCAAAATGGACCAATCAGCTCTCTGTAAAAGGGACCAATCAGCACGATGTGGGTGGGGCCAGATAAGGGAATGAAAGCAGGCTGCCCAAGCCAGCATTGAAATCTGCTTGGGTCCCCTTCCACGCTGTGGATGCTTTGTTGTTTCGCTCTTTGCAATGAATCTTGCTGCTGCTCACTCTCTGGGTTGGCACTGTCTTTATGAGCTGTATCACTCACCGCAAAGGTCTGCAGCTTCACTCTTGAGCCAACGGGACCACGAACCCACGGGGAGGAATGAACACATCCAAACATCAGAAGGAACAAACTCCAGACATGCCGCCTTTAAGAACAGTAACACTCACCGTGAGGGTCTGCGGCTTTATTCTTGAAGTCAGTGAGACCAAGAACCCCCCAATTACGGACACTAGTGGCATGTGCCTGTAAGCCCAGCTGCTCGGGAGGCTGAGGCAGGAGAATGGCTTGAACCTGGGAGGCAGAGGTTGCAGTGAGCAGAGATCGCACCACTGCACTCCAGCCTGGGTGACAGAGCAAGACTCCGTCTCAAAAAAAAAAAAAAAAAAGTAGGTACTTCCTGATCACTCATTACCTCTTGTCTAATCCCAGTGTGGCTATGCACATTTTTGCTTTTGCCCCCATCTCCTATCTCTCTCCCAATCCTGAACCAAAACTCTTTTCTTGAGCTTTCTGGAGTGCATAGCTAATAATAAATGAAATTCTCCATACTTTCAGCCTCTTGTAAGAATTTTTCTGTTTCTCTTTTTTTTCTAGCTATAACTTGGCCCTTCCTGTCTCTTCTGCAGCCGTGATCAATGTGGGTTGCTTTATCTTCCATATTGCTCCAAACCAGATGGACTGGTTTCCTGTTTGCCTTACTTTACTACTTTGTTCTCATTTTCCTACCCTTTACCCTCAGAATTTATAGTTTTGAATCTCATATCAAAAGACTCTACCATTTATTATTCTTGAGATCATGCACAAACCCTCAGTCACTCCCACACCCTTCACAACAATTTTAGTGCTTGGGTCAAAGGAAATCTGTCAAAATACTACTTCTGTTTTAATTATTGGTGATTTCAACGATCATGAAAATAGTTGTTTTAATTCTCTAGCTTCTTGGTTTTCTTTTAACCCTCTTTTCTCCAATGATCTTGCATTCTCCTCACTCCTATGGACATATCATAGACATCACCACATCAATAACAGCAAGCCCTCCTTAATATCAGTTTCAAGGAATGGAGCACCACTGCCTATTTTTCTAGCTCACACTCAGTAGTACCCTGGATACAACAAAGCTTTCACTGACTAGTATCTATGATCCATAGGTTAACTTTGCCACAGATTTCACTGTTTATTTGTTTCTGCCTGTCCACCCATGGAGCTGATGGAGCTGAAGAAAATTCAGCAACCATGCTGACTTTAAATTTATTATCATAAAGCCAAAATGGACCTTTTATTTTGCTTAGAGGTCACAGTTTTTTTCTAATCCATGTCATTCGTTTTCTGAGTAACTGTTTTGTACCTTCATCTCTCTCCTCAAAATTCTAACATGTAGTTTCCTCTCTCCACCTTCAGCTGATGACCTATTTCACTGGCAAAAAAAATGAAGAAGAAACTTGCCAAAAGCTTCCTGGACCCCGTCTGTACAGGAAAAGCACTAGTACCAGAACTGTCCATGTGTAAGCTAAGGCCAACCTACACTTCTGTATCAGATTGCCTTCTTTCCTTGTGCTAGCAAGGATATCACTTTCCCCTTTCTAAAGAAATATCCCCAGCAGGAGGTTAGCATGCTTTCATTTTCCCATCTTTCAAGATCTCTCTTTGGGTTCCACTTTTTATATTGATATTGCCCAATTTGTGCCATTTTTCCAGAAAAAAAAGGCTGATTTATAATTCTTGTTTTCAGTCTCTCTCCTTGCATTCTCTCTTGAGCACACACCTATCAGGATTTTGCCCCCAATTTCCTAATAGTATTACTCCTCCTAAGTCATAAATTACCTGAATGTGACACGTAATGATCCTCATCTGACTTGAACTATTCACAGCATTTTTCAGAGCTGAGGATTCCCTCCGCTGGCAATACTTTCCAGGACACTATTCTTTGTGGTTTGTCTTGTAACTTTCACTGACCTCTCCATTTACATGTCATTTACTAATTTTTTTTTTTTTTTTACATTTCTTAGGCTTCTTAATTGAAGCATTTCAGTATTCAACTTTTACGTGTATGTGTATGGACCTCGTCTAGTCTCATGTCTTAAAATACGATCTCTATATTGATAATTTCAAAATTTGTATCTGTGGCCAAAGCCTTACTCCTGAACTTTAGATTTATCTCGTCACCTCACCAGTTCCCTGTATATCTGTAATAGGTATCTCATACTTAACATTTTCTGAACAGATATCCTCATCTTCCTTTCTCAGACCTCTCCTGGAGTATCCCTACTTTAGGAAAGGCAATTCTATCCTTCCAGTTGTACATACACATGCAAAATATTGAAATAATTCCTATTCCTCTGTTGGTCATGCTCATATCAGGCTCGAATTTCAAATCATACCCAGAATCTGACTACTTTTCAACACCTCCACAAGTTTTACCCTGGTCTGAATTATTGCAATACGCTCAAACTTGTACCTCAGCTTGTCTCCTGACCACTCACAGCCCCGCTTCCCCAACCTCATTCCCCTGTGTAAATCTGAAAACAGCAGTCAGGGTCATCCTGTGAAAACAAGTCATATGATGTCACTGCTTTGCTCAGATGCCCACCCCCTCCCCACCAGTGGCTACCCACATCGCCCAGCATAAAATCTAAAGAACAACCTGAAGGCCCTATAAAGTATACCTCCAATACTAAGCATCTTTGATCCTGTTGTTCTTTCTGTCTGAAATGTACTTTCCCAACAACTGCATACTCCCTCACCATGTTCTAGTACCCACAAAAAATGACACTTTCTCAGTGAGGACTTCTGTGACCATTTTTTTTTATTACTCCCTCTGACACTCAATATACCTTTTTTGCTACTTAAATTTTCTCATTATTCATCAGTCTATGATTTTCGCTCACATATTTTGTTTGTTACCCTTCATTTGCCTCAGCAGCTATAAATTTAAACTACTGAGTAAGCTCTAGAAGTGCAAGGATGCGTTTTTCTCTTTTTTGTTCATTGCTGTATCCTCTGTGTCTAGAATAATATCTATTCCCTAGCAGATACACAATAAATATTTTAAAAGGAATGTATAAATGAAATTTCCATTTTAAACAACGTATAGCAACTAAGTGATGTTGAAACCAAGATTTTATCTGGAATAGTATTTAAAATGGTAAGGAAGTTGGCTGTAATTGTATAATGACACAGTTACCCAGTCATCAATGGTCATGATATTAAAAAGTTGAAAACAGTCAATTCATTTTGCTTAGAGAGTCGGACATAACACTGATGCATACCACGTTAAGAAATTCTCCAAGAAAATCCTATTCAAAATCTTCCAATGGCTTCCTAGCTCACTTAAAATAAATACCCTAGTCCTTTCTACATCCCACAAGAATCTACAGAATCTTTTCCCTGGTTATCCCTCTGATAATATTTTCTACAAATATTTCCTACTCAGCCATTACTATACAGCAACAGGCTTCCTTGATATTCCATAAACATTTCATTTATATACCTGCCTCAAGTCCTTGTCACTTCTTTTTCCTTCTAGAAGGACGATTTTGCCTCCAGATGTCCATTTTTCATTTCAATTATTTTTCTGCTTAACCATTGCTGCCTTGCAGATGCTTTCCCTGACCTATATAAAAATGTAACACTTGTAATTCTTTAATGTCTCGCCCTATTGCCTACTCCATATCTCTTAAAATTACATGATTTTATAAAATATGTTTGTATATTGTCTTTTCCCCAGTAAATATAAGCCACAAAATGGCAGGAACTTCATCTTTTTTGTTCCATCATTTTCTGGTATAGTGCTTGTTATATTATTGAAACAATAGACATTTTGAATCAATGAGTCAATTATGCCAGCTGTATGGATCCTGAACATGTCTGACACACGGAAAGATTAGCATCTCTCCTTGCTTCTTATACTTTAATACTTTAGCCATGTGGTCTTCAATGTGAGACATGCATTCTCTCACAGAAATGAGAAGGCTTTCCAAAGGATATGCAAGTACAGATAAAGTTTTAGAAAAAAATTAACAATTTCATGGAAGAACAATTTATATGCAGTAAAATGCACATACATAATGTATATCATTAAATGAATTTTGACATATGCATTCAGCCATGAAACAAAGATACTGAAGATAATGGTCATCCCAGAAGTTTTCTTCTGTCCCTTCCTACCACTGCCCACCTCAGACCCTATCACTGAACTGCTTTTGTCGCTATAGATTAATTTACATTTTAAAGAATTTTATATTAAGATACGTCAAACAATAGGTACTCCTTTCTACTTGACTCAACTTAATTACTTTCAGGTTCAACCATATTGTCGTAGATATGATACTTATTCCCTTCAATGCCGATTAGTATTTTTTTTTTTAGTTTGTTTTTGAGATGGAGTCTCGCTCTCACCCAGGCTGGAGTGAAGTGGCATGATCTCCGCTCACTGCAAGCTCCACCTCCCGGGTTCACACCATTTTCCTACCTCAGCCTCCCGAGTAGCTGAGACTACAGGTGCCCACTACCACACCCGGCTAATTTTTTGTATTTTTAGTAGAGACAGGGTTTCACTGTGTTAGCCAGGATGGACTTGACCTCCAGACCTCGTGATCTGCCCGCCTTGGCCTCCCAAAGTGCTGGGATTACCGGCGAGAGCCACCGCACCTGGCCAGTTTTGCCCAGTTTTAATCGGTATGTTTGTCTTATTATTGAGCTGTGTTTTTTATATGTCTTCAAACAAGATGTTTGTTGAATATATGTTTGCAAATATTTTCAAAAGCAAATGTTTAAAATTTTGAGTAAGTCCAACTTATAAATTTTATCTTTACAGTTTCCCTTTTGTATTCTATGTAAGAGAGTTTTCAGATAGGGTTTGCACTGCCAAAATGAAAGTGAATATGATTTTCCCATGTTGTTTTAGAGGTTTTATATTTTACTTATTACATTTATGCTCCATTTTGAGTTAATTTTGGTAGAAGACATAAGGTAAGGGCCAAGGTTTTTTATTTTGTCTATTGCCATCCAATTTTTTCAGCATCATTTGTTAAACTTGACTTGGTATTTTTGTAAAAATCCATTAAACATAAATGTTTTGATCTTGTCCCAGACTCTCTATTCTGTTCCATTTACTACTATGTTCAATTTTATGTCAATATTATTCTATTTTCATTACTGTGGCGTGATAATAAGTCTTGGAATCAGATCCTGTAAGTATTTCTACTTTTAATCTACTTTTAAGGTAGATTATCACGTTGTATAAAAAGAGTTGCCCTTCTTTCTTTGTAATTTGGATATGTTTTACTCCTTGACTTGCTGTACTGTCCAGAACCACCAGTGCCATCTCCAGACTACCATATCTCAAAATAGAAGTGATGAGAGCAGACTTCCTTGCCTTGTTCCCAAACTTAAGGGAAAAAGTTTTCAGTCTTCCATAATGAAGTATGATGCTAGCTATAGGGTTTTGTACATTCAGATTAAGAAAGTACTCTTTCTTTCAGTTTTGTGGTTAAGTTTTTGTTCACTTGCTTTTTAAAATGGTGAATGAAAGAATTAACATTTAAAAATCAATATAATTCACTGTATCAGCAGAATAATGGGAAAACCTTATACTTACATTATCTCAAAAGTTGTACAAAGAATATTTGATAAAATTTAACTACTCATGATGAAAACAATTGCATACTATAAATAGAAAAGAACTTCTAGGAAGTGTATGGGGAAGTAGGAGATAAAGAGAGGTTGGTTAATGGGTAGAAATGTATACTTTGATAGAAGAAATAAGGCCTTGTGTTTGATAGATCTGTAGAGTGACTATAATCTACAATAATCTGTTTTATATTTCAAAATAGAAGAGACTATTCTAGCATAAAGAAAAGTATTTAAGGTGATGCATATTCTAATTATACTGATTTTACCTGTACAAATCAAATGAATATATTAAATTATTACATGTACCCCAAATTAAAAAAAAAAAACTTTCTTAATGTGATAAAGGGTATCTACCAAAAACTACTACAGAATCATCATACTTCATTATATGTTTATTGAATATGAATATCTTAATGAATAGAAAGAGAATGAAGGGCTCAATAGACTGGAGGTCCCATGAATTAGAAGGAAGAGCATACTAAGATTAACTGAAAATAAGATGAAGGAAAGCAGAAATCTAAATGTATTATTTTGGAGTAGTTTCGAGTGATGACAAATACCAAAAAGTGTCTACAGGATAGGTTGATTGAAGTAAAATAGAGGAGTAAAATTTTTCCATTGAGCAACAAGGCATAGTAATTCTACTCAAGGCTGTCTCTATTGTGTCTTTAGAGCAGTGCTGGGCATAGCACTTTCAGAGATGATGAAAATGTAATATCAGTGTATTCTTAAATGCAGTAGCAACTAGTTTCATGTAGCTATTAAGCACTTCAAATATGTCTAGTGTGACCAAGAAACTCAATTTTTAGTTTCATTTTTTATTTAGTTTAGATTTAAATAGCCACTTGTAGCTAGTGACTACCATGTAGCACAGCATAACTTCCGGCTATCAATTTCACCATGGCTGAGGTGGTAGAGCATTTTCTTCCCTGAGGATCCCACAAAATTTCACTTAAACCATTTCTAAGTCTTTCACCTTTCACCTACATTTTTTCAAGTTCTGAAATACCAAGTCACTACGCTGTTAGGAAATAGAGGGACTAGGCAATGCTCTATTATTTCTTTCTCTCATATTATTTCTTTCCTGTCTTTTGTTTTCTCTCTCCTTCATGTCCTCCTTTCAGGGTCAGTCACCAAGCACAATGTCAAAAACATTATGATCATTCAATACAGTGTAGCTGTTATAACAGTCTTTTTCAAATTATATACAATACCATCATGAGTATCTTTTATGCAATTACTTCAATACATCTGGGATTACTTCTACAGTAAACTGTCTTAAAACCAAAATTACTGATTCAAAGAGCATACAATTTTTTAAAATTTGCTTTTCAAATTGCATTCCAGAAAGATTTTATCAATAATAGTTTTTTATACAAATGGCACCTCTTAATTCATATCTACTAGTCATATATTTTTCTATCTTGAAAAATTAGTTGCAAAATAGAATCTACTATTGTTTTATTTTGCATTTATTTGATTATAGACCACATTCATGCTAGAACCAGTGATAGAGTTCTCTAGTATATTTCATATGACACAGAGTTTTCATCACTCATCTCTTTCTACTTCTCTAGGGCACTTGAAAAATTGGTTGCAAAATGGAATCTACTATTGTTTTATTTTGCATTTATTTGATTATAGACCACATTCATGCTAGAATCAGTGATAGAGTTCTCTAATATATTTCATATGATACAGAGTTTTCATCACTCATCTCTTACTACTTCTCTAGGGCACAAACTCAGAATACTTTTTGTTATACTCAAATGGCAAGAACATGTGTATCCCTTGAATAGCACCAGCATGACGTTGGTTTTCTCTAATAGAAATCCAAATTAATGCTCAGTTTTAAGATATTTGCTCAATATGCAGCAAAAAAAATAGTTCTTTTCTGGAAATTTCAACTTTCCTAGAGAATTAGGAAATCATCTGCTTCCACATGAAATAACCAAGACCAGGCACTATTACCTAGGTTTTCTTTGGACAACAGCATACTCCTGTCCTCAACTCCTGATAATCAAGTGTCTTGTGAAATTCCAGTTGTGACCATACGTTCTTGGATCACCCTGCCCATTTTCCTCAGGCCTCTATCCATGTATTCTGTGTGCTATGAACTTTGTTAAGCCTTCTGATGTCCTCTCAGATACCTTGAATATCTGTAGCTTCTTAATATTTTTTATAACACAACATTCTGGCTAGTTTTATCACTGATCCCAGAGGCTATACATACAGAGATGTGGTAGGTTTTGGAGTAAAGGAGAAGGCTTACATGGAAAAGAGTTGACATTATGCCTACAAATCAGAAACAAATATGAAGATTCACATAATTACCTGTATAGTATTGATAATTGTGAGATTCTCCAGCCAGTAGGTGGAAGCAGACTCCTATCTATAGAGATGGATAGTCTAAGCAGTTCGCACTTCTGAGTATGCTAAGTCATTTAGCACTTGCAGCAAATAAAACTTTCACTTTTCAGCAATCAGGAATCAGCTGTTTCTTGGGGATATATTTATGCAACCACTAATCCCTACTCAAAGGAGATTAGTTGCCTAAACAAATTTAACTCATGCCTGGGCTATTGCAATATTTTCCCAGGCAACTCAGGTTAGGGGACATAAGCCTAATAAATAAACTTTAAATCATCATCTTAGTAGGTGTTTAATGCTAACAAATTGTGTTACAAAGGTTCCTTGTTAAAATGAATGCTGTTATTGTCTCGTCCTCCCCAAATATTGGTCCTATTTGTCTTAGAGTTAGGAAGAGAAGACTGGAATAGAAAGGATAAATTCATACTAGCAGAAAAGGTAGTGAGCAGGATGACATACTTAATTGAGTAAAAAGGATGACATAACCTGTGAGCTCCATGAGGGTAAGAATATATCTATGAGGTTTGCTTCAAAGGCTAACAAAATTCTGGATACCTGGGGCATACCTATTAAATATTTGGTGAATAAAATGTTGAATGACAAACTAGAAGTATGCATGGCCTTTGTTCCCAGGATTTGATATATCAGAATATTCCCTTAAAAATTATGCCGTGTGTTGTGGCTCACATTTATAATCACAGCACTTTAGGAGGCTGGGGCTGGCAGATCACTTGAGGTCAGGAGTTTGAGACCAGCCTGGCCAATATGGTGAAAACCCATCTCTACTGAAAATACAAAAATTAGCCAGGTGTGGTGGTGCGTGGCTGTAGTCCCAGCTACTAGAAAGGGAGGCTGAGGCAGGATAATCTCTTGAACTCAGAAGGCAGAGGTTTCAGTGAGCCGAGATGTGCCAATGCGCTCCAGCCTCGGTGACAGAGCAAGACTCTGTCTAAAAAAAGAAAAATAAAAATTAGGCAACATATAAAAGAAAGGTGAAGAGCAGTGAAGATTGGTGGTATGGTAGGCTGAATAATGACCCTTAAAAATACCCATGTTCCAATCCCTGGAACCTGTGGATATTAATTTATATGGCAAAAGTAACTTTGCAGATGTGATTAAGCTAAGAATCTTAACATGGGGAGATTATCCTGGATTATCTGGTTGGGCAAACTTCTATTTTATCATTCAACATTTTGTTAACATCCATAGGTTATAGCTCCAATCTGCTATACAGAGGCCACACAGACTTCTATTTTATCATTCAATTTTTTTTTAACATCCACAGGTTATAGCTCCAATCTGTGCAATGCACTTTGAAAATGGAGAAAGGGAACACGTCAAGGAATACAGGAAGCCACTAGAAGCTGGAAAAAAACCAGGAGACAGATTCTCCTCCCAGATCATCCAGAAGGAACCAACCCTGCTAAAACCTTGACTTTAGCTCAGTACAAAGGATTTCAGACTTACAGCCTCCATAAGGGTAAGACAATACATTTGTGTTATTTTAAGCCACCAAGTTTGTGATACTCCTACAGCAGCAGCAATAGGAAAATAATACAGATGGTAACTGCCTTCTTTGTCCCTAATCATCTCTCTTCCTCCACTAGCTCCCACACTCCTATCTCTTTCAGAGACTGTCAATAGTGAAATATTGAATCAAGACCCCCTGAATATTTTATACACACTCTTATGAGATTAGAGTGTGTGATTACTGTTGTTATAGTACAGGATTCAAGTCAATAAGGTGGGCTCCAGGGACCTACCCAACCAAGAGCTGGTATTTCCACCATTAAAAAGTATTCTTAACTCTTTCCTTTTGTTATGATTATTATTATTCTAAGTTACCATGCTTTCTTTTGGTCTTGGTGTCCTTGAGAATGTACCTCACACAACTCTAACTACATGAGCATAATTGACCAATGGTCTCATGCACATTTAATCCCATTTTGTTATTTCCTTCTTAGAGACCTAATATATTTGCTATCTTAAACAAAATCCAGTTTTATTTTTAATAGCGCTTTATTCCGGAACTTTTCCTAGTCATCTAGACCATTGACCATAGTTCTGTTTAGCCCATTTTCTTCCAAGAAATTGAATATGTTTTGTTCACTGTCACTTCAGATTGAGATTCTTCTCTACACTAGGGTATTATAATAATATTGTTCACTCAACCATAGATATTCTATTTTCCTGGAGACTCTGGTTGCTTTTCTGCCCATTCTTGGTCACCCTGGAGACAAAATTTGATGAATCTCCTTAGATGAGGAAGAAGTTGTGTTGTGGTTCAGATCACAGACTCTGAATACAGATGGTCTGGGCTTACATCCCAGGTCTTTCACTTACGAACTGTGTGACTTGATCAACTCACTAAACCATGTCTCAGTTTTTCTATCTGTTTAATAGTAATAATAAAATATGAAATAAGAGGCTGGGTGCAGTGGCTCACGCCTGTAATCCCAGCACTTTGGGAGGCCAAGATGGGCAGATCACGAGGTCAGGAGGTCGAGACCATCCTGGCTAACACGGTGAAACCCCATCTCTACTAAAAATACAAAAAAGTAGCTGGGCGTGGTGGCATGCGCCTGTAGTCCCAGCTATTCGGGAGGTTGAGGGAGGAGAATTGCTTAAATCCGGGAGGTGGAGGTTGCAGTGAGCCGAGATCGTGCCACTGCACTCCAGCCTGGGTGACAGAGCGAGACTCTGTCTCCAAAAAAAAAAAAAAAAAAAAAAATATATATATATATATATATATATGATTATTTTGAAGATTAAATAAGTGAACTATTTAAAGCATTTAAAACAATGCTGGTCACAAAAGATCACATACTTGATAATAGCTTTTGTATGAAAATCCAGAATACTCAAATTTATAGAGATGAAAATTAGATTTGTGGTTGCCATGGGCTGGGAGAAGGAGAGAAAGAAATGGCTGTTAATAGGCGCTGAGTTTGTTTTAGGAGTGATGAAAATATTCTAAAATGAGTTAGTGGTGATGGGTATACAATTCTGTGAATACATTAAAAACACCACTGAATTGTATACCTTTAAAAGGTAAATTTTATCATAAAGGATATATCAACCAAAAAATAATGCTGGCCCCTTGTATTGTGATTATTTTAAATTATTATTGAGACCAATGTTTCTGGTCATCCTCTTCAGGGCCTTCTTCAGAAGGAGGTGCTATGTAGTGAATTGCATTTCTCCAAATTCATATGTTGAAGCCCTCATCCTAAAGTGACTGTAATTTGAGACAGGGTCTTTAGAAAATAATTAAGATTAAATGAGCTCATAAGAGTGTGCCCTTACCTGAAAGAACTGGTGGCCTTATAAGTAGAGAAAGGAAGTGCTCTCTCTCTCTTCCTCTCTCTCTCTCTCTCTCTCTCCAAGTGATCACAACAAAAAGGCCATGTAACAACTCAGGGAGAAGGTAGCTGTCTCCAAGCTAAGAAGAGGGCACTTACCAGGAATTGAATCAGCTGGCACCTTCACCTTGGACTTCTTAGCCTGCAGAATATGAGAAATAAATTTCTGTTGTTTAAGCCATTCAGTATTCAGTATCTTGTAATAGCAGCCTGAATACTTTAGTACATAGTTTGTTGCCATAGAGTGGCGTGATGCTGCAACAAATACCTAAAAATGTGGAAGTGGCTTTGGAATTGGGTAAAGAGTAGAGCCTAGAAAATTTTGAAGTGGCACTAGAAAAAGATGAGATTACCATGAAGTGACTGTTGGTAGTAATTTGGACAGTAACAGCAATTATGGTGAGGGCTCAAAAAGAAAAGAGGAGAGCTGAAGAGAAAGCCTACATATAATCATAAACAAAATTTTGATAGAAGTATGAACATGAAATGCCATTCTAGTAAGGTCTCATACAGTAATGAAGATCAGATCATGTGACTGGAAAATGGAGAAAAGGTTTTTTTTTTGTTTTTTTTTTTTAATGTTGTCTCACTCAGTTGCCCAGGCTGGAGTTCAGTGGTGTGATCTCGGCTCACTAACCTCAGCCTCCCAGGTTCAAGCCATTCTCCTGCCTCAGCCTCCCGAGTAGCTGGGACTACAGGTGCCCACCATCAGGCCTGGCTAATTTTTTTTGTATTTTTAGTAGAGACGGCGTTTCACCATGTTGGCCAGGATGGTCTCAATCTCCTGACCTCGTGATCCACCTGCCTCAGCCTCCCAAAATTCTGGGATTACAAGAGTGAGCCACCATGCCCGGCCAAAAGGTTCTTATTATAAAGTGTCAGAAACACTGCCAACTGTGGCAAAGGAGAAAAAAAAATTGAACAGAATGAAAGAAATGTATTGAACTTCTTAGATTCTACAAGGTAAGATTATAGAGTTATTTGGCTATGAGCATGATTTATCCTTCAAAAAAGGCAAGAGTGACCCTAAAGGCAATTCAGAGATCATCAAGGATACCACTCCCAAAGCTTGCAGGGCTAGTTCCTCCTTAGTTTCAAAGAGTGGGGTTTTCAAATCTCTTCAGTTTTTAGAGGGTCAAAATGCCCCCATCCAGTGCCTCAGGGTGGAGATGTCCTTCCAGAGAGCCCTAGGAAGGCGGGTAATGCTGTTGTTCAAGTGGGCCTGGAGGGCAGAACACTGAACCAGAGAATATTATTTTTAAGGCTACAGATCCAAAGAAATTTGCCTTGCTAGTTTTTGGGCTGGTTTAGGACTTGTCATCCTTTCTTCCAATTTCTTGCATTTGGAATGGGAATGTCTATCCTATGCCCATTTCACCATTGTATTTTGGAAGCACATAATTTGTCTGACATTACAGGTTCAAAGCTGGTTGGGAATTTGAGGTATCTGTAATTCAGAAGACGTGTTCTATCGGCAGCTCAGGATCTCAGCCCAGGAGAATGTCAATGAAAAGAGTTGAGCTCAGTAAAATATTTGAAGAGATTCATTCTGAGCCAAATATGAGTGATCAATGGCCCGTGACACAATCCTAGTAGATCCTGAGAATGTGCAACCAAAGTGGTTGGGTTACAGCTTGGTTTTACACATTTTAGGGAGACATAAGACATCAACTATAACATGTAAGATTGGCGGGGTGTGATGGCTCATGCCTGTAATCCCAGCACTTTGGGAGGCCGAGGAGGCAGATCACAAGGTCGGGAGATCAAGACCATCCTGGCTAACACAGTGAAACACTGTCTCTACTAAAAATACAAACAATTAGCCAGCCATAGTGGCAGGTGCCTGTAGTCCCAGCTACTCAGGAGGCTGAGGCAGGAGAATGGTGTGAACCAGGGAGGTGGAGCTTGCAGTGAGCTGAGATTGCGCCACTGCACTCCAACCTGGGCAACAGAGTGAGACTCTGTCTCAAAAAATAAAAATAAAGAAAGTAAGGTTTGCATTGGTTTGGTCCAGAAAAATGGGACAACTAGAAGTTGGGGCTTCCAGGTTATAGGAGATTCAAAGATTTTCTGATTGGCAATGGTTTGAAAAAGTTATTACCTAAAAAACCTGGAATCAGTAGAAAACAATGTCTGGGTTAAGATAAGGGGTTGTGGAGACCAAGGATTTATCATGCAGATGAAGCTGTAGCAGGCTTCAGAGAGAATAGACTGAAAGAGAGTTTCTTCTGTCAGTCTCAAGGTTTCTGTATTGATGTTAATGCTGGCCAGCTGTGCTTGAATTCCAAAAGAGAAGAGAGTATAATGAGACATGTCTGATCCCCACTTCCCATCATGGCCTGAGTTTTTCAGGTTAACTTTGGGATGCCCTTGGCTGAGAGGAGGGGTCCGCTCATATGGTTAATGGAGGGGATAGGTGGGTTAGAGTTTTACTTTTGGGTTATAAGAAAGTTCTGGATTAGAGGTGTCACTTTTAGCAGTCATCAACATATAAATAGTAAAAGAAATCTTTGAAGATAAAGTAAGTTTTCCAGGTGAGGGTATACGTATGTATGTAAACACATGAAAATTCAGCAGATGTGATAATGAAAAAAGACAGAGAAAAAACAGTCTGAGATGTAGAAGGATATCCAAGAGAGAATATAGTCACAGAAGCCAAGAGAGCAGGTAATATCAAGTTAAAGAAAGAATGAAAGGGCTGGGCACAGTAGCTCACGCCTGTAATCCCAGCACTTTGGGAGGCTGAGGTGGGCGGATCACAAGTCAGGAGATTGAGACCATCCTGGCTAACACGGTGAACCCAGTCTCCACTAAAAATACAAAAATTAGCTGGGCGTGGTGGCGGGCACCTATACTCCCAGCTACTCGGGAGGCTGAGGCAAGAGAATGGTGTGAACCCGGGAGGTGGAGCTTGCAGTGAGCCGAGATCATGCCACTGCACTCCAGCCTGGGCAACAGAGGGAGACTCCATCACAAAAAAAAAAAAAAAAAAAAAAAAAAAAAAGAATGAAAGATAGTTCTGAAGAAAGATAGAAAAAATGAGGGATAAAATTTATTTATTGAATAGGAAACTTCATTATCTAGAAATCAGATTACAGTGTTTTGTACAATTAATGTGTGTTGAGCTCAGGCAGACAGTATGTCTTGGCTATCTCAGAATATGGCATACTAGAGTGCTGCACACTCTTTTTGTACATTAGCAGCTCTTGATACTCCTGGGTATCCGAGAATTTCCAAAGGAATTTAAAATGTTTTGATGAAGTCAAAGAATCAAGAAGCCCTTGATACGACAGCAACTGGATTCCTTGAGTACAAGGGAAATGGGCAGGAGGGTCAGTGGCATCCAATTATAGATACTGCACTTTGCCACCTCTCAGGCAATCCTGGCCCAGATTTAGAATGCCAACGAATCCATTTGAAAACACACACATTTAAAAATGCACAATAATAAACACTCACCACACATAGAATTGCAGTAAACTCTATACTTTCAAAATGGCTAAGATTCTGGAAGGATTCATGTGTGTGCGGGCGGGGGGGGGGTATCTCTTTCTAAATAAGAAAAACAGATGTACTTGTTAGTCTCCTGAATACATTTCTGTTTTTGAATTGGAATCTTTCAATGCTTTGGATTTTGCTTTTGAGGTACGTTGTGTTTCAATCACATTGGCCTTAGGCGTGGAATAAATAAATGCTTGAATTTTTAAAATATGGATTTAATCCAAACCAAACCTGGCCTAAAGCACTGTATAACCTAAGATTGAGTTGAATTTATGTTGGAGGCTGAATGTTAGAAAACACAATCTATTAAAAGATCTTATGTGTAGATCCACTTGAGTAACCTCAGCAGTAAATTCAAATTAATTGTAAATAATACCTTAATAAGCCCTTTTTGTAAGAGTCCATCATGTAAAACTTACGAGTTAAAAGGTTGTTACTGAAATGGAGCAAGGTGGTGGAATAGAAGCCTACACAGTTCATCCCCCTTGCTGGAGCACTATATTTTAAAAGCTATCTGCACACACAAAAGCACCATCACAAGAACCAAAATTCAGGTGAGCAATCACAGTATCTGGTTTTAACTTTGTATCATGGAAAGAGGCATTGAAGAGGGCAGGAGCAACAGTTTCAAATTGCCAATGCTACCCCTCCCACATTTCTGGCAGCAGCCTGAGGGAAGCAGAGAGAATCTGTGCACTGTGGGGAGGGAAAGAACAGCAACTGGGGGATTTTACATTCAACTCAGTGCTGCTCTGTCACAGTGGAGAATAAAATCATGCTGAAATCATCCTGCAGCAAAGCACAGAGGGAAAATTCAGACCAGTCCTAGCCAAAGGGGATTCACTCATCCCAGCCATTGGAAATTGAGTTACTCAGCAAGCCATGCCACCACAGGGTGAAGTGTTCTGAGATCCTAAGTAAACTTGAAAGGCAGTGTAAGGTACAAGGACTGCAATTCCTAGGCAATTCCTGGGGTTAGGCTGTGCTTAGAGCCAGTGAACTAGGGTGTCACATGACCTAGGTAGACACTAGCTGACATGGCTAAAGAAGGACTTGCTCCATCACTTCCCCAACTGCAGGCAGTGCAGCTCATCACAATAAAAGTGATTCCTTCCTTCTTAAGGAGAAGCGAGTGAAAAGTAAAGAGGACTTGGTCTTGCATTTTGCACACCAGCACAACCAAAGTAGGATAAGTCACGAGGCAGAGTCATGAGGCCCCCATTCCATGCCCTGACATTTCTAGAGACACGCTGGGATAAAAGGTAACCAGATAACCTCAAAGGGAAGGACCCAGTCCTATCAGGAAAAATCACCTGCTGACTAAAATGCCCTTGGGCCCTGAATAACCAGAAGCGATACTCAGGAAGTACACCATGGGCCTTGGGCTCTGAGATGTGCTGGCTTCAGGGGAGACCCAGCACATTCCCAGCTGTGGTGACAAAGATGAAGGACTCCTTCTCTTGAGGAAAGCAGGGGGAAAAGTAAATAGGCCTTCATCTTGCATTCTAGGACCAGCTCAGCCATAGAGGGATAGACCAACAAGCAGGGTCTTGGGGTCCCCAAGTCCAGGCCTGGCTCTTGGACAGCATTTCTGGACCTGTCTGGGCCAGAGGGGAGCCCATTGCCTTGAAGAATGAGACCTAGGGCTTGGCGGTATTCACCACAAGCTGATGGAAGAACTCTTGGGCTTTAAGCAAACATGGGAGGTGGCCTAGGAGAAATCCCTGTAGACTAGCGGTGATGGTGGCCACAGGAAGAGACACCTCTGCCTGTGGAAAGGAGAGAAAAGAGTGGAAAGGGCTTTGTATTGTGGTTTGAGTTCCAATTTTGCTGCAGAAGAATAGAACATCAGGTAAATTACTAAGATTTTTTTCACTCCAATTCCTGGCTCCCAAACAGCATTGCTAGACACGCCCACAGCGTGGGGAAACTCACCACCATAAAGAAAAGGACCTTGCACAAAGCCCACTGCTGTGCTGTCTTTGGGTCTGAATAGGCACAGTCCCAGTTGTGGCAACAGCATGCTTGAATCACCATAGCTTCAGTTCCAGGTGACTCAGCACAGAAAGAGAGACTCATATGTTTGGGGGAAAGTTAGGGAAAAGAACAAGAGTCTCTGCCTGGTAATCCAGAGAATTCTTCCAGATCTTATCCAAGGCTACCAAGGTGGTACGTCTATGAGTCTGCAAACACCACAGTGTCATTGGGCTGGGGCACAAGTCCGTTGAAACACCTAGAAAGCTTTCCCAAGGACAGGCACAAACAAGCCCAGACTGTGAAGATTACAATAAATACCTAATTCTTCAATGTCCAGACACCAAAGAACATCTACAAGCATCAACACCATCTAGAAAAACATAACCTCACCAAATCAACTAGATAAGGCACTAAGGACCAATCTTGAAGAAACATAGATATATGACCTTTCAGGCAGATAATTCAAAATAGCTGTTTAGAGGAAACTAAAAGGAATTCAAGATAACACAGAGAATGAATTCAGAATTTTATCAGATACATTTAACAGAGATTGAAATAATTAAGAAGAATTAAGTAGAAATTACAGATGTGAAAAAATGCAGCTGATATGAAGAATATACCAGTCTCTTAACAACAGAATTGATCAAACTGAAGAAAGAATTCATGAGCTAGAAAATAGGCTACTTGAAAATACATAATCAGAGGAGACAAAAAATAATGAGAAACAATGAAGCAAGCCTACAAGATCTAGAAAATAGCCCCAAAAGGATAAATCTAAGAGTTATTGTCCTTAAAGAGGAGGTGGAGAAAGAAATAGAAGTAGAAAGTTTATTCAAAGGGAAAAAATCATAGAACTTTCCAAACATTGTGAAAGATATCAACATACAAATACAAGAAGGTTATAGAACACCAAGCAGATTCAACCCAAAGAAGATTACCTCAAGGCATTTCATAAGCAAACTGTCAAAGGTCAAGGAAAAAGAAAGGATCCTAAAAGCATCAAGAGAAATGAAACAAATAACATACAATGGAGTTCCAATATTTCTTTCAGCAGACTTTTCAGTGGAAACTTTACAGGTCAGGAGAGAATGGTATGACATATTTAAAGTGCTTAAAGAAAAAACATTTACCTTAGAATAGTATGTCCAGTGAAAATATACTGTAAGTATGAAAAAACCCAAAGACCTTCCCAAAGAAATGAAAGCTGAGGGATTTCATCAACACCAGACCTGTCCTACAAGAAATGCTAATAGGAGTTATTCATGCTAAAAGAAAAATGTGTCAATGAGCAAGAAGATATCATCAGAAGGTAAAAAAATCACTGGTACTAGTAAACAGATAGAAAATCATAGATTAGTATAACACTGTAATTGTGATATGTAAGTTTCTCGACTTAAATAGAAAGACTAAATGATGAATGAATAAAAAATGATAACTACAACATTTCAACACATAGACAGTAGCATAAGACATAAAGAGAAACAACAAAAAGTTAAAAATTGGGAAGACAAAGTTAAAGTGTAGAATTTTTATTAGTTTCCTCTCTACATGTTTGTTTGTTTATCTAATCAGTGTTATGTTTTCATCAGTTTAAATAATGGGTTATAAGATAGGATCTGTAAGCTTCATGTTAAACTCAAATGAAAAAACATACAACAGATACACAAAAAATAAAAAGCAAGAAATTAGTGTGTACCACCAATGAAAATTACCTTTACTAAAAGGAAGATAGGAAGGAAGAAAAGAAGGGAAGACCACATAGCAATCAGAAAATAAATAATAAAATGATAGGAGTAAGTCCTTACTCATCAATAATAGCATTGAATGTAAATGAACTAAACTCTCCAATCAAAACACATAAAGTGGCTGAATGGATGAAAGAACAATACCTAATGACCTGTGTCCTACAGGAAATACACTTCACCTATGAAGATACACATAGATTGAAAATAAAAGGGTAGAAAAAGATATTACATGTCAATGGAATCCAAAAAAAGAGCAGGATTATCTATACTTGTATCAGACAAAATAGATTTCAAGACAAGAACTGTAAGAAGAGACAAAGAAGGTAATTATGTATTAATAAGGGGGTCAATTCTTTAAGAGGATATAATGATTATAAATATATATGCACGAAACACTGAAGCATCCAAATCTATAAGGAAAATATTATTAGAGCTAAAGAGAGAGTTAGACACCAATACAATAACAGCTGGAGACTTCAATGCCTCACTTTCAGCATTGAGCAGATCTCCCAGAAAGAAAATCAACAAAGAAATATTGGACTTAATCTGCACTATAGAATAAATGGACCTAGTAGATATTTACAGAACATTTTATCAAAGGGCTGCAGAATACACATTATTTTCTTCAAAACATGGTTCATTCTCAAGGATAGATTAGATGGTAGGTCACAAAACAAGTCTCAAAACATTCTAAAATTAAAATAATATCAAGCATCTTCTCTGTCCACAATGGAGTAAAAGTAGAAATCCACACAGCTACAGTTAACCTATTTTTGACAAAGATGCTCTATTAGTTCATTTTCACACTGCTGATAAAAACATACCAGAGACTGGGTAATTTATACAGGAAAGGGTTTAATGGACTTACAGTTCCACATGGCCGGGGAGGCCTCATAATCATGGCAGAAGGCAAGGAGAAGCAAGTCACATCTTACATGGGTGGTGGCCAGCAAAAAGAGAGAGCTTGTGCAGGGAAATTCCCATTTTTAAAACCATCAGATCTTGTGACATTCATTCACCATCACAGCTCTAGTAGTTGGTGTCCCAGTAGGGACTCTGTGTGAGGGCTCCAACCCCACATTTCCCTTTCACACTGCCCTAGCAGAGGTTCTCTATGAGGGTCCTACCTGCAGCAAACTTCTACCTGGACATCCAGGTGTTTCCATACATCTTCTGAAATCTAGGCAGAGGTTCCCAAACCCCAATTCTTGACTTCTGTGCACCTGCAGGCTCAATAGCATGTGAAAGCTGCCAAGGCTTGGGGATCGCACTTGCACCCTCTGAAGCTATGACCTGAGCTATGCCTTGACCCCTTTAGTCATGGCTGGAGCATCTGGAATACAGAGTATGAAGTCCCTAGAGTGCACACAGTAGGGAGGCCCTGGGCCCAGCCCATGAAACAATTTTTTCCTCCTAGGCCTTTGGGCCTGTGATGGGAGGAGCTACCTCAAAGGTCTCTGACATGCCCTTGAGACATTTTCCCCATTTTTTTTTGGAGATTAACATTTGACTCCTCATTACTTATGCAAATTTCTGCAGCTGGCTTGAATTTCTTCTCAGAAAATGGAATTTTCTTTTCTACTGCATTGTCAGGCTGCACATTTTCTGAACTTTTATGCTCTGTTTTGCTTTTGAAACTGAATGCCTTTAACAGCACCCAAGTCACATCTTGAATGCTTTGTTGCTTATAAATGTCTTCTGGCAGATACCCTAAATCATCTCTCTCAAGTTCAAAGTTGTACAAATCTCTAGGGCAGGAGCAAAATGCCACCAGTCTCTTTACTAAAACATAACAAGAGTCATCTTTGCTCCAGTTCCCAACAAGTTCCTCATCACCATCTGAGACCACCTCAGCCTGAATGTCATTGTCCATTTCATTTATCAGCCATCCAAGAAGTGTCTAGAGTGTTCCAAACTTTCCCACCTTTTCCTGTCTTCTGAGCCCTCCAAACTGTTCCATCCTCTGCCTTTTATACAGTTACAATGTCACTTCCACATATTCAGGTATCTTTTCAGCAGCGCTCCACTCTACTGGTACCAACTTACTGTATTAGTCCATTTCATACTGCTGATAAAAACATACCTGAGACTGGGAAATTCATATAGGTAAAAGGGTTTAATGGACTTACAGTTCCATATAGCTGGGGAGGTTTCATAATCATATTGGAAGGCAAGGAAAAGCAAGTCACATCTTAGATGGATGGTGGCAGACAAAAAGAGAGAGCTTATTTAGGGAAACTCTGTTTTTAAAACCATCAGATCTCATGCAACTTATTCACCATCACAAGAACAGCAGGTCACAGACCCATCCCCATGATTCAATCATTTCCTACTGGGTTTCTTCCACAGCATGTAGGAATTATGGGAGCTACAAGATGAGATTTGGGTGGAGACACAGAGCCAAAACACATCAGATGCCATGGAAATACAATGAGGAAAAGACAGTCTTTCCAATAAACTGTGCTGGGAAACCTGGCTATCCATATGCAAAAGAATGAAACTGGATCTCCATCTCCCTCCTTATATAAATATAAAATCAAAATGGATTAAAGATTTAAATCTAAGACCTTATACTATAAAACTAAAAAAAGAAAACAGTGGGAAACTCTCTGGGACATTAGTCTGGGCAAAAATTTCTTGAGTAATACCCCTCAAGCACAGACAACAAAAGCAAAAATGGACAAATGTGAACACATCAAGTTAAAAACTATCTGCACATCAAAGGAAACAATCAACAACGTGAACAGACAGCCCACAGAATGAGAGAAGTATTTGCAAGATACTCATCTGACAAGGGATTAATAGAATATATAAGGAGCTCAAATAACTCTATAGGAAAAAATCTAATAATTTGTTTTACAAATAAGCAGATTTGAGTAGACATTTCTCAAAAGAAGACATACAAATAGCACACAGGTATATGAAAAGGTGCTCAACATCACTGATCATCAGAGAAATGCAGATCAAAACTACAATGAGATATCACCACACCTCAGTTAAAATGGCTTTTATTGAAAAGTCAGGCAATAACAAATGCTAGTGAGGATGCGGAGAAAAGGGAACCCTCATACACTATTGGTGAAAGTGTAAATTAGTATAACCACTAAGGAGAACAGTTTGGCAGTTCCTTGGAACACTAAAAATAGAGCTAACATATGACCCAACAATCCCACTGTTTGGCCTGTTATACCCCAAAGAAAGGAAGTCAGTTGATAGAAGAGATACCTGTATTCCCACGTTTGTTGTAGCACTGTTAACAATAGCCAAGATTTGGAATCAACCCAAGTATCCATCAGCCAACAAATGGATTAAACGAATGTGGTACTTATACACAATAGAGTGCTACTCAGCCATACAAAAAGAATGAGATCCTATCATTTGCAATAACATGGATGAAACTAAAAGTCATTATGTTATGTGAAATAAGCCAGGCACAGAATGTCAAATATCACGTGTTCTCACTTATCTGTAGGACCTAAAAAATCAAAACCATTTGAACTGACAGAGATGGAGAATGGAAGGATGGTTACCAGAAGTTGGTGGGGAAGGGGGAAGCAATGAGTGAGGTGGCAATGTTTAATGGGTAGAAAAAAAATAAAAGAATCAAGATGACCTAGTGTTTGATAGCACAGTAGGGGACTATAGTCAATAATAATTTGATTGTACATTTTGAAATAACTAATGGATGGTATGTTAACACACATGATACATGTTTGAGAGGACAGATATTCCATTTTCCATGATGTGATTATCATGCATTGTATGCCTGTACCAAAATATCTCATGTACCCTATAAATTTATCTACCTACTAGGTACCCAAAAAATTAAAAATACTTTTTTTAAAAAAAGTATTGAGAGATGACAGCGTGCTGGCAGTCCTCACAGCCCTCGCTCACTCTCGGCACCTCCTCTGCCTGGGATCCCACTTTGGCAGCACTTGAGGAGTGCTTCAGCCCACCGCTGCACTGTGGGAGCCCCTTTCTGGGCTGGCCAAGGCTGGAGCTGGATCCCTCAGCTTGCAGGGAGGTGTGGAGGGAGAGGCGCGAGCGGGAACCGGGGCTGCATACAGTGCTTGCGGGCCAGCTGGAGTTCCAGGTAGTCATGGGCTTGGCGGGCCCTGCACTCAGAGCAGTCAGCCAGCCCTGCTGGCCCCAGGCAATGAGAGGCTTAGCACCCAGGCCAACAGCTGCAGAGGGTGTACTAGGTCCCCCAGCAGTGCCAGCCCACTGGCGCTGTGCTCGATTTCTCACCAGGCCTTAGCTGCCTTCCTGCAGGGCAGGGCTCAGGACCTGCAGCCTACCATGCCTGAGCCTCCCACCCACTCCATGGGCTCCTGTGTGGCCAGAGCCTCCCTGATGAGTGCCGCCCCCTGCTCCATGGTGCCCAGTCCCATCTACCACCCAAGAGTTGAGGAGTGCAGGCGCACAGCACGGGACTGGCAGGCAGCTCCACCTGCAACCCCAGTGCAAGATCCACTGGGTGAAGCCAGCTAGGCTCCTGAGTCTGGTGGGGACATGGAGAACCTTTATGTCTAGCCCAGGGATTGTAAATACACCAATCAGCACTCTGTATCTAGCTCAAGGTTTGTAAATACACCAATCAGTACCCTGTGTCTAGCTCAGGGTTTGTGAATGCACCAATTGACACTGTATCTGGCTATTCTGGTGGGGCCTTGGAGAACCTTTATGTCGACACTCTGTATCTAGCTAATCTAGTAAGGACATGGAGAACTTTTGTGTCTAGCTCAGGGATTGTAAACGCACCAATCAGCGCCCTGTCAAAACAGACCACTCAGCTCTACCAATCAGCAGGATGTAGGTGGGGCCAGATAAGAGAATAAAAGCAGGCTGCCCAAGCCAGCAGTGGCAACCCATTCAGGTCCCCTTCCACACTGTGGAAGCTTTGTTCTTTTGCTCTTTGCAATAAATCTTGCTACTGCTCACTCTTTGGGTCCACACTGCCTTTATGAGCTGTAACACTCACAGTGAAAGTCTGCAGCTTCACTCCTGAAGCCAGTGAGACCACAAGCCCACCAGGAAGAATGAACAACTCCAGACGCACCACCTTAAGAGCTGTAACACTCACCGCAAAGGCCTGCAGCTTCACTCCTGAGCCAGCGAGACCATGAACCCACCAGAAGGAAGAAACTCTGAACACATCTGAACATCAGAAAGAACAAACTCCGGACACACCACCTTTAAGAACTGTAACACTCACCGCAAAGGTCTGCGGCTTCATTCTTGAAGTCAATGAGACCAAGAACCCACCAATTCTGGACACATTTTGGCGACCACGAAGGGACTTTCACCTATTGCCAAGCGGTGAGACAATCGCCGAGCAGTGAGACCATCGCCTATTGCCGAGCAGTGAGACAATCGCCTATCGCCAAGCAGTGAGTACCATCAGACCCCTTTTGCTTGCTATTCTGTCCTGTTTTTCCTTAGAATTCAGGGGCTTAATACCGGGCACCTGTTGGCCAGTTAAAAGTGACTAGCGCGGCTGCCGGACTATAGACACGGGTGTCAGGCTTTCTGGGAAAGGGCTCTCTAACAACCCCCGACTCTTCAGAGTTGGGACTGTTGGTTTGCCTAGAACCAGCTTCCACTTTTCCTGTACTACTGGGCTGAGCCGAGGGTCAATAGAGAGGAAAGCCATGCAGCTCCGGGGTCCCAACAACATGTTGGTTGACCCTGTGGCCATGAGTGGAACTCTCAAAGGCATGTCGCCCAAGCGAGACTCTCCCATCTATCCTATCTATCCTGACCTTTGCCCCCTGGGTCCTAATGCCTGCCAGACAAACTTCCACTCGCCTCTCTTCTTTGAGGTTAGACCTGCTTCTAAAAATTGCTACCTGTCTCTGGTGCTTTTCTAGTTTCTCCTATAAGAATGATTTCTAGTATAAACTCCAGGACTCTGTTACCTTCTTTAGGCACCTGGGCTCACCAATCAGAAAGACATAATTTTTGCCCAAAGCCCCGTCATACCGGGGACTACCTGGAATTTAGGATCCCTTCTCAGACTAATAGGCCTAACAAAAGCTATTCCTGAAGCTAGGATGTGGGGAGCCTCAGAAATTGTATCCTTCCTATTCATATAAGTGAGGACAAAAGGTGTCACTCTTCCAACCCTGAAGATCCCTTCCCTCCCTCAGGGTATGGCCCTCCACTTCATTTTTGGGGCATAACATCTTTATAGGAAAAGAGTAAAGTCCCAATACTAACAGGAGAATGCTTAGGACTCTAACAGGTTTTCAAGAATGCATCAGTAAGGGCCACTAAATCCGATTTTCCTCAGTCAGTCCTCCTTGTGGTCTAGGAGGACAGGCAGAGGTGCAGGTTTTCGAGAATGCATCAGTAAGGACCACTAAATCCAACCTTCGTCAGTCCTCCTTGTGGTCTGGGAGGAAAACTGGTGTTTCTGCTGCTGCGTTGGTGAGCGTAACTATTCCGATCAGCAGGGTCCAGGGACCGTTGCAGGTTCTTAGGCAGGGGTTGTTTCTGCTGCTGCATTGGTGAGTGCAACTATTCTGATCAGCAAGGTCCAAGGACTGTTGCAAGTTCTGAGGCAGGAGGAAAAACAAAATAAACCAAAACCATGGGCGGTTTTGTCTTTCATATAAGAAACACTCAGGCATCAACAGGCTCAACCTTGAAATGCATGCTAAGCCATTAAGACCAATTTAACCCACAAACCCTGAAAAAGAGGTGGCTCATTTTTTTCTGCACTATGGCTTGGCCCCAATATTCTCTCTCTGATAGGAAAAAATGGCCACTTGAAAGAAGTACAAATTACAATACTATCCTGCAGCTTGACCTTTTCTGTAAGAGGGAAGGCAAATGGAGTGAAATACCTTATGTTCAAGCTTTCTTTTCATTGAAGGAGAATACACAACTATGCAAAGCTTGCAATTTACATCCCATAGGAGGACCTCTCAGCTTACCCCCATATCCTAGCCTCCCTATAGCTCCCCTTCCTATTAATGATAATCCTCCTCTAATCTCCCCTGCCCAGAAAGAAGTAAGCAAAGAAATCTCCAAAGGACCAAAAAAAACCCCAGGCTATCAGTTATGTCCCCTTCAAGCTGTAGGGGGAGAGGAATCTAGCCCAACCCAGGTACATGTCCCCTTCTCCCTCTCTGATTTAAAGCAGATCAAGGCAGACCTAAGGAAGTTTTCAGATGATCCTGATAAGTACATAGCTGTCCTACAAGGTCTAAGGCAAACCTTTGACCTCGCTTAGAGAGATGTCATGCCACTGTTAGATCAAACCCTGGCCTTTAATGAAAAGAATGCAGCTTTAGCTGCAGCCTGAGAGTTTGGAGATACCTAGTATCTTAGTCAAGTAAATGATAGAATGACAGCCGAAGAAAAGGACAAAGTCCCTACCGGTCAGCAAGCCATCCCCAGTATGGATCCCCACTAGGACCTTGACTCAGATCATAAGGACTAGAGTCATAAACATCTGTTGACCTGTGTTCTAGAAGGACTAAGGAGAATTAGAAAAAAGCCCATGAATTATACAATGATGTCCACCATAGGAAAGGAAGAAAATCCTTCTGCCTTCCTCGAGCAGCTACGAGAGGCCTTAAGAAAATATACTCCTCTGTCACCTGAATCACTCGAGGGTCAATTGATTCTAAAAGATAAGTTTATTACCCAATCAGCCACAGATATCAGGAGAAAGCTCCAAAAGCAAGCCCTAGGCCCTGAACAAAATCTAGAGGCATTATTAAACCTGACAACCTCAGTATTGTATAATAAGGACCAAGAGGAACAGGCCCAAAAAGAAAAGCGAGATCAGAGAAAGGCCGAAGCCTTAGTCATGGCCCTCAGACAAACAAACCTTAGTGGTTCAGAGAGGACAGAAAATAAGGCAGGCCAATCACCTAGTAAGGCTTGTTATCAGTGTAGTTTACTAGGACACTTTAAAAAAGATTGTCCAATGAGAAACAAGCTGCCCCCTCGTCCATGTCCACTATGCTGAGGCAATCACTAGAAGGTGCACTGCCCCAGAGGACAAAGGTTCCCTAGGTCAGAAGCCCCCAACCAGATGATCCAACAACAGGACTGAGGGTGCCTGGGGCAAGTGCCAGCTCATGTCATCACCCTCACTGATCCCCAGGTATGTTCAACTATTGAAGGCCAGGAAATTGACTTCCTCCTGGACACTGGCGCAGCCTTCTCAGTGTTAATCTCCTGTCCTGGATGACTGTCCTCAAGGTCCGTTACCATCCAAAGAATCCTAGGACAGCCTGTAACCAGGTATTTCTCCCACCTTCTCAGTTGTAATTAGGAGACTTTGCTCTTTTCACTTGCCTTTCTTGTTATGCCTGAAAGTCCCACACCCTTATTGAGGAAGGATATATTAGCCAAGGCTAGAGCTATTATCTACATGAATATGAAGAACCAGTTACCCATTTGTTGTCCCCTACTTGAGGAGGGAATCAACCCTGAAGTCTGGGCATTAGAAGGACAATTTGGAAGGGCAAAAAATGCCTGCCCAGTCCAAATCAAAAGATCCCACCACTTTTCCTTATCAAAGGCAATATCCCTTAGAGCCTGAAGCTCATAAAAGATTACAGAATATTGGTAAACATTTGAAAGCTCAAGGCTTAGTAAAGAAATGCAGCAGTCCCTGCAACAACCCAATTCTGGGAGTACAAAAACCGAATGGTCAGTAGAGACTAGTGGAAGATCTTAGACTCATCAATGAGGCAGTAATTCTGGGCGCTCCTCCTTAAAGGACCGGTGCTTCAAATACGCACATGTGTGGCCCTCAACCCTGCCACTTTTCTCCCAGAGGATGAGGAACCAATCGAGCATGACTGCCAACAAATTATAGTCCAGACTTATGCTGCCCAAGATGATCTCTTAGAAGCCCCCTTAACTAATCCTGACCTTAACCTATATAATGATAGAAGTTCATTTGTGGAGAATAAGATATGAAAGGCAAGTTACGCCACAGTTAGTGATGTAACCATACTTGAAAGCAAGCCTCTTCCCCAAGGGACCAGTGCCCAGTTAGCAGAACTAGTGGCACTTACCCAAGGCCTAGAACTAACAAAAGGAAAAAAATAAATATGTACACAGATAGCAAGTATGCTTATCTAATCCTACATCCCCATGCTGCAATATGGAAAGAGAGGGAGTTCCTAACCTCTGAAGAAACCCCCATTAAATACCACAAAGAAATTATAAAGTTATTGCACGCAATGCAAAAACACAAAGAGGTAAAAATCTTACACTGCCAATGCCATCAAAATAGGAATAAGAGAGGAGAACAGCAGCATAAGCGGCTGGCAGAGGCAGCAAAAAAGAAAGAAAAAGACAAGAAATCAAAGAAAAAGACAGAAGAAAAGACAAACAGAAAGTCAAAGAAAGAGTCAAAAACAGAGACAAAAAAGAAGTCAAAAAGAAGGAAAGACAGACACAGAAAGTCAAAGAGAGTTAAAAAAAGAGGAAAAGACAAAGAAGAAGTCAAAGAAAGAAAAAGAAAGATAGAATTAATAAAGAAAAAACAGAGTACCCTATTCCTTTAAAAGCCAAAGTAAATTTCTATCTACCCAGCCAAGGCATATTCTACTTATGTAGATCTTCAACCCATATCTGCCTCTCAGACAGTTTGCAAGAAATAACGAAATCTATTCTTACTTTACAGTCCCAAATAGACTCTTTGGCAGCAGTGACTCTCCAAAACCGCCGAGGCCTAGATCTCCTCACTGCTGAGAAAGGAGGACTCTGCACCTTCTTAAAGGAAGAGTGTTGTTTTTACACTAACCAGTAGAAGATAGTACAAGATGCCGCCCAGCGTTTACAGAAAAAGACTTCTGAAATCAGACAACGCCTTTCATATTCTTATACCAACCTCTGGAGTTGGGCAACATAGCTTCTCCCCTTTCTAAGTCCCGTAGCAGCCATATTGGTATTACTTGCCTTTAGGCCCTGTATTTTTAACCTTCTTGTCAAATTTGTTTCCTCTAGAATCAAGGCCATCAAGCTACAGATAGTCTTACAAGTAGAACCCCAAATAAGTTCAACCAACAACTTCTACCGAGGACCCCTGGACCCACCTGCTGGCACTTCTCTTGGCCTAGAAAGTTTCCCTCTGAAAGACACTACAACTGCAGGGCCCCTTCTTCACCCCTATACAGCAAGAAGTAGCTAAAGCAGTCATCAGCCAAATTCCCAACAGCTGTTAAAGTGTCATGTTTAGAAAGAAGATTGAGAGGTGACAGCGTGCTGGCAGTCCTCACAGCCCTCCCTCACTCTCGGCGCCTCCTCTGCCTGGGCTCCCACTTTGGCAGCACTTGAGGAGCCCTTCAGCCCACCGCTGCACTGTGGGAGCCCCTTTCTGGGGTGGCCAAGGCCGGAGCCGGCTCCCTCAGCTTGCAAGGAGGTGTGGAAGGAGAGGCGCGAGCAGGAACCGGGGCTGCACGCGGCGCTTGCGGGCGATCTGGAGTTCCAGTTAGGCGTGAACTTGGCGGGCCCTGCACTCAGAGCAGCAGGCCCGCCCTGCCAGCCCCAGGCAATGAGAGGCTTAGCACCCAGGCCAGCGAGTGCAGAAAGTGTACTAGGTCCCCCAGCAGTGCCAGCCCACCGGCGCTGTGCTCGATTTCTCACCAGGCCTTAGCTGCCTTCCCGCAGGGCAGGTCTCGGGACCTGCAGCCCACCATGCCTGAGCCTCCCACCCACTCCATAGGCTCCTGTGCGGCCAGAGCCTCCCTGATAAGTGCCGCCCCCTGCTCCATGGTGCCCAGTCCCATCGACCACCCAAAGGCTGAAGAGTGCAGGCGCATGGCGCAGGACTGGCAGGCAGCTCCATCTGTAGCCCCGGTGCAAGATCCACTGGGTGAAGCCAGCTAGGCTCCTGAGTCTGGTGAGGACGTAGAGAACCTTTATGTCTAGCCCAAAGATTGTAAATACACCAATCAGCACTCTGTATCTAGCTCAAGGTTTCTAAATACACCAATCAGCACCCTGTGTCTAGCTCAAAGTTTGTGAATGCACCGATGGACACTCTGTATCTAGCTATTCTAGTAAGGCCTTAGAGAACCTTTGTGTCGACACTCTGTATCTAGCTAATCTAGTAAGGACGTGGAGAACCTTTGTGTCTAGCTCAAAGATTGTAAATGCACCAATCAGCGCCCTGTCAAAACAGACCACTCGGCTCTACCAATCAGGAAGATGTAGGGGCCAGATAAGACAATAAAAGCAGGCTGCCCGAGCCAGCAGTGGCAACCCGCTCAGGTCCCCTTCCACACTGTGGAAGCTTTGTTCTTTTGCTCTTTGCAATAAATCTTGCTACTGCTCACTCTTTAGGTCCATACTGCCTTTATGAGCTGTAACACTCACCGTGAAAGTCTGCAGCTTTACTCCTGAAGCCAGCAAGATGTAACACTCACCACAAAGGCATGTAGCTTCACTCCTGAGCCAGCAAGACCACGAACCCACCAGAAAGAAGAAACTCTGAACACATCTGAACATCAGAAAGAACAAACTCCAGACATACCACCTTTAAGAACTGTAAGACTCACTGCGAAGGTCTGCGGCTTCATTCTTGAAGTCAGTGAGACCAAGAACCCACCAATTCCAGACACAGTATTTTTTTTTTAAGTTTTTACCTTCTATTTTGTGACATCTATACACAACTTTAAGGAGTAATTATATCGAAAGTATACCTGTACCCCATTTTTATTGCAGCACTAAATTGACAATAACAAAGATATGGAATCAACCTAAGTGTCCATTAACAAATGAGTGGGTAAAGAAAATGTGTATGTACACAATAGAGTATCATTCAGTCATAAAAAGAATAAAAATCTTCCATTTGCAGCGACATGAATGGAATTAAAGGTCTTTATGGTCAGTGAGATAAGCCAGGCCAGAAAGACAAAGATTGCATGTTTTCACTCATATGGGAGCTAGAAAAGTTGAACTCATGGAGGTAGAGAAGGTAGATGGTTGTTTTTTGTTGTTTTTTTAACTGTTGAGTTGTTTGAATTTCTTCTATATTCTGGATATTAGTCCCTTGTTTGCAAATATTTTTTCCATTCTAAAGATTTTTTTCTTCACTCTGTTGATTGTTTCTTTTGCTGTAGAGAATATTTTTTGTTTAATATAGTCTAGTTTGTGCCACTTGTCTGTCTTTCCTTTTGTTGTTTTGTGTTTTTGAAGTTTTAGCAATAAAATCCTTGCCTAGAGCAATATCCTGAAGCATTTCCTCTACATTTCCTTGAAGATGTTTTATAGCTTTGGGTCTTATATTTAAGTCTTTAATACATTTTGTGTTGATTTTTGTATATGGTAAGAAAATTGGGTCTAGTTTTATTCTTCTGTGTATGGGACATCCAGTTTCACCATTATTTCACCATTACCATTTATTGAAGGGTGCCATATCCACAGTGTATGTTCTTGGCACCTTTGTCAAAAATCAGTTGGCTGTAACTATGTGGGTTTATTTCTAGATTCTCTATTCTGTTCCATTGGCCTATGTGTCTGTTTTTTATAATAATACCATCCTGTTTTGACTACTATAGCTTTGTATTATAATTTGAAGTCAAGTAGTGTGGTGCCTCAGCTCTGTTCTTTTCACTCAAGATTGCTTTGGTTTTGTGGTGCCTTTAGCAGTGCCACAGGAATTTTAGAATTTTTTCTCTATCTATCTCTCTGAAGAATGTTATTTAGGGATTACATTGGATCTGTAGATTGAATTGGATAGTAATGTCATAGTAACAGTATTAAGCCTTGGGATGTATTTCCATTTGTGTCCTCTTCATTTCTTTTGTGGTTTTCTTTGAAGAGGTCTTTACCTCCATGGTTACATTTATTTCTAGGGTAGTTATCTTTTTTTCTTGTTGTTTTAGCAATTGTAAATGTAGTTGTTGTCTTAATTTATTTTCCAGCTAGTTTATTGCTGGCATATGCAAATCCTACTGACTTTTGCATGTCGATTTTATACCTAGGAACTTTAGTAAATTTGTTTTATCAGTTATAAGAGTTTTTTGAGGAGTCTTTAAGGTTTTCTATATATAAAATTGTGCCATCTGCAAAGAGTGATCATTTGACTTCCTCTTTTTTAATTTTAATGTCTTTTATTTTTTTTATTATTATTATACTTTAAGTTTTAGGGTACATGTGCACAATGTGCAGGTTAGTTACAAATGTATACATGTGACATGCTGGTGCGCTGCACCCACTAACTCGTCATCTAGCATTAGGTATATCTCCCAGTGCTATCCCTTCCCCCTGCCCCCACCCCACAACAGTCCCCAGAGTGTGATGTTCCCCTTCCTGGGTCCATGTGTTCTCATTGTTCAATTCCCACCTATGAGTGAGAATATGTGGTGTTTGGTTTTTTGTTCTTGTGATAGTTTACTGAGAATGATGATTTCCAATTTCATCCATGTCCCTACAAAGGACATTAACTCATCATTTTTTATGGCTGCATAGTATTCCATGGTTTATATGTGCCACATTTTCTTAATCCAGTCTATCATTGTTGGACATTTGGGTTGGTTCCAATTCTTTGCTATTGTGAATAGTACCACAATAAACATACATCTGCATGTGTCTTTATAGCAGCATGATTTATAGTCCTTTGGGTATGTACCCAGTAATGGGATGGCTGGCTCAAATGGTATTTCTAGTTCTAGATCCCTGAGGAATCGCCACACTGACTTCCACAATGGTTGAACTAGTTTACAGTCCCAACAACAGTGTAAAAGTGTTCCTATTTTTCCACATCCTCTCCAGCACCTGTCGTTTCCTGACTTTATAATGATTGCCATTCTAACTGGTGTGACATGGTATCTCATTGTGGTTTTGATTTGCATTTCTCTGATGGTCAGTGATAGTGAGCATTTTTTCATGTGTTTTTTGGCTGCATAAATGTCTTCTTTTGAGAAGTGTCTGTTCATGTCCTTCGCCCACTTTTTGATGGGGTTGTTTTTTTCTTGTAAATTTGTTTGAGTCCATTGTAGATTCTGGATATTAGCCCTTTGTCAGATGAGTAGGTTGCGAAAATTTTCTCCCATTTTGTAGGTTGCCTGTTCACTCTGATGGTAGTTTCTTTTGCTGTGCAGAAGCTCTTTAGTTTAATTAGATCCCATTTGTCAATTTTGGCTTTCGTTGCCATTGCTTTTGGTGTTTTAGACATGAAGTCCTTGCCCATGCCTATGTCCTGAATGGTAATGCCTAGGTTTTCTTCTAGGGTTTTTATGGCTTTAGGTTTAACGTTTAAGTCTTTAATCCATCTTGAATTGATTTTTGTATAAGGTGTCAGGAAGGGATCCAGTTTCAGCTTTCTACATATGGCTAGCCAGTTTTCCCAGCACCATTTATTAAATAGGGAATCCTTTTCCCATTGCTTGTTTTTCTCAGATTTGTCAAAGATCAGACAGTTGTAGATATGCGGCGTTATTTCTGAGGGCTCTGTTCTGTTCCATTGATCTATATCTCTGTTTTGGTACCAGTACCATGCTGTTTTGGTTACTGTAGCCTTGTAGTATAGTTTGAAGTCAGGTAGTGTGATGCCTCCAGCTTTGTTCTTTTGGCTTAGGATTGACTTGGCGATGTGGGCTCTTTTTTGGTTCCATATGAACTTTAAAGTAGTTTTTTCCAATTCTGTGAAGAAAGTCATTGGTAGCTTGATGGGGATGGCATTGAATCTATAAATTACCTTGGGCAGTATGGCCATTTTCATGATATTGATTCTTCCTACCCATGAGCATGGAATGTTCTTCCATTTGTTTGTATCCTCTTTTATTTCATTGAGCAGTGGTTTGTAGTTTTCCTTGAAGAGGTCCTTCATATCCCTTGTAATTTGGATTCCTAGGTATTTTATTCTCTTTGAAGCAATTGTGAATGGGAGTTCACTCGTGATTTGGCTCCCTGTTTGTCTGTTATTGGTGTATAAGAATGCTTGTGAATTTTGTACATTGATTTTGTATCCCGAGACTTTGCTGAAGTTGCTTATCAGCTTAAGGAGATTTTAGGCTGAGACAATGGGGTTTTCTAGATATACAATCATGTCATCTGCAAACAGGGACAATTTGACTTCCTCTTTTCCTAATTGAATACCCTTTATTCCCTAATCCTGCCTAATTGCCCTGGCCAGAACTTCCAACACTATGTTGAATAGGAGTGGTGAGAGAGGGCATCCCTGTCTTGTGCCTGTTTTCAAAGGGAATGCTTCCAGTTTTTGCCCATTCAGTATAATATTGGCTGTGGGTTGGTCATAGATAGCTCTTATTATTTTGAGATACGTCCCATCAATACCTAATTTATTGAGAGTTTTTAGCATGAAGGTTGTTGAATTTTGTCAAAGGCCTTTTCTGCATCTATTGAGATAATCGTGTGGTTTTTGTCTTTGGCTCTGTTTATATGCTGGATTACATTTATTGATTTGCGTATATTGAACCAGCCTTGCATCCCAGGGATGAAGCCCACTTGATCATGGTGGATGAGCTTTTTGATGTGCTGCTGGATGCACTTTGCCAGTATTTTATTGAGGATTTTTGCATCAATGTTCATCAAGGATATTGGTCTAAAATTCTCTTTTTTGGTTGTGTCTCTGCCTGGCTTTGGTATCAGGATGATGCTGGCCTCATAAAATGAGTTAGGGAGGATTCCCTGTTTTTCTATTGATTGGAATAGTTTCAGAAGGAATGGTACCAGTTCCTCCTTGTACCTCTGGTAGAATTCTGTGAATCCATCTGGTCCTGGACTCTTTTTTGTTGCTAAGCTATTGATTATTGCCTCAATTTCAGATCCTGTTATTGGTCTATTCAGAGATTCAGCTTCTTCCTGGTTTAGTCTTGGGAGAGTGTATGTGTTGAGGAATTTATCCATTTCTTCTAGATTTTCTAGTTTATTTGCATAGAGGTGTTTGTAGCATTCTCTGATGGTAGTTTGTATTTCTGTGGGATCAGTGGTGATATCCCCTTTATCATTTTTTATTGTGTCTATTTGATTCTTCTCTCTTTTCTTCTTTATTAGTCTTGCTAGCAGTCTATCAATTTTGTTGATGCTTTCAAAAAACCAGTTCCTGGATTCATTAATTTTTGAAGGGTTTTTTGTGTCTCTATTTCCTTCAGTTCTGCTCTGATTTTAGTTATTTCTTGCCTTCTGCCAGCTTTTGAATGTGTTTCCTCTTGCTTTTCTAGTTCTTTTAATTGTGACGTTAGGGTGTCAATTCTGGATCTTTCCTGCTTTCTCCTGTGGGCATTTAGTGCTATAAATTTCCCTCTACACACTGCTTTGAATGTGTCCCAGAGATTCTGGTATGTTGTGTCTTTGTTCTCCTTGGTTTCAAAGAACATCTTTATTTCTGCCTTCATTTCGTTTTGTACCCAGTAGTCATTCAGGAGTAGGTTGTTCAGTGTCTATGTAGTTGAGTTGTTTTGAGTGTGTTTCTTAATCCTGAGTTCTATTTTGATTGCACTGTGGTCTGAGAGACAGTTTGTTATAATTTCTGATCTTTTACATTTGCTGAGGAGAGCTTTACTTCCAAGTATGTGGTCAATTTTGGAATAGGTGTGGTGTAGTGCTGAAAAAAATGTATATTCTATTGATTTGGGGTGGAGAGTTCTGTAGATGTCTATTAGGTTCACTTGGTGCAGAGCTGAGTTCAATTCCTGGGTATCCTTGTTGACTTTCTGTCTCGTTGATCTGTCTAATGTTGACAGTGGGGTGTTAAAGTCTCCCATTATTAATGTGTGGGAGTCTAAGTCTCTTTGTAGGTCACTCAGGACTTGCTTTATGAATCTGGGTGCTCCTATATTGGGTGCATATATATTTAGGATAGTTAGCTCTTCTTGTTGAATTGATCCCTTTACCATTATGTGATGCCCTTCTTTGTCTCTTTTGATCTTTGTTGGTTTAAAGTCTGTTTTATCAGAGAGTAGGATTGCAACCCCTGCCTTTTTTTTGTTTTCCATTTGCTTGGTAGATCTTCCTCCATCCCTTTATTTTGAGCCTATGTGTGTCTCTGCACATGAGATGGGTTTCCTGAATACAGCACACTGATGGGTCTTGACTCTTTATCCAATTTGCCAGTCTGTGTCTTTTAATTGGAGCATTTAGTCCATTTCCATTTAACATTAATATTGTTATGTGTGAATTTGATCCTGTCATTATGATGTTAGCTGGTTATTTTGCTCATTAGTTGATTCAGTTTCTTCCTGCTCTCAATGGTCTTTACATTTTGGCATGATTTTTCAGTGGCTGGTACCGGTTGTTCCTTTCCATGTTTTGTGCTTCCTTCAGGAGTTCTTTTAGGGCAGGCCTGGTGTTGACAAAATCTCTCAGCATTTGTTTGTCTGTAAAGTATTTTATTTCTCCTTCACTTATGAAGCTTAGTTTGGCTGGATATGAAATTCTGGGTTGAAAATTCTTTTCTTTAAGAATGTTGAATATTGGCCCCCACTCTCTTCTGGCTTATATAGTTTCTGCTGAGAGATCTGCTGTTAGTCTGATGGGCTTCCCTTTGTGGGTAACCCAACCTTTCTCTCTGGCTGTCCTTAACATTTTTTCCTTCATTTCAACTTCGGTGAATCTGACAATTATGTGTCTTGGAGTTGCTCTTCTCAAGGAGTACCTTTGTGGCGTTCTCTGTATTTCCTGAATCTGAATGTTGGCCTGCCTTGCTAGGTTGGGGAAGTTCTCCTGGATAATATCCTGCAGAATGTTTTCCGACTTGGTTCCCTTCTCCCCGTCACTTTCAGGTACACCCATCAGATGTAGATTTGATCTTTTCACATAGTCCCATATTTCTTGGAGGCTTTGTTCATTTCTTTTTATTCTTTTTTCTCTAAACTTCCCTTCTCACTTCATTTCATTTGTTTCATCTTCCATCAGTGATAACCCTTTCTTCCAGTTGATTGCATCGCCTCCTGAGGCTTCTGCATTCTTCAGGTAGTTCTAGAGCCTTGGCTTTCAGCTCCATCAGCTCCTTTAAGCACTTCTCTGTATTGGTTATTCTAGTTATACATTCGTCTAAATTTTTTTCAAAGTTTTCAACTTCTCTGCCTTTGGTTTGAATTTCCTCCTGTAGCTCAGAGTAGTTTGATCATCTGAAGCCTTCTTCTCTCAACTCATCAAAGTCATTCTCCGTCCAGCTTTGTTCCATTGCTGGTGAGGAACTGCATTCCTTTGGAGGAGGATTGGCACTCTGCTTTTTAGAGTTTCCAGTTTTTCTGCTCTGTTTTTTCCCCATCTTTGTGGTTTTATCTACTTTTGGTCTTTGATGATGGTGATGTACAGATGGGTTTTTGGTGTGGATGTCCTTTCTGTTTGTTAGTTTTCCTTCTAACAGACAGGACCCTCAGCTGCAGGTCTGTTGGAGTTTGCTAGAAGTTCACTCCGGACCCTGTTTGTCTGGTTATCAGCAGCGGTGTCTGCAGAACAGGGGTTTTTCGTGAACCGCGAATGCTGCTGTCTGATCATTCCTCTGGAAGTTTTTTCTCAGAGGAGTACCCGGCTGTGAAGTGTCAGTCTGCCCCTACTGGGGGGTGCCTCCCAGTTAGGCTGCTCGGGGGTCAGGGGTCAGGGACCCTCTTGAGGAGGCAGTCCGCCCTTTCTCAGATCTCCAGCTGCGTGCTGGGAGAACCACTGCTCTCTTCAAAGCTGTCAGACAGGGACATTTAAGTCTGCAGAGGTTACCGCTGTCTTTTTATTTGTCTGTGCCCTGCCCCCAGAGGTGGAGCCTACAGAGGCAAGTAGGCCTCCTTGAGCTGTGGTGGGCTCCACCCAGTTGGAGCTTCCCGGCTGCTTTGCTTACCTAAGCAAGCCTGGGCAATGGCGGGCGCCCCCCCCCCCAGCCTCGCTGCTGCCTTGCAGTTTGATCTCAGACTGCTGTGCTAGCAATCAGCGAGACTCTGTGGCTGTAGGACCCTCCTAGCCATGTGCTGGATATAATCTCCTGGTGTGCCATTTTTTAAGCCGGTCAGAAAAGCACAGTATTCGGGTGGGAGTGACCCGATTTTCCAGGTGCCATCTGTCACCCCTTTCTTTGACTAGGAAAGGGAACTCCCTGACCCCTTGTGCTTCCCGAGTGAGGCAATGCCTCGCCCTGCTTTGGCTGGTGCACAGTATGCTGCACCCACTGACCTGCGCCCACTGTCTGGCACTTCCTTGTGAGTTTCACTTGCGTCCGTGTGAAGAGACCACCAAACAGGCTTTGTGTGAGCAATAAAGCTGTTTATTTCACCTGGGTGCAGGTGGGCTGAGTCCGAAAAGAGAGTCAGTGAAGGGAGATAAGGGTGGGGCCATTTTATAGGATTTCAGTAGGTAAAGGAAAATTACAGTCAAAGGGGGTTGGTTCTCTGGCGGGCAGGAGTGGGGGTCACAAGGTGCTCAGTGGGGGTGTTTTTGAGCCAGGATGAGCCACGAAAAGGACTTTCACAAGGTAATGTCATCACTTAAGGCAAGGACTGGCCATTTACACTTCTTTTGTGGTGGAATGTCATCAGTTAAGGTGGGGCAGGGCATATTCACTTCTTTTGTGATTCTTCAGTTACTTCAGGCCATCTGGGCATATTCATGCAAGTCACAGGGGATGTGATGGCTTGGCTTGTGCTGAGAGGCCTGACATTCCTGCCTTCTTATATTCATAAGAAAAATAAAACAAAATAGTGTTGAAGTGTTGGGGCATCGAAAATTTTTGGGGGATAGTGTGGAGAGATAATGGGCGATGTTTCTCAGGGCTGCTTCCAGCGGGATTAGGGGTGGCGTGGGAACCTAAAGTGGGAGCGATTAAGCTGAAGGAAGATTTTGTGGTAAGGGGTGATATTGTGGGGTTGTTAAAAGAAACATTTGTCATTTAGAATTATTGGTGATGGCCTGGATACAGTTTTGTATTAATTGAAAAACTAAATGGAATAAGAGAAGGAGAAAAACAGGTATTAAAGGACTAAGAATTGGGAGGACCTGGGACATCTAATTAGAGAGTGCCTAAGGAGGTTCAGCATAGCCTTGCCAGCAAAGATTATTTATTTACTTTAAGTGTTAAGAGTGGCAGTTTGGGGACAGTACCAGGAGATATCAGCTGTGATGGCTTGGAGAAACAGAGTAAACACGAGCAGGGCATGTATGAGTAGTTGAGAACGGTGAATAGGAGTATGACTAGACAGAAGATAGTAGGGATGACCAGTTTTTTGGGGGCACAGTCTAAGTTGGTCTGGTGTCTGTAATGAGACTGGGGCCTAATAAAAAGGAGCATCTATACAGGAGCTTAAATGGGCTGTTATCTTGTTGCATTCCGAGGACAGGCCTGAATTCTGAGAAGCAAAAGTGGTAAAAGTATTGTCCAGTCCTTCTTAAGTTGGTGGCTGAGCTGGGTGAGGTGTGTTTTTAATAGACTATTAGTCTGTCACTGAATACTAAGAGCCTGAAAAAATGCTTGGCTGATTTGACTAATAACGGTTGGTCCGTTATCAGACTGTATAGAGGTGGGAAGGCTAAACTGAGGAATTATGTCTGACAGAAGGGAAGAAATGACTGCAGTGGCCTTCTCAGACCCTATAGGAAAGGACTCTACTTATCCAGTGAAAGTATCTACCTAGACTAAGAGTTATTGTAGTTATCTTACTTGCGGCATGCTGAGTAAAGCTAATTTGCCAGTCCTGGGTTGGGGCAAATCCTTGAGCTTGATGTGTAGGGAAGGGAGGGGGCCTGAATAATCCATGAGTAGTAGTAGAATAGCAGATGGAACACTGAGAAATTATTTCTTTGAGGATAGATTTCCATGCTGGAAAGGAAATGAGAGATTCTAAGAGGCAGGCTAGTGGCTTGTACTATAGCATAGCCTGCCTTTGCTGGTGTGTGGTGATTAGGCCTGGTGGAACTGCCATCAATAAACTAAGTGTGATCAGGGTGAGGAACAGGGAAGAAGGAAATGTGGGGAAATGGGGTGAATGTCAGGTGGATCAGAGAGGTGCAGTCATGGGGGACAGATGTGGTATCTGGAATAATGTGGAGGCCGGATTGAAGTCCGGGGCAGGAACAATGGTAATTGTGGAGAATTAAGAAACAGTGAGTACAGCTGAAGGAGCCGGGGAGCAGAAAGTATATGCATCATGTATGAGGAAGAAAATAGATTTTGGAAGTTATGAGAACTGTAGAGAGTGAGTTGAGCATAGTTTGTGATTTTGAGGGCCTCTAGAAGTATTAAAGCAGTGGCAGTCGCTGCACGCAGACATGAGGGCTAGGCTAAAACAGTAAGGTCAAGTTGTTTGGACAGAAAGGCTACAGGGTGTGGTCCTGGCCCTTGTGTAAGAATTCTGACCATGCTAACCATGCCTAGGAAGGAAAGGAGTTGTTTTGTAGAAGGTGCTGGGATTTGAGAGATCAGTCGGACATGATTGGCAGGGAGAGCACATGTGTTTTTATGAGAATTATGCCGAGATAGGTAACAGATGAGGAAGAAATTTGGGCTTGATTGAAGTAATGGGGGCTGTCTGTGAAGCTTTGCGGCTGTACAGCCTAGGTAATTTGCTGAGCTTGATGGGTGTCAGGGTCAGTCCAAGTGAAAGCGAAGAGAGGCTGGGATGAAGGGTGCAAAGGAACAGTAAAGAAAGCATGTTTGAGATCTAGAACAGAATAATGGGTTGTAGAGGCACGTATTGAGGATAGGAGAGTGTATGGGTTTGGCACCATGGGGTGCATAGGCAAAACAATTTGGTTGATAAGGCGCAGATCCTGAACTAATCTGTAAGACTTGTCCAGTTTTTGGGCAGGAAAAATGGGGGAATTGTAAGGAGAGTTATAGGTTTTAGAAGCCCATGCTGTAGCAGGCGAGCGATAATAGGCTTTAATCCTTTTAAAGCGTGCTGTGGGATGGGATATTGGCGTTGAGTGGGGTGAGGGTGATTAGGTTTTAATGGGATGGTAACAGGCATGTGATCGGTTGCCAGGGAAGGAGTGGAGATGTCCCATACTTGTGGGTTAAGGTGGGGGAATAGGAGAGGAAGATACACAGGAGGCTTTGGGTTGGGGAGAAGGGCAGCAATGAGATGCAGCTGTAGTCCAGGAATAGTCAGGGAAGCAGATAATTTGGTTAAAATATCTCGGCCTAATAAGGGAACTGGGCAGGTGTGGATAACTAAAAAAGAGTGCACAAAAGAGTGTTTTCCAAGTTGGCACCAGAGTAGGGGGGTTTTCAGGGGTTCAGAAGCCTGGCCATCAATACCTACAACAGTTATGGAGGCAAAGGAAACAGGCCCTTGAAAAGAAGGTAATGTGGAGTGAGTAGCCTCCGTATTGATTAAGAAGGGGACGGGCTTACTTTCCACTGTGAGAGTTACCCGAAGCTCAGCATCCGTGATGGTTTAGGAGCTTCCCAGGTGATTGGGCAGTGTCAGTCTTTAGCCGCTAAGCCAAGAAGGAGTCAGTCAGACAGCCTTGGGCCAGAATTCCAGGGGCTCTGGGAGTGGCTGCCAGGTGAGTTGAACAGTCCGATTTCCACTGGGGTCCCACACAGATGGGACATGGCTTAGGAGGAATCCCAGGCTGCGGGCATTCCTTGGCTCAGTGGCCAGATTTTTGGCACTTGTAGCAAGCTCCTGGGGGAGGAGGTTCTGGAGGAATGCCTGGCCGCTGCGGTTCAGGCGTTTGGAAATTCTTGTGTGCTAGAGATGTGGCTGGGGTTTGTCTCACAGTGGAGGCAAGGAATTGCAACTTTGTTTTATTATTGTACACCTTGAAAGTGAGGTTAATTAAGTCCTGTTATGGGGTTTGAGGGCTAGATTCCGATTTTTGGAGTTTTATTTAATGTCGGGAGCAGATTGGGTAATAAAATGTATATTGAGAATAAGATGGCCTTTTGACCTTTTAGGGTCTAGGGCTGTAAAGCATCTCAGGGTTGCTGCCGAATGAGCCATGAACTGGGCTGGGTTTTTATATTTGATGAAAAACAGCCTAAACGCTTCTGATTTGGGATAAAGAAAAAGGAGCATTAACCTTGACTATGCCTTTGGCTCCAGCCACCTTTTTAAGAGTAAATTGCTGGGCAGGTGGGGGAGGGCTAGTCAGGGAACAAAGCTGTAAGCCAGACCAGGTGTGAGGAGGGGAGGTGATAAAAGGATTATAGGGTGGAGGAGCAGAGGCTGAGGAAGAATTGGGACTTAGCTCAGCCTGGCAAGGAGGGGAGAGGTCAGATGGGTCTGTAGAAAAGGAAGATTAGAAAGACTTAGCGACGCTTGGGGTTGGGCCTGAGGGGACAGGCGGGAGGGAAAGAAGGAAGATTTGGGATGAATTGCATTGGGCAGAGACTAGGAAGGGACTGATGTGTAAAAGAATGCCTGGACATCAGGCACCTCAGACCATTTGCCCATTTTATGACAAGAATTATTTAGGTCTTGTAGGATGGAAAAATTGAAACTGCCATTTTTCTGGCTATTTGGAACTACTGTCAAGTTTGTATTGGGTTCAAGCGGCATTGCAGAAGAAAAAAGACGCTTAGATTTTAGGTCAGGTGAGAGTTGAAGAGGTCTTAAGTTCTTAAGAATACAGGCTAAGGGAGAAGAAGGAGGAATGGAAGGTGGAAGCTTGCCCATAGTGAAGGAGGCAAGCCCAGAGAAAAGAGTAGAGACATGGAGAAGGGGTGGGGGTTTCTTGCCCTCCAGAAAAGCAGAGAAAGGGTTGGGGCACAGAAATAAGGGATTGGGGCACAGAGATAAGAGGTTGGGGTGTGGAAATAAGGGATTGGGGTGCAGAGATAAGAAGTTGTGGTGTGGAAATAAGGGATTGGGGTGCAGAGATAAGAGGTTGGGGCACGGAAATAAGGGATTGGGGTGCAGAGATAAGAGGTTCGGCACAGAAATAATGGATTGGAGCACAGAGATAAGAGGTTGGGGCACAGAAATAAGGGATTGGAGCGCAGAGATAAGAGGTTGGGGCATGGAAATAAGGGATTGGGGTGCAGAGATAAGAGGTTGGGGCACGGAAATAAGGGATTGGAGCACAGAGATAAGAGATTGGGGCACGGAAATAAGGGATTGGAGCGCAGAGATAAGAGGTTGGGGCACGGAAATAAGGGATTGGAGCGCAGAGATAAGAGGTTGGGGCACGGAAATAAGGGATTGGGGTGCAGAGATAAGAGGTTGGGGCATGGAAATAAGGGATTGGGGTACAGAGATAAGAGGTTGGGGCATGAAAATAAGGGATTGGGGGTTCTTGCCCTCTAGAAAAGTGGGACTTGCCACTAAGGGTGAAGGAGAAGGGGTTGAGGGGTACTTGCTCCTCTCCCAGAAAAGTGGGACTTGCCACTAAGAGTGAAGGAGAACGGGTTGAGGGGTACTTGCCCCTCTCCCAGAAAAGCAGAGAAGGGGTAGAGACAAGGAGAGAAGGGGTTGGGGTACTTGCCCCTTCCCCAGAAAAGCGGGACTTTCTGCTAAGGGTGAAGGACCAAGGCAGGCATCCCTGTGTGGTCTGACACCTTTGAAACGTGGGTGAATAATCAGAGAGGCACCCCTGCAATGATTAAACACCAAGGGAAGGCTGACTTCCCAGTCCATGACCGGCGCCAGAGTTTTGGGTCCACGGATAAAACATGTCTCCTTTGTCTCTACCAGAAAATGAAAGGAATTGAAATTAAGAGAAGGGAGAGATTGAAGTGTGGCACCAAGATTGAAAGGAGAAAGAGGCTGAGGGATAGTGTGGGAGGTTGGAGAAGAGAGTCAAAAGAGGCCGCTTACTGGATTTGAAATTGGTGAGATGTTTCTTGGGCTGGTCGGTCTAAGGACCTGAGGTCGTAGGTGGATCTTTCTCATGGAGCAAAGAGCAGGAGGACGGGGGATTGATCTCCCAAGGGAGGTCCCCCGATCCGAGTCACGGCACCAAATTTCATGTGTGTCCATGTGAAGAGACCACCAAACAGGCTTTGTGTGAGCAATAAAGCTGTTTATTCCACCTGGGTGCAGGTGGGCTGAGTCTGAAAAGAGAGTCAGTGAAGGGAGATAAGGGTGGGGCCATTTTATAGGATTTGGGTAGGTAAAGGAAAATTATAGTCAAAGGTGGTTTGTTCTCTGGCGGGCAGGAGTGGGGGTCGCAAGGTGCTCAGTGGGGGTGTTTTTGAGCCAGGATGAGCCATGAAAAGGACTTTCACAAGGTAATGTCATCACTTAAGGCAAGGACCAGCCATTTACACTTCTTTTGTGGTGGAATGTCATCAGTTAAGGTGGGGCAGGGCATATTAACTTCTTTTGTGATTCTACAGTTACTTCAGGCCATCTGGGCGTATACATGCAAGTCACAGGGGACGCGATGGCTTGGCTTGGGCTCAGAGGCCTGACAGTGAGATGAACTTGGTACCTCAGATGGAAATGCAGAAATCACCCATCTTCTGCGTTGCTCACGTTGGGAGCTGTAGACCGGAGCTGTTCCTATTCGGCCATCTTGGCTCCTCTGGACTCCAGGTTCTTACACATTTTCTTCTGTGCCTATGCTGTGTTCTTCACTGTAATTTGGTTTGGGAAAGTGTGGTTTTCAGCCATAGCAAAGAAAATTGTCTTCAGAATTCGAACTGTCTTTAGTGAAATGTGATTTTTCACCAAATATGTGTTTCCACAAAGTGTTTTCTAGCAGCTGGGAGAGGTAGCCGGCTGAGCTCTGTGTTGAAACACATGCTCTCGTGTCTTTTATTTTATTTCCTAACTGCTCTGGCTAGGACTTCCAGTCATTACTATATTGAATGAGAGTGACGAAATTAGACATTCTAATCTTCCAGTACTTAGAGGAAAAGCTTTCTGCTTCTCTCCATTCTGTATGATGTTAGCTCTGGAGATGTCATATATGGCTTTTATTATGCTGAAATGTGTTCCTTCAGTTCCTAATTTGTTGCGGTTTTATCATGAGAGGGATGTTTAATATTATTAAGTACTTTTCTGCATCTATTGAGATGATCATATAGTTTTCGTTTTTTATTCTGTTGATGTGATGTATCACAATCATTGATTTGCATATGTTGAATCATCCTTGCATCTCTGGGACAAATCCCACATGATTATGGTGTGTTACCTTTTTGATGAGTTTTTGAATTCAGTGTACAAATATTTTGTTAAAGACTTGTCTATGTTCATCAGGGATAGTTTTCGTGTAGTTTGTTTTTGTTGTTTTTTGTGCTCCTGTGTGGTTTTCGAATGTGAGTAATGCAAGCCTTATAGAATGACTTAGTAGGAATTCCCTCATCAATGTTTTTTGAAATACTGTGAGAATTCCTTTTATTTCTTTATAACAGTGTGAAAAAATTGTTTTTTATTTATTAATTGCTATAAGTTGACCTCTCTTTGCACTGCTTTTGCTATATCTCATAGATTTTTGTATGTTGTGTTTTCATTTTTCTTTCAATTTTTTTTACATTTTCTTCTTAGTTTCTTCACCGACCTAATGATCCGTAAGGAGCATGTTTCTTAATTTACTTGTGTTTGTACCATTTCTAAACTTCCTCTTGTTATTAATTTACACTTTTAGTTCATTATGTCCTGAGAACGTACTTGATGAGATTTTGTTTTTTAAAAGTGTGTTGAAACTTGTTTGATGGCCTAACATATAGTCTATCCTGGAGAATGTTTCATATGCTAATGAGAATAATGTGTATTCAGCAGCTGTTGGAAATAATGTTCTTTAAATGTCTGTTAGGTTCATTTGGTCGGTAGTGCAGATCAAGCCTGATGTTTCCTAGTCAAATTTCTGTCTAGCTGAGCTATCTAATCGCTTAAAGTGGGTTATTGAAGTGTCCAACTATTACTGCATCGAGGTCTGTCTCTCTTTTTAGCTGTAATAATATTTATATATCTGGGTGTTCTAGTGTTGGGGGCATATATATTTATGACTGGTATATTCTCTTGCTGAATTGAGCCCTTTATCTAAAATAATGGCCATTTTTGTTTCTTTTTATATTTTTATTTTAATTTCTTTTTGCTTAAAGTCTTTTTGTCTTATATAAATATAGCTACTACTGCATGTCTTTGGTTTCTGCTTCCCTGGAATATTTTTTCTGCCTTTTTCTTTTCTTTTCTTTTTTGAGATGGAGTCTTGCTCTGTCACCAGGCTGGAGTGCAGTGGCACAATCTTGGCTCACTGCAGCCTCCGCCTCCCGGTTGAAGTGATTCTCCTGCCTCAGCCACCCAACCAGCTGGGACTACAGGCACCACGCCCAGCTAATTTTTGTATTTTTAGTAGAGACGGGGTTTCACCATGTTGGCCAGGATGGTCTCAATCTCTTGACCTCGTGATCTGCCCTCCTCGGTCTCCCAAAGTGCTGGGATTACAGGCGTCAGCCACTGCGCCAGGCCAGAAACTTTTTAAAAAAGAGACAGTGTCCTGCTCTGAGGCCCAGTCTAGAGTGCAGTGGCATGATTATAGCTCACTGTAACCTCGAACTTCTGGCCTTAAGTGATTGATCCTCCCACCTCAGCCTCACGAAATGTTAGAATTACAGACATGAGCAACCATGCCCAACCTTGGTACTATTAGAAACTGAAAAAAAATCTTGAATGCATCCAGAAGAAATAAATATGAATGAACATATTTAAGAAACTTTGAATCATTCAAAGGAGGATATGCGCTGCCAGCAATTAAAATGTATTTTTATAATATACATATGTAATTCTTACATGGTATAATAATGGTCAGAAATAGGCATATTAATGAGATTCGTAAGTCTCCAAACACTCATAATATAGTAGAGTTCTTAAACATATAAAACAGGGATTTTTCAATAATCAGAACTGGAACAAGTGGCCAACCATCATCCAAATAATGTTTCCTTATTTCAAAATAGAACGTCGAAATAAATCCATGTGTATTAAACATCTTAATTTTAGAAATTATATCATAAAGTGTAGATAAATGTAGGTAATTATCCATCTTAAGGTAAGAAAACAATTTTAAGCACACATGCAAGTATAAAATCTGTTGAGAAAGGAGATATAAAATTATATAAACATTTTTAAAAACTGTGAGTCAAAATTACATAAAATAAAATTTTAAATTAAGACTTCAAATTAAAAAACATAATTAGAAAACATGGGACCTGTCAAAGGCTAATATCATTGATTAGATAAATACCCAGAGAAAAATATTTTAAGAGACTGTGAACTTATTTATTAAAAAAGTGGATTTGACCAGTGCACTAATAAAAGTTCAAACTCACTATTCACAAATCGTGTATTTGTGAAAATACACAATTTCATGTATTTTTATGCAAATACATTAAAAGTAAAACATTGAAATGCTATTTTTAACTTATAAATCAATAACTTGGTGAAAGTTTAGGAGAAGCTAATATTTTAAATGCTGTTTGTGTTACACTCTATTACCTTTCCTTTCTTGAATGCTATTGGTTAATATGTTTGAAACATTGTCTCCAGGAATCCATTTTAAAGAAATAAATGAAGAGAGGAAAAAAAGGTAAATGCATAAAATATTCTTTGTAGATTTGTTTATACAGCCAATAGAAAACATATGAAGTAGAATTAATTTATTAATAATTTTGTTCTTAAATTCTTGATTATATTAGCAAAAAATCTTGGCATCGTGGGTAAAAAAGGAGACGGGAAGTAAAAATATTTAAGACTTTTAATCTTATACAAAGGGAATCAATAAACAGTATTTATTATTCAATTCTTGGTATTTCTAAGTAGAGATGGTTATTGTTATGATAGATTTTTATAATTTGTGGGTCATTAATTACAAAACAATTTTCAGTTTGCTAAAATACTTCCATATTTCTAGCAGAAATATAGAAAGTAAAAATATGGTACATTTAGCATATGAAAGAATAAAAGAAAAACCATAAGGAAACATTTAAAAAAGTAATAAACAATGAAACAGAAGTAAAGGCAAACATCTGGTATGACAATTAAACTTATTTAATAATAGACAAAATTTTAGATAAAGTAAAAATAAAATCCAATTTCTTGCTGTTAAAAAATAACTAACCATAAACAAAACACAGAAACATTTAAAAAGTAAAGGGAGGACCAAAGATACATCAATCAATAAAATAGCAGAAATGGCAATATTAATATTAAAATAGAATTTAAAAAAATTAAGAATAGCAGTTTTTAAAATCAAATCTATACATAATATGATAGTTATAAGACATAACATTAAATTCTACAAATAAAAATAACTTTTTAATGGAAACAATTCACAAAAACTTGATTATATTGGAAAATTTTAGCATATTACTACTCTCAAGCCTTGAGAGAGAAAACAGAATAAGTACCAAATATGCAAATAGCATAATTAGATTTGATAAATATATTTCCATTATTTTCCTCTATGATAAGAGAATATACTTTTTCTTCAAAATCCAAAACATTTTTACAAATTGATGATTTTAAAAGACAAATTTAAATTAAAATATCCAAACAGAAGAAAATTTTTAAATAGTCTCCTTCTAGAGTAAATAGAAATTTTGAGTCAAATAGAAAATCAAGAATGCATTTGTAAACAATTTGAGAAACATCATTGATGCTACAGCATGTTCAACCTTTTGAATCATAAAGCTGTACATTGCAGCAAATAAATGTTTGAATTATTACACCAGAGAATACAGTTACAAGCCTACAAATCAATCATTTAGGAAAATATTTTAAAAAGTATGTCTAAAGAAAATAGAAGGAAGAAAGTAACAAAATTAAACAAAAAATTAATCAATTAGCAAACAATTTAAAAGCCATTTCTTTGAAAAATTCAATGAAATAAGTAACTGACAAGCATAATGCACAAAAAAGACAAACTCAATACACCAAATTAGGAATAAAGAAGAAACATAATAAGAAATACTAAGTTTGGATGCTCCAAGTTTATAAAGCTGAAATTATCTTTTAAAAAATCTAAATTTTTGGCCAGTGTCTAATAGTGTCTAATATCAAGACACTATAAGGAACTTAAACGAAGCAACAAGAAAATAACATATAACCCCATTAAAAAGTAGACAACGGACATGTACAGACACTTCACAAAAGAAAACACGTGGCCGGGCGCAGTGGCTCACACCCCTAATCCCAGCACTTTGGGAGCCCAAGGCGGGCAGATCACGAGGTCAGGAGATTAAGACTATCCTGGCTAACACGGTGAAACCCCATCTCTACTAAAAATATAAAACATTAGCCGGGCGTGGTGGTGGGCGCCTGTAGTCCCAGCTACTTGGGAGGCTGAGGCAGGAGAATGGCGTGAACCTGGGAGGTGGAGCTTGCAGTGAGCCGAGATAGCGCCACTACCCTCCAGCCTGGGCGACAGAGCGAGACTCCGTCTCAAACAAACAAACAAACAAATCTAAATTTTTCTAGAAAAAGTACAAATTTTCAAAGTTGAATTAACAAGCATATATTTTTTAAAAGCTACAATGTCCAATCAAAAGCTTTTCAAAGTATTATTTTTCAAAAAGGCTAAGACATTCTTTCCAACGTAAAAGGAACAGATTATTCTTATGCTATAAAAACTGTTCCAAAACATTAATAATTAAGTAGTTGTCTAGTTAATTTTATAAAGTTGCATAATCCTGATACCAGAATTTGACAAAGACGGCAAAATACAAAAAACGATGAAATTGTATTTTTTAAATATATTGTATTGAAAATTATGTTCAAGACTTGTTATAGAAAAATGAATTCAATGCCAAAGAAGTGTGAGATAATCATCCCCTGCAGAAGTTCAACAATGTACACCATCATAATAAAGAATCTATGATTCTGCAGTTATAAGTGTTATCATTAACTCAACATATTCCAAAATTATTTGGACAGAAAACACATTTTAATATTACACATTAATATTTAAATGTTATATGACTCTAATGCCTGATACGTAGTAGGTCCTCAATTTTTTTTTTTTTTTTTTTTTTTTTTTTTTTTTTTTTTTACCCTCTCTCATTCTGTTTTCAAGTGCTGAGCTTTCATACCATGGAGAGTGGATGGCGTTGATCTTCATGGTGATTATTCAGGCCTTTCCTAGATTAGTATGACTACAGAGCTGACTAAAAATGTTGTTCTCAACAATGTAAAAGTAAAGGTACAGTTAGCATAAAGAGGGAGATGGAAGAGGGTTTGAAGACCTGGAGAGAAGTTAGGAAGTTCTAAGTTTTTCATTTTGCAAAATGCACATAGTGACCTCTGTACTTAGTGACCTTACTATGTACAGGTAACAGAAGAACAATGGAGGATTTGTGAGTGACATTAGTACCAATCTATCAGAGTAGACAGTCAACAGACATTGCCTAAAGTTGGTAAATCAAGAGTAGTCATATGAGTATACATTTAAAGATATGAAAGTGACCATCGAAAAAACCAACAAACAAGCCAGGCACAGTGGCTCACACCTGTAGTCCTAACTATTTGGGGGGCTGAGGCAGGAGCATGGCTTCAGCCCAGGAGTTCAAAGGCAACATAGTGAGACCCTTGTTTCTAAAAATAAACATTTTAAAAAAGAAACAGGAAAAGAAAAGCCAACAAACTAAACTAGTGAGTAGTCAGTTGTTGCCTTTGAGGAATAGAAGTCAAGGTGGGCTAGAGGTGGGTTAGAGGTCTTTGAGGAATAGAAGTCAAGGTGGGCTAGAGGACTATTACTTCTCATTTCAATTTTTTTTTTCATTTTTTAAACGATGTATATGTTTTAGTGTGTTAAAACTTTTCTAATTGCGATGTCCAAATTTTGATTTTTAGCAGAGTTAGTGAAAGCCAGTGATTTGGGATATAGATTAATGCAGGCACAACATGGCTTTTTGAAGCTGATAAACTCCAGTTTAAGTCTTTGCTCCACCAACTGCTAAAACTCACTGGCTTTGGACAAATCACTAACTCTTTAAGCCTCAGTTTGTTTATCTGAAAATATCAGTAACAATACCTTACACATAAAGCTATTTTAATCTTTAAAATTGAGAATGTCTAAGGCATTTAGCACACATACAGAGGGCACTTAATATAAATTGTTTCATTTAATATAATAGTGAATATATTATTATCAAGTATATGTCAAGTCTCAAGTATATGTCAATTTATCTCTTGAATCTCTCTTTATGTACAAGTATAGGTATGTAATATTTAAGTGTAAATTCCATAAATGCTAATGGTCACATTTCTTCCAGCAGTTTTTAGAGGCTTCAGATTGTTTTTAGTTTTTAATAGAAATCATGATGTAATGAAAGAACCCAGCATTGGCTTGCACACACCCACATTGGGGAAGTCATTTAATCCAATTTAAGTCACTCCACCTATAAAATGACATTGCTGTAGCTTTACCTGTCTGAAGGTTATAGTGAATCAGATGTTCAGTGGGGATGCTGGTCACCTTTAGGGGCCATGGCTGCAAAATAAGAGAATAATGTTGCCATTGAACTTGGAGCAATTGTGGGATCCTACACATCAATCACAGCTCTACCTCAAAAGTTTGGTCTTGGAACTGAGGGAATTTCCTTGACTTCTGAAAAGGAGTTTGGTTTAATTAAAAAATAAAGAACTAATTGTGCTTTCTGAGGCATAAAAAGTCTGCTTACCTCTGTCAAATGAGTTTACTTATCTAAAATATGAGGGTTCCTCTTAGTAAATTCAATTTCCCACTAAATGATACCCTCATTTGTTATACAGCTGAGTTTAATGTATGTAATTCCACTTTAAAATTAATGGTTGTGCATAAAAATACGCTTCCTTTAAATTGACCTTCAGTTCTTTCATAAGAAGATCATCATTTATTCATCCTTTGTGTTTTTTATTTTTCAAGTTATTCAAGAATAAATTGGAAACTCTTCTGTTTGGAAATTTACTTGTAAAGAAGTTATTTTTCAAGATATTGTGATAAAAAGCCTTGAAAAATAAAGAGCATGTAGGAGGCAGGATGAAGAATTTGAAGTTAAATTATTTCTCCACAAAGAAATCTCTTGACAAGTGTACTCCTCACCCCAATCAGTAAATATTTATTATGGGTAAGATTCATACAGGGATGACAAAAAGGATTCTTGCTCACAAGTTAGCAGGGGAGCAGCAGGTCTGAAGTAGGCCTGCTGGAAGCAAAACTGGAAATAAAAATTAAAAAGTCTTTATTTTCAAAAATAGCAAAATATAAAACAAGCATCACCAATTCAAATAAATTGACAAAGTTAATATACATTTAGAGAACATTTCCTTCTTTCTCCAACTCCAAATTTTCTATCTCCTTTTTTCCCATTCATATTTGCAAGATTGATATATAAAGGGAAAATTAAAAGAATGCAAATGATTTTGGTTGTACTGTATGATCACTTCACCTGAAGGAGCAGTGGTTTGCACCTGTAGTCCTAACCCTAGCTACTGGGGAGGCTGAAGCAGGCACATCGCTTGAGTTCAGGAATTCGAAGGCAACATAATGGGGAAACGTGAGTGAGGCTGCCATATTTTTGAGCTGGGCCTTCTTGTTGGATTTAGGCTTCAAGAAATGCCTCAAACAGACTGCTCTGGTGGGAGTGTCCTGTTGACGTGTGCTGATTGTTCTAAAGGCTACTAAAACTGTGTTCCAATTCCAAGTTTCCATAATTCTAAAGGATTATCCTCGATCATCCGACTTAAATGTTTTGGGCTTAGCACTACAGTATTCCAAAATATAAATCAACAACATTTGGAGAAAACAATATGCTAAATAAATTATTTGTGTGGTTTATAGTAGTTGTTGATGACTTGTATGGTACTGAAATACACAGATGACGGCAACTATAGGCGCAAACTGATCCAGTGAAATAAAGTAATGCAGAGACATTACAAATAATAGTAGCAGTTTAGTGTAACATTATAGGGTCAGGTTGGTATGGTGGAAAGATAACTTTAGATTTAACCTAGTTTTAATCCTGTCTGTGCCCCTCCAAGGTTAAGCAATGTATCTAACCTCTCTTAGCCTGTTTCATTTGTAAAATGGGGATTCAGATACTAAGAGTGCTACACAGATTAAGTAATACGATTTTTGGTGTGGCTGGTACATAGTAGAATTATGGGTTCCCATTGTAAACTTGAAAATCTCCTGAGTAAGTAAGGGTCCTCCTGTGCATTTGAAGGACTCTGTGGTCTCACTTAGACTGCAATGTCCTTCAGGTTATCTTTTCTAACCCAACTTTGCCTTTCATCTAGTCTTCTCCGGATTGTACCGGACTAACAGAATGTGGACAGAATTGGATGGTGAGCCAGCAGTAGAAACAGTATACCTCACTAGGGTGGTCTCTGTCTTAAGTCTGCTTTTCTTGGAAGGATTAAGCCTTTCTTTACAGCTATGGTGGAGGAAGAAACATATAGTTCATCATAGAGCTAAAGATTAAAGATTTTTGACTGCTGAACCTACCAACCCCCGTCAGAAGAGCATCAGGAAGTCAGGAAAGAAGAAACTCTTGGCCGGGCGTGGTGGCTCACACCTGTAATCTCAGCACTTTGGGAGGCCGAGGCGGGTGGATCACGAGGTCAGGAAATCAAGATCATCCTGGCTAACACGGTGAAACCCCGTTTCTACTAAAAATACAAAAAATTAGCCGGGCATGGTGGCGGGCGCTGATAGTCCCAGCTACTCAGGAGGCTGAGGCAGGAGAATGGCGTGAACGCGGGAGGCGGAGCTTGCAGTGAGCCGAGATCGCGCCATTGCACTCCAGCCTGGGCAACAGAGTGAGACTATGTCTTAAAAAAAAAAGAAAAGAAACTCTTGGCTTGACTTTTTCAGTTGCAGAGAAACAGAGCTATCTGGCAGGCTGTCCCAGGGGGAACTCCCTGTGCAGGAGTCCCTAGGCCCTGTGATGTGGGCCTGTGGAGCACCAAAAGGTACCACACTCAGACTTCCCATCAATTCATCCATCACTCTCCATTCCTGTTGTAACACCTACATTTATTGTAGACTTTCAGAAATTCACCTTTCAAACATGTTTTAGGAACACGTCGTGTATAAGTAGGAAGTTGCTTACATATATTAAAGTGGGGCAGTATTATATTTAACAATAGTTTTAAATTCATTGGATTCATAAAAGAACAATAATTGGGCATGTTAACATCAATTTTATTACTTTACAACCATAGTCACTTATAGCGCCACACAAAAAGCACATGTAAATTAATAGTAGGAGAGCTATTAATTCAAAATTCTAATCCCCAATATAATTTGCTGCTACACATTTCTATATAAATTATTGTATTTCAAAGAAAAGGAGGAGCTTAAAATGAAATCTTCCTCTCCATGTTCTGCTCCATCCTAAGATCATTATTAAAATACACAGATGAAGACAGCTATGGGAGAAAATACTATAGGAGTAATACTTGAAGGAACCCAAGGTATGAGTTAATTGTTAGCAGTATTTGCTTACTCTAGACACATTACACAGTTCAGAAATTACTTTAAATATAACCATGTGTGACAATAGAGACAATTGTTCTTCTAGGAGTACAGCTAATATATATCAATGAGCACAAAGCAAAATAAAGTGAAATAAGTAAGTGATATAAAATAATTTATATAAATTAAAAAGTTCAAAATTAGTTTTATCATCTGCATCTTCCATTATATGTTTCAGTATATTATCAGTTATATTACCTAATGCCTAGGACCAAAACAAAGTAGACATTTTTTGAAAGGAGAAAGAAATTACAAATTTAGAGCTCTTTTGATTACAATTTATTTGTTTGCAAAATGTCAACCAATTAGAAGACATGACTTCCAGTCATCATGTTTCTAAAGTTGAGTTTCCTTGCCTGGCCAGTAGTTGGGTTGTAGCAGATGATCACTTGTAGTGTAATTTTCCTTTTGGAATCTTGTAGACACCATTGTTCTTTCTCTCTTGGTTATAAAACTTCTGTGTTTTGAAACATAATTTTTCTTTAAAATGAAAAGTACTGCAATGCTTAGGAGAATTGACACTGTGCCCAGTATCACAGTTAGTCCCAGATATATATGTCTAGAAGAAGAGAGAATCTCTGTTATAATTAATGCAACAACCAACTTGAAAGAAAATTTAAAAGGTAATAATATCATACTGATGGTTTTCTTTAAGAATGTAGATTTGGTGGCTTATATAAAAGACTGTTTTATGAAATACTGACAGACTGTTGAAGGCAGTTTATAAAATAAAGCAATGTCTTAGTAGCACCATCATTTTTAGTTACTACTAATTACATAATCAGTTTCATCCTCTCTGTAAATTATTTCCTTAGACCAGGTAACCATATCCCTGTTTGCCTAGAACAGCCCCAGTTTATGCTAGTGCTGGCCCAGTATAATTTTAATAGTGCTCCTTTTCACACTCAAAAGTACCCAGTTTTGAATGATAAATTATGTGGCTACCCTATCCTCAGACCTTTCCCAACTTCATTTCTTTGGAAAACTTGCATAAAGAAATGCTAATGGGAATTGGAGCTCTGAGTAAAGCAGAATGATTTCAGAATAAACCAGAGATTTAAATCAGTTTATTTCATGAGAAACCTATAGTTCTATGCTTTGTCAGAAGATGCTAAGGTATGGAAGAACAGGTTGAATGTCTCATTCTGGTTACCTTGAAAACATACTCTCAATCTCTGATTGAGTTGCATTGTCTCTACATTACAGTTAATACAGCCTTAGCAAAAATGTGAGGAAATACTAAATTATACTCACAGATTGGGTCCCTTTCAAAGACCAAAATAAATTTCACGCATAGCATCAAAACCTATTAACTCAAACAAATTTATTCAAAATGGTGTGCCCAATTCACATCCAACTTAGATGGTTCAGTACCAAGTTTATTTCTCCAGAAAATGCTCAGTTTGTAAGTCTTTTAAACAATCTTTCTTGCTTTTAAGCCATTGCTTCAATGCTTTTTGCATTTTTTTAAGCAATAAGGGACTAAATGTTTAATGAGCTGAACTGAATGATACCATAGTGAAAAAGCCACGCCACCCAACCCCCATATACACTCACCCACACAGAGAAAACCTTTTACTTTCATGCATTTCAAGTACGAGAATAATTGAACATTAGTTTGGCAATAAAAGCCGGACAGATTTAGAGCCAAATCCAACTCTTGCCCAGGGGTATTATATCTGACGTAAGTGGTACAGTTTGGCTCAGTTTGAAAAAGAATAAAAATCAAACCCAAAATGTGACCTAAATTTAAATGCCTCTGAATTTCAGGGAAATACTTGCCCATTTGTGTGCATAAACTTTCAAAATTCTACTGTATTCTGGACACTTTTGTCATATTTTAAAAATGATTACTCATTTAAAATGGGGGTCAAGGTAATGAATAGGGACAAAATCAAAGATCTAATCAAATAATAATATAATTATTCTATGACTACAGATCACACTTTTTGATTAGACTATTCTTTACCTTACAAGCAGTGAAATGACATGAAAACTTGTTAGTGTCAGTGGCATTGTGTAAATCTGGGATGCTGTAGCAATGAGATGCGGGAATGCTTTTGATTTGGTACCTGAAGACATTTGAATCATATAATCTGCATGATCCTCTACTTCCACATCTTTTAAATCCCCATTTGAGGCATGAAGTATCAATCAAAACTCCAAAATACACTGGAGCTGGGATTCCTGCTGTGAGAAAAACAAATAATTGCTGTTAAAAACATATGCACATCTTTTTGTCTATGAACGATTATCTGAAACCACTTACTTTAATCTAATTACTGTTTTGGAGATGAAAGGCCATCAATTACATGCTGAAATCTCCCAAACCTATCTCTCTAATCCAGTCTTTTCTCATAAGCTCCAGAATCATGCAGTAACTGCCATTTATTTATCTCCAGAAGCATGTCACTCAGGCACTTCAAACTCAACATGAGCTCAACTTCTTCCCCTATAGACCTGTCCCTTTATCAGTGGAAGCCCAGTCATTAAAGCAGACTTGTGAGTTATCATTGATCCTTCTTTCTCCTCTCTCTGGCTATCACTATATTTAATCTGTCCCGGAATCATACTGAGTCTATCTATTAGGTATATCTTAAACACTTTCTCTTCTTTCCATTCCCACTGCCACTCCTTCTACCCTAACTTAAAGCAACAGCCAATTCATGATTCCTTGGCTTCATTCATTAACCTTCTCAAATCTGTACATCATACAGAGGTTGCATCACTGAATTAAGTAGGTGACTTCCCAAGACATCTGTTCCAAAAGAAGAGTAGTTAACTGAACATTGGGTCTTTCTACTTTTGTGGCCTCACTTTGGGCAAGATTGTTGTCTTACATTTCAGACTCAAATTTTCTTGGATTTCTTTCAGTGACTAAAATGTTCTCTCCTCTTGTCTGAATGCCTTGTGTAGTTTCCTTTATCCCAAGCAATGATTTTCTCTTATTCACATTCTTAATACACACTCACTTTTAAAATCCAAGTTTGAACGTTTTCCTTCAGTTCATTTTGATAAACTAAACTGCATTAATTCTCATTGTTTTACATCTCATCAAACTTTAAATACTCCTGTAATAGCTTGTTGAATTGCCTTCTCTGCTAGACTGTAAGCTCACCACGGTAGGAAACATGTCCTCCTTATTCATGCCAGAAACCCTAGTAGGTTCTCAGAAAATGTTAGGAATTTAATCCCTCCTTAGGGAGAAAATGTGTCTCTCATGTGCAAATATTAACGAAAGTATCTTAAGCAGTTGTTCATAGCTCAGTGTATATTTTATATGTTCTAAATTGGTGGTTCATTAACATTGGTTATTTAGTCTGTGTAGACTTTGGGATTTTGTTTTTTAGTTAGTAGCCAATAGCTGAAACCTAGGAGATTTCATATAAACTTGCACACTTCTGAGTTCTCTTAAGAACCATGTTGTCTGGCAGTCCATGGTCATAGTTGGCTGGAGTTAAGCAGCAGCTGCCTCACTCCCCCAACCGCTGCCTACACTTGGAGTCCACCACAAGTCCATACAGCTTTCTCTCTGCCTACATCACTCGTTTCCATCAACTGTCTGGTTGTTTCCGGCATTTGAGTTTTAACCTTTTTTGTATATGTTTTCTTCTGTTATAAAATTGCTTTGTATGCTTATATTGAACAAAATAATCTCACTAAATTTTTAAAGTCATCTAAGAATATTTATGACACTTCTAAATTTCAGAGATTATCCATTTGTTCTTTGAAAACAAATGAAAATATTTGAAAATATTTTCTATGTAAAGGTTTACCTAAACTTTGCAAATACTCATGTAAATAATTGATTCAATCCAGACTCATCGATGGCTGCTAAAATTTTGGGTGAAAGATTTTTGGGAAACAGAATGGTGACATAATCTCGAAGTGTCAAATTATAGGTGACTTATTAACTGCAGAAGGATTTTTCAATGGAGAAAACTGGTAGACACCACCTTCACCAAGGGACCAAAATTAAAATTCCAATGAGGTATAAACTGAAATGATGTGCTTCCTGATATGATTTACTAAGCATCATGCAAATCACGTGTGTAGTATTGCCACCAACAATATTTTACCTGGACATACTCACAAGCAAACAAACACATCCAATAGTTGGGATATTTTACAAAACAACTGGCTTTGCCTCTTGAAAAAAATATAAATGTCACAAAAGAACAAAAAAATAAGAATGAGGAATTTTTGGAGATAAAGAAAGGTAACTAAATGCAATATGTGGTCTTTGACCTTGGATCAAAAGAAAAAATAAAACACTATAGAAGACACTATTGTTATAATGAAAGAAATTTGAATGAGGGATTATATTAGATAGAGTAGCATATCAATGTTGAATTTCTGAAGTGTGAGAATGGTATTGTGGTTATATAGGACAAGTCTATATATAGATTTGCTCTAGTAGAAGAACACAAGTTGAGGGCTTTGGGAGTGAGGTGTCAGCATGTTCACTACTTATTTTCAAATGATTCAGCAAAATATTTGTATGCTCAGAGAAACAGAGGAGAGAGATTTCTGGTTTTTGGACACAGTTGATAAATCCCAGTAAAAGTTATACAGTTATTCATTGTAATTTAAATTTTTTGGTAGATTTGAAATTTTCGCAACAAATGGGAGAGAAAGAGGGAAGTAAAGCCTATGGATTAAAAAAGATTTTAGAGATATATCACCTAATGCAATTGTGGACCTTGTTTGGTTCTTAATTCAAACCTACATGTGTAAGGAAACATCAGATAATTTAAAGAATTTAAGCAGTAATTGGGTATTTGCTAATATTAAGAAGTTATTTTTTAAGATGCAAGAATCACCAGATTAAAACAAGTCATTATGGTTTTGATTAGAAGAGCACACCAAACATGTTATAGAAGAAATACAGTAGTCTGAGACTTACTTCAAAATAAGCTAGTTGGGTAAGTAGTTAGGGACACAGATGTCCTAAGATGAGCTGTGTATTGATAATTGTTGAAATTGGGTAATTGATAAATGGGAGTTCATTGCTATCTTTGCTGTATACAAAGACAGTTCTTGCTATCTTTGTATATGTTTACATTTTTAAATAACAAATGATCCCCTCTATTTTGCTTGAAACCCCAAGAACAAGAAGAGCAGAAAATTTTGAATTAAATTTGGATTATTTGGTGCCTCAAAAACCAAACAAATATATGATTTACCACTTAAAAAATCCAGGTGATAACCAATTTTACATTACCTTTAATGATGTGAAGACAAGCCAAAAAAATTCAAATGTTTGCAATTTTCTGTACGTGGTTTAAGATTATTATAATAGAACATTTTCAAAAATTCACAAAAGCAGACAGAATGATATAATTAACCCTCATGTACCATCATAGCTTTGACAATTATTAATGTTTTGCCATTGCTGTTTCATCTCTCTCCCCATTCTGAACTCTATTTTTTTTTGAGACAGAGTCTCCCTCTGTCACCCAAGCTGGAGTGCAGTGGCACAATCTTGGCTCACTGCAACCTCTGCCTCCTGGGTTCAAGCAATTCTTGTGACTCAGACTCCCCGAGTATCTGGGACCACAAGCATGCACCACCATGCCAGGCTAATTTTTGTATTTTTAGTAGAGATTGGGGTTTAGCTATGTTGTAGCCAGGCTGGTCTCGAACTCCTGGCCTCAAGATATCCACCCGCCTCAGCCTCCCAAAGTGCTGGGATTATAGGCATGAGCAAATGTGCCCAGCCTGAACTCTTACTTTAATATTTTAAAGGCAATCTCAAACATCATGTCATTTCAATTATGTATATTTCAGCATGCATCTCTACCTGATGACATTTTTTAAAAACATGACCGCTATGTCATTCTTACTCCTAACACATTTTATAATAATTTATTAATTTTATCTAAAATGTAGTACATATTCAAGTTTTTGGATTGTCTCCAAGGATTTTTTTAGTTCGTTTGTTTTTATAAGGATCCAAACCAAATAAACACATTGTATTTAGTTGATGACTCTTCAGAGCAATATCCAATCTTCACTTTTTTTCTTACTAATGGTTTTTGAAAAAAAAAAGACAATACCAAGTCCCATAGGATATGCCACATTCTGGATTTAATTCTTCTTTATAACATTATTTAATTGATTCCCCTATCATCCATTTTTCCTAGAATCTGGTAGTTAGATCTTGTTAGATTCAGGTTCAGTTTACTTCAGGCAAATGTACTGTGTATTTTTTTATTCTGTCCCAGTTAGAAGGCACATGCTACCTAGTTGCCACTCTTAGTAATGCTAAGATGCGTGTGAAGTTCAGGCTATGTCAGTCTGATCCCTCCATTATGAAGTTGCTCACCAACTTTCATCTAAAGCTTTTAGCTATTTTTAAGGTTACAAGGCAGGATTTTTTTTTTTAATCTATGCTTCTTATAGAAAGTATTTGGGTTTTTCTCGAAGAAGGAATTTTCCTTAATTGACTAATTTGGTTACTTTGACATACAGTTAATAGAAGAAAGGCAGGATAAATGATTTTTTTCTCCTTTATTTCTCAATTTTCAGAATAATGACTTGATGTCCTGATATTCTCCAAATTTTTAAAGTATCATTATAAACTCATGTGTTTTAATATATTCTATGTATTTCAATAAACTGCAGCCATTATTGTTACTACGGTTGCTACTATTTTGAGTTTCAATTTATCTCACCTTGAGGCCAGTCTCCTCAAATTGGTTCTGTTCCCTTGTGATATAGCCTTCTTAGGCTTTGATAGCTTATTCATTTTCTAGTATAAAAAAAGTCCCATAATCATCTCATGCATTTTCTACCCTAGGCCTTGAATCAGTCATTTCTCCAAGGTGCCATATGCTTTTACTGCGAGATTATATTTAGATATCACAGATTAAGTGTCGTGGTGTTCATTTCTTCTGGGTTTCAAAGTTTCTAGAATTTTCAGGAGATGGAACTATAAAATACACATTATTTTAAAATTAAAATATGTGAGTTCATATTGATGTTTTAAGTTCAAATTTAAGAATGAGCTTTATTTCTTTTTTTTTTTCTTTTTTTATTAGATGGAGACTTGCTTTGTCACCCAGGCTGGAGTGCAGTGGTGTGATCTCAGCTCACTGCAACCTCTGCCTACCAGGTTCAAGCAATTCTCCTGCCTCAGCCTCCTGAGTAGCTGGGATTACAGGCACACACCAGCACACCCGGCTAATTTTTGTGTTTTTAGTAGAGATGGGGTTTCACCATGTTGGGCAGGCTGGTCTCGGACTCCTGACCTCAGTTGATCCACCTGCCTCGGCCTCTCAAAGTGCTGGGATTACAGGCATGAGCCACCGCACCCAGCCTTTGAATTTTTTTATTTTATACTTGTATCACTTTTCTATTTTACTAAAAATATTAATTCCAAGTAATATTAACATTTCAATTGCTTTATCTTAAATATATAATAGTTTCAACATAAAAATATTGATATTAGTACTAATAATGACTATAAATCCAGTTAATCTATGAAGATTTGGCAAAAAATTTTATTTTTTAAGGCATTTAAAGTTTTTCATGTATGCTTATTTAACCAATGTATGCTTATGTTAAACAGTTTCAGTTTAAGATTTGGTTATTTTAAATTTTATTTTCAGTTATATCAAACCTTATATAATTTTGATTTAACAATCATATAAAAAGCTACATTTACAAAGTCTTACTTCCATCCTGAAATTTATCCCTCTTCCCTTTCTTCTACAGGTAACCATTTTTTAAAATTAGTTTTTAGTTGATGCTTCCATTGTTTCTTTTTTAAAAAAGAGCAAAATGCCTTAGCACATGCATATAATATTTCCACCTTTCCACATGTAACACCAAAAACACCATACAATAAAAATTGTTCTCCATTTTCCTTCTTTTTACTTACTGGAGATCACTCGGTAACATTAGATAGATTTTTCCCATTCATCCTTACAGCTCTGTTACGTGTGTGTACTACAGTTTATTCAACCAGTCTCCTACCGATGGACATTTAGATCACTTCCAGTTTTTTGCTATTATAAAAAGTCACAATTATTGCGCCTATTCATAATGATTAAATTTTATAATTTTTGCTAGCAAATTTTTGGTATAATTCTTAGAAGTAAAGATATTAGGTTAAAAGGTAAATCTATATATAATTTTACCAGTTATTGCCCAATAAAGAACATCATTTTCCCAACAGCAATGTATAAACATAATCTATTTTTCCATACATTGCAAACAAAATTTGGTAATTTGTCAACCTGATAAGAAAGGTAGTTCTAACTTGGCTCTATTTATGAGCTAATTTGACCATCTTTCTATATATTAAAAGGCAATTACATTTATTTTTCCATGAAAAATTCACATCTTTTGCTCATTTTTCTACTTTGTTGCTTGTTTTTTTCTTCTCAAAACTTAGGAGTTTTCTTTCTAATAGGAATATTAGCCCATTGTCTGTTACATAAATTGCAAGTTAGTCATTTGCCATTTGACTTTGCTTATGATACTTTTGCCAATTTCAAATATTATTTTTGTCAAATCAGTTTTGTAAATCATTTGTTTATGTTGGAACAATTTTTGCTCTGTAGGCTCCATCTATATTCCCAAACACAGGTAGATATGGGGGCCAATTCTTGCCAGGCATATACTACAGGCTCAATATATGACACTTTTCTAGCTAATACATATTTCATTATAGAATTAGAGCCAGTCATGATGCCATATAACCCTATTTTTGTTTCTTTTTCAATGTTATCAGGATTCTATTATCTTGCTATGCAACCATTTTATATCAAGATCTATGTAAACCAAATTTGATTTCAAATTTTTTAAGCTTTGAGTTTGTTTTTCTTTCTGGGTTGTTCCTTTCTGACAAATGGCAGTGAAATATTCAAAATTATTTTATTTTTTAATATATAAACTCTTTAAGGATAAAAACTTTGTCTCATTCACTGTTTTCTATAGGTTTTAATCAATATATATTTAAAAATTTGGTAGTCAGAAAAAACATTTCAATTACAATTTAAAGTATGACCTACTCAAATTTATTTGCATGGTTTAAATAATACCTTATTTTTCTACCTAATAACATAAGGGATAAGCATTGAGAGTAACTCAAAGGAATTCTTTCCATTTTAATAACTGAAAAAAAATATATTTAGGCTTCAGCCTTTCTTACTTATTAATTTCTGAGAGCTCTCTTGTTAAAGCCATGGATTTTGTAAGAACACACAAGTACTAGAAAAGGTAAGATTGTTAAACAAAAATTATGATTAATTTCACAAAATCTCTGTTGTATCTGGAACACAAAAGAGGCAATATATTTCTGTAACGAAGAAAGGAGTCAAGAAAAGGAGGAAGGGAACAAAGAAATGAAGAAAGGAATAAAAAAGACTATGAACTTTGCCACCTACAACATATATTTATGCATGGCAATTCTGTAAAAATATTTAGAAAAGTCTTCAAAATACACTTACGGTGTCTACCATAAATTAAAGCATAGGTTAAACTTACCAAGAACTCTTATTGCTAATGTGTAGATACCCAAGGCAAAAGACTTAAGCTGTGGCTTAATGCACCTAAAATCAACAAAAGCACCATTACAAGAAATATATAATCCATTAAAGCAAATAGAAATTTGAAGGATAATCTGCCTAACATACATGAAATCATGTTAGAATTCAAGTGCCATTTATGTTGAACCCATTGGTGTGCTAACATAGGGAGGGCAAAATACGTAAAAGCCACATTCCATTTCATGCAATGCTACAAGAAGTTTATAATTAATATTTCTAGAAACTACATCACCCATACATGCCATATTCAAATGGTGCTAGTAAAGTCAAATTTAATTACCAAAATAGCAAAGATTCAGAATAAAACTCAAATTCCTAAGAAATTGTTAGAATTTTTAAGCAACAATAAAGAATTAATAGCCAAAAAATTTTTATGGCTTTTTGTCTAAAAGCACAGGGCCAAAGTGATCAGAGTAGATATAATCACTGTGGCATGATAAAAGTTGTTGCTAAGGGAATTTAAAAAAATCAGAGGCCAGGCGCGGTGGCTCACGCCTGTAATCCCAGCACCTTGGGAGGCCGAGGCGATCACGAGGTCAGGAGATCAAGACCATCCTGGCTAACACGGTGAAACCCCGTCTCTACTAAAAAAAAAAAAAAAAAAAAATTAGCTGGGCATGGTGGCGGGTGCCTGTAGTCCCAGCTACTCAGGAGGCTGAGGCAGGGGAATGGCGTGAACCCGAGAGGCGGAGCTTGCAGGGGGCCGAGATTGTGCCACTGCCCTCCAGCCTGGGTGACAGAGCGAGACTCCATCTAAAAAGTAAATAAATAAATAAATAAATCAGAAAAGTGCAAAAACACCTAAATAATAAGAGTGTCATTAATATGACTGTAAAGCTTAAACTGATTGGCCTATGAAATTTAATAGTAATCATAATGATGTATATAACTACTGAGTGTTAACCACACTACTAAGTACTTCTTACATATTATATCATTTAGTCTCTGCTTTAAAAGAGGCAAAAAAAAAAAAACATGACTTTTCTTCTTCAACCCAAGGGAGTCCTTCTGACATCAAAATTCACAATAGTTAATATGAAGGACTAGTGGTTAGAAAGATGCTTTCTGTGGTAAGCAACCTGATTCTACACTTGGCACAATATAAGATATTGAAGAAGTAGCCACAATGTTCTGGAAAGTCTAGGTCAATGTTTTGCCATTTTGTCAAACTCAGGCTGCCATTTGTAAATGTAACTGTCTCATATTCTCCATGTTGTATTTCCCATATTTGGTGAAAGCTGTTTTGAGAATAGCAGGTTTGTGGATAATAAGTTCTGTTTTCTGTTTGTCATTCCTAAACAATTTCTATGATAAAAATTGTGGGAAATTAAAAATGTGTACAATACTTTGGTTAGTCTTACTTTAGAAAAAAATTAGTATTTATCCTTGAATATAAGAATTAATTTGAAAATCACCCAGTCCATCTCATAAATACTGATTTCTAGTAAATGTTGACTTTTCATGTTTAATAATTTTATCAAAATTTTTATTATTTTAAGTGATTTTTATCAGTTGTACAATAGAAATATTTGCAAAGCTAAAGCTAACTCAATTAGAATGAAAATATTATAACTGAGACTTCTATTTTCAAAACTATTTTACAATTTGGATTCATGTAATTGTTACAGATGTATGATAGGAAAATCAGTAAAAAAAATTCGAGCACAAATTGTGTTTTAATAGGAGAAAAACCTGTAGGGAAGTTGAATGATGATATAAATACAGGAAGAAGGAAATATGTAATGCTTGTCACTGTTAAAGTAGTTGTTATACAATTCTGACCCAGGTGATGTTGGTTATCAAATCACTATTTTTTAGGTCCCATTAATTACATTAGAAAGTGACTTACATTTAAAACTGTTATTTTTAAAATAAAAATATTTATAATATACCAGAAATCAATATTCAGTTACTATTTAAACTTATGATAAAAAATTTTTATGTGTCAATTTATAAATATGCAAGAAGCTACATACTTTTACAAATTTGTTTAGGGTTTTATAAGCAAAAATGGTTGAAGTCCTTGATATGGTCTGGCTCTCTGTTCCCAAATCTCATCTTGAATTGTAATCCAAATTGTAATCCCCACATGTTGGGAGAGGGACCTCTTGGGAGGTGATTGGCTCATGGGTGTGGCTCCCCCATGCTGTTGTTGTGATAGTGTGTTCTCACAAGATCTGATGGTTTTATAAGAGGCTCTTCCCTCTTCCCTCTGTACTTCTCTCTCCTGTGCCTTGTGAGGAAGGACTTGTTTGTTTCCTCTTCCCCCACTATTTTAAGTTTCCTGAAGCCTCTCCAGCCATGCGGAACTGTGAGTCAATTAAACCTCTTTCCTTTATAAATTACCCCATCTCGGGTATTTCTTTATATCAGTGTGAAAATGGAATAATACAGTCATTAACATCATAGATTAGGAGCCTCAATTTACCCAAAGCCATGAAATCCTCCACAGACAATTCCAGTCATGGCAAAAATATACAGATAAAGCCATATATATATATATATATATATATATATATAAATAAAATAAATTCTAACATTGTTGTATTAGATGAGCCTTAAATATTTTATAAATTCTATTTCCCATGACTTGGTGAAACTATATTTAATCTAAAATGCATGTTACCTATGCTAATTATTATTATCACCAGCGTTAGAAGTAGGATACTGTATTTATTAAGCAACTCTAGTGATGTAGAAACTAACATTGCTTCCTAGACCAATAGTTTGCAAACATTTTTAACTAAGAAAACTTCTATTCAGCCACATTTTTGTATAAATACCCAAAGTGCGATATATATAAAAGTGAAACAAGGATGTGGGACAAGTTTCTTGAAAAAACTAAGAGGAATCATAGACTCCACAGAAAAAAATTTAAATCATTGCTCGAGATGATTGTGTCTTGTGTTAAAATTAGAATAGGGAGAATCAGTACTCACCTCAGAAGTAATATGTATCCAGGTATGCCACCTAGGGATAAAGTATAGGATGTGATGACTGAAATTACAAGGAAATACAGAAACATTTGGGGACATCCATTGTCTTTCTGACATCTTCCCACTATGCCTGAGGAATTTCCGGATTTAGAAGCTGCAATTCCCACACAAGTGCAGTTGTAAAATATCTGTAACACGATAGGGAAAAGTCCAATTATTTCAGTAACATTTAAATAAAGTTAAAGACAGTTATGTTAAAAATGTTTACCGTAGCCATGCATTATGTAAACAATGAGGAAATATTCTTTTATTTTTTTGTATTACAGTATATTGAGCAAAGCAAAATCTATATAGATACAACATTTCATTATCTAAAGAGCAGATGACTATCTACAAACTACTAATCCTGTACAACAATCTCCCAGCAAATCCTGCCTAATCTAACCATACCTTACCTCCTTCGCTACCACTTCCAATGCTAAGTAACCATGATTTCTTGCCTAGATTGTTACAATGCTCCCTTTATGCGCAACTTGTTTCCAATCTTATCTAGCTAGTATCTGCTTTCCACCCAGTAAGTAAAGTGAACCTTTAAACATGGCAGTCAGACTGCATCACTACCCTCAACCTGCCAGTGGTTTCTCATCATACTTGCATGAAACCCCACATCCTTATAACAGTTTACACTTTCTCCATCATGTAGCACCTGGATGCCACTCTAATCTCACCATTCAGTGATCTTCCCTCTCTTCTTCTGTGTAAGCCACACACATGACCCTTGCAAAGGCCCCATTTTGCCCTTTCCAAACATCCCCTCAAACCTGGCAAGTTCATCCATGCCTCACGGCCCTGCTATTTTCTCTGCCCGGGCAGCTCTTCTCTTCGGTGATTACACAGCTGGCGTCCATACTTTAGTTCTCCGTTTAGAGGTTTTAATAGAGACCTTCTATGACTATCCATTTAAAAAAAAAAACAAAAAAAAACAACTCCCATCTCTCCATCTTCTTATTCTAATGTATGTCTTTTTTTTACAGTGCTTCTTACTACCTATCAGGATATCCTGTATTTACTTATTTTTAAAACATACTTTCCCAACAGAATGTAACCTCCATGAAAGCAGAAACTGCTGCTTTGTTATTATGCAACTGGGGAATGGAATAGACTCTCATTTTAGGCATTTGATAAAACTTAGTTAAGTAAATGGGAACAATTTGAGGATATGACATAATTTACAGTGGCTATGAGAAAAAAATAATTCTGGTGCATAAAACTCAACTAAATTTTGACTGAAGAGAGACAATTTGTATAACCCCTCAATAGTTTATTTCTGTAAATTTTATTTATGAATGCATATATATAATGTTATCATTTTTAATCACAAAAGAGTTTGTGAGTTTTTAGACCATAAATAAAGCTGGCATTTACTTTTCTAGAAAGAGTGGCAATATAGATTTTTTGTAATGTCAAGTTGAAACCTTTGAATCTTAATTCTGGTCGCTCACTAGATAAATGAGTTAAGCAAGTCCTTTGTATCTCAGTGCCTCAGTTCTCACATGAAGAAAATACTGAAAATAATGCAAATTATTTCAGGACCATGAGATTTAAATGTAATTTTGTTCTTTTAACACCAATCTTTAACCTTTCCTTGTAATGTCTTTTATAAATGGTAGCTCTCATTACAAAAAAACCTTCATGCAGCTGTGAGCAAAAATAACAGTAGCTGAAAGAAAAATAACAAAGGAAGAAAGCAAAGAAAAGAAAAAAAGAGAAGCATGAAAACATGTTTCAGATGAGTAGGTAGTCTTATTCATTGTTGCTAGAAACCAATCCTTTCTGCTGTAAATAAGTCAAAATAATAATACAATGAACAGAGTAAATTAACAAACTTAACTGTATATCTGTGGATATACAGCCTAAGTATTCATATCCAGTTGATAAGGATATATAAATAAATGAGATACATGGGTGGTCTAATTTTCTGCCCTCTAGGATTGTCAAATAAAGGCAAATTTAATCAGTCACAAATAGAAAGCAGTCTCAGAGAGCAAGGATAAGGAAGAGTCTGTTTGGGACAGGAATGGAAAGGTGTGCTGAGAAGGGTGAATCTGTTAATGATTGAAGTACTTTACATCCTTCACAATTGCTTTCTGTTAAGGATTGAATATTTTCCCAAAATTCATATGTTGAAATCCTAACCTTCAATGTGATGGTATTTGGAGTAAAGCATTTAGGAGGTAATTAGTTCATGAGGGTGTAGCCCTCATGAATGTGATTTTAGTGCCCTTATAAGAAGAGACAGGAGACCTGTCTCTCCCTGTCTGCTCTCTGCCATGTGAGGATAAAAGGTGAAGATGGTCATCTGCAAACCAGAAAGTGGGTCCTCACTAGGAACCAGTTCTGCTGGCACCTTGATCTTGGACTTCCCATCATCCAGAACTATGAGAAATAAATGTTTGTTGTTTAAGCCACCCATTCTATGGTATATTTGTTATAGCAGCCTGGACTGACTAAAATAGATTCCTACCTATATTTCCTACCTCATCTCCCTCTTCTGCCCTATGGAAACCCTCCATTCCAGCCCACCTGCCCTTTCATTATTATACAAATTGGCTTGATTTTCCAAAGTTGTCCTAGAACCATCAACCTCCTCATTATCAGATCCCTGACCCCAAGGTCTAGAATCTCTGGAGCTAAGCCTCCTAATACTGGCCTCTATTTGTTCATTCCCTAAAACCTCCAAGGACCACGGATCTTAGGGCCAGGGGACATGGATCTGAAAGCATATCTTATTATGATGATCATACGACAGACATTCTAATTCAGGGCTAACACTTCTTATAAGCAAAATGAGAGAAATAGACTACATAATTACAAAATCTCTTCCACCCTATTTGATGACTCTAATTCTCACCCTAATTTTTTCAGCAACTCCAGTACCACTAGGAATGGTTATAACATTTTCTTTTTCTACAAAAAAGGACCAGGCAGAGGTAAGAGGCAAGCCTCCTACTAGTAGTGGTCTGCTGTGAGCCCCCATAGAGTTTTGTTGTTTATATTGTAACAGGACCATCGCCATATACTTGAGAGGTGATTTCTTACAATATTTTTTCCACTCCTGTTGGAGGTTTGACAACCAGCAAGACAAGCTGATACATATGTGATTCCATTTTCACCGCACATGGGTTCCCATTTTGTCTCTGAACATTTGCATCTTGAGTTGCAATCTGAAAAGAGAGCTCGTTCATGATAAGAGACAGGTTTGGTTCTGAAAAGAAATATAACAATATAAAATATTACCTCTTAGCAGGTAGCACCCGAATATTTTCAAAAAATCAATGTTCTTGAGTGATATAAATGATACTATGAACAAAATTTGCCTTTTAGAAACACAGTTGTCATCAGAAATGGCAGCTTCTGGTCATGAAATGTGAGTTTACTAATAAACAGCTTTCTCTTGAAAGTTATCTTTAGAGGTTTACAAATTCACATGATGTCCAGTTCTTAGCTTATAGCTTTCAGTCTACAGCCTCTAGGATCTTCTAATATACTTCTGTGCAAAGGTGTATAAAAATAGCTAACAAGGTAGAAAAGTAAACTTTTAGAGCAATTTATGACACTACTTCAATGCATCACAGGTGGGGTGTGTGTGTGTGTTGTGTGTGTGCAAATTTCATTCAGAATTGTTGTCTAAGTATGAGTGGAATGGATATTACTAATGGTCCAGTAAAAGGAAAAATAGCCAATCAGTTATCAGTTAATTCTCTTTCAGTGTTTGCAGGAGTTACATGTCCTCTTGCATGTGTGTAACCAACAAGTGCATTCCCAGTTCATTCAACCTTTCTCCTGTGTATCCTCCCAGTGTATAGTGCTCTTTCATATCTTATAGCATCCTTTCTTACTCAAATTCACAAGTAAGTTCAATGACTTACCCATTTATTTGTTGATAAAATTTTACTGGAAGCCTACTAAGTGCTAGCTCCGGGAGAATAGGAGATGGTTACAAACATTAATGAGACAAAATTTGCACCCCCCCCCAAAATTGGTTTTTTTGAGTTATTTCACAAAATTGTGATTGCATTCTTTCTTTTCTCCTTCATTTTTTTTTGTTCTCTGCCATTCGCTTTTATATTTATCCTTCATCTCTCCCAGTATTCTCTCTCCCTCACTTTTTTTTCTGTCACCTGAATGGCCTAATCCTTCTGCTTTTATCCTTTTTTTTGCTATTCATATTCCTCTACTCTTCTCAAAAGGAACTTTTGCAATGGTATGTCATTTCTATCTGCACCATATGTGCCATTCATTGGCCCTCCATACTTCATTTTTTCTGCTCCTTATTTTCAAATTTATTTATTTGCTTATTCCTCATATCTTTCCTCCCATTTTTTATAAAGATAGCTGAGGAGCTTAAACAAACAAAAAATACACTGAACTGTACAATCAAGAGAGGCAGGAACTATTTTTGTATTCACTCCCATATGTCCAGAACCAGGAATAATTCCTGTCACACAGCAAGCTAAGAAACAAAATTTCCAGTAAGTTAGTCAATTAAAAAATGGTACTTTATTTTGGAGAAATAAATTAATCACTTGAGCCTCTGCCTCTGAGAAGTATTGTCATTAATGATGGCAACCATAATTTCTTAATCAGTGTAATACTTCATCTAGTAGAACTGGTATGATGAATTTTGTCACCTCAAAAGTACAAACCAAAGACCTCTGAGATGTCTCCAAATAGTGTGAAAGGGTACTGAACTAGGCCTTCTGAGATGTGCTATAGGAATGTTTAATCCTATTCTCTTCCATAAAATTTTAATTGTTAACTGAGACTGTTTGTATTATCTGAAAGTATAAAACTGCCTTTTAAAGTCTAGAATCATTTAACTCTGGAAACTGTAGGGCTGAGATTATAGAAGGTTGGAGCTGGAGGGAACATTGGAGTAATCTATGCCAACCTCTTACTTGGCAGATCAAGGAAGTCAGCCCCTACGTGGGTGGGTAACATGCTCAAATTCACACTGCTTGCTAGTGACAAACCTGGAAACTGAACCCTGCCAGGTTTCTTGATTGTAAATTCTTATGTCCACATCAGAGTTGTCCTTGTTATTGCAGAAGAGAGATTTCTTCCATTATCATATCTAAGACTTGTCTTCAGTTTTCCTATTGAATATTCAGGTCAAGACAGCGTTTGGAATAAAGCAACATGGAAAAACCCATGGGAAACATTTTATATTTTATAAAGAAAAATACTTTATAGTATTGAAAGTTTAATTTATCATCAGGGGCAGGAATCATTGGGATACATCTTTTCTGAAGGATGTGCTGACAGTAGATTTGTAATTTAGAATTTTAATTATAAGACGAGTTTTAACAAATATGCCAGAATGTTTATGCCCAAATGAGATTTCCTTTCAAGATAGTTATGCTGAAAGATGAGAGCTTTTCCTTAAAGGTTAAATCTTTGCCCTTGTTAAGAATATTCTCAAAAATATACAAAGAAATTCAAAATAAGAGTCTTAGAATATTTTAAACAACAGTAGCATTACTGCAATACAATTATAGTCTTTCAAGGTGACTCCTTTGAAGAGGCTAGTACTCACTCAATGAAAATGTTACCTTTTATTTGTTTAAAATATTTAATCTTTGATTATGTAGGAATACTTTTAATGGGAATCTCAAAGTTTGCTTTTGTTGTCTGCTTTGTGTTTACTTTTGGCTTAGAAATTATGATGCAGAAAGAATGTTCTACTTTGAGTCACGCCTGTGTTCAAACCCCAGATCCATGCAGTTTCTTTTAAACAAGGATAACAAAACTAAACTCATAAAGGTGTTTTGAGGATATAATGAGATCATGAAAGTTAAGGTGTTTTGGAAATCACAAACTATAAAGTCCTCTACAACTGTCCCTCTACCGTGAGGATTTCTGGGACAGTTAAAGATGGCACTGGGCTTCTGCTCTCTCCAGAATCATCTTCCATTTCATTGTTACAACTAACATTCTTAATCCATATCACTGACTTTCACTAAGGCAGCACTACACTCAGCTGAGTCTAACAATGTGGCTGTGATAACTCCCAGAAGCCGTAATTTATGAACTTTGCATTCACCAATCTTCCTGAACATTGTAGATGGCCAAAACTATAACAGGCGCTCATTTAGCAGCAGATGAAACCAGGTTAATAAAGGTGATGGAAGTTGGAACATAGAGACAAGACAGATAAGCAGGGAAGCAAGAGTAGGACGGGAGATGGACAGCAGGCTGTAAGCAAGAAGCCACAGAATAGGCAGGAAACAGAATATAGTGTCAGGAGTGTTTGCTTTTGAGCCACAGGCAGAGTTTCAGGTGGCCAGGCAGATACAGTTGGGAAGGCCTTCCTGGCACATGATGGAGACTCGATAATTTTTTTAGAAAACAAATAATGCATATATAGGTGAAATGATGAAGAAAGTTACCTCTGGAAATTCATGTGAAGTGGTAGAGTGATGGGAAAGACTCTCAATGGGCAAGGGCAATATAGTTCCTACAAGATTCAACCTTGTATTGAGAGAGACTCTGGAAACCAAGCAATGTAATCACCCACCCCATACAAGATGAGAGGCCTGAAGGCATCACTAAATATTCTCCTGACCAATTGCAAGACACTCAGCTAAAGAGAACTTTTATGGGGAACACTGGGTTGAAGGACAGGCGTTGTTTCCTGAAACTTTACATGATTCAAGCACAACAGCAACTATGGAGGATTGCAAAGAGGTAACTCCAGTTCCTCAGATGTTCAAAGGAGGAAGAAAACAATTGTTTCCATGAATGGCACATTTAGCTTGTGTCAGGCAAGTAGCATTCACTTTCATGTATGTTAGCTTGCTTAAACCTTACAAAAGTTTAAAAGGTAGTTATTACTTCTGTTTTTAAGATGGGAAAATTGAAGTTGGATTAGTTTAAACCACATGTACATCATTTCATTAAGAATAGACAGAGGCATTATTCAAGGTTTGTATTTCTGCTATCATGTTGTTTTTCTAAATTAATCAGGTTGGTTCTCTAGTGTAAAATATGGGTTTAGCAATTTTTATATTTCTCTACAATCAAAGGAGATGATAAATTTTGGTGACAATAACAGATTCTAGGTATTGTCAGTTATTCCACAATAAAATACTAAGTTGCTTACCATAGTTATGATGTTTAAAAATCAAATTCCTTTTTTGCAACTCCACCAATAATTGATTTAATTAAACAAACCAATATCCTCAAACTATTTAATGAGGGAACATACCCTTGGTAGGAGACAGTTAGTCCTGCCACATCAGAATTTTCACAGCCCAGTGCAAACAGGGAAAGAAATAGGAGGTAACCAAAGACAGATGATCCCAAGTAGAGTTTTGCAGCTCCACACACACTGATTCTGAATTTTTTCATAACTATCCCCCCAGAGAATATTCCAAGGGCCACTGCTGGAATGTTGATGAGCCCTGAGAAACAAGAAAAATATATCATTTTGTGAATCTCTAAAAAAGATTTGAGTGTACTAACACAAACTTTCTAAAGACTATTTTGTCACTTTAAATTATAGAAATAGTCACTATCATCTACTGACATATACAAAGAGTGTATGATGAGTATCTAGGTTATAGATTAATGGTGGTACAACTGCACAGTCTCAGGTTCTGTCTAGCAGAGAGTATTAAATTAATAAATACCAAATGAATCAATAAATCTTTCTGGTCTTTCTGGTCCAATTCCAGCATTAACAAGTACAATTAGGTAGCAATTAGGTGCCCATTAATGTTCTTTAATGTTGTATATAAAAAATAATAGGCACATAGAATATAGAAAACTTATTTTTTAGTCTTGGTTTCTATTTTCTGCCTCCCGCCCTGGCAAAATTTGTTTTTGTTGATCCAGCTTGCTAGCTTTGAGTGTGGTATCCTTCCTAATAACAACAATCACCACCTATATTTACTTGCCTATAACGTACCAGCCACTGAACTAAGCATTTGATATGTTAATATTATCACACTGAATTTTCCCCACAACCTTAAGAGCAGGCATATTATTAGCCTCACTTCAGAGAGCTATTTGTTCATAGCCACACTTAGTAAGTGGGCAAACCAGATTTGAATGCAAAGAGACTGATGTCAAGTCCTATGCTTTCAATCACTGCTATGTTGCCTCTCCTTCAGGGGTTTGGGAAATAGTATCCTTGATAAATAGATGTACATTATCTTTTTGGATAGATGTGCAGCCTCACTAGTAATCTAATAACTGTGAGCTGTAAACAACACTAGGAAGAGGTTCAATTTAGTAGTTAAGAGCTTAGACTCTGGAGACCCAGCTTGCCTGGGTTTAGATCTCAGTTCCACCACTGAGTAGCTGTGCAACTGCAGGTAATTCTTTGAATGTCTCTAAACCTGTCTCCTCATCTATAATACGGAGCTAATAATAGCATTATTGAGGTAACTAAATTCCATTATTTGTGAAGAGTTATCAGCACAATGTTTAGTAAAAAAAAATGTCATGCAATTAATTTCTATCCATTCGATTTACAAAGATGAAAATATTGGAGGTGGGGTGGGGAATGGAACCCTTGTATTGCAAAAGACTTGGGAAAAGAGGCACTTTGGTGCCATTTGTTGGATTGTAAATTGTAACTCTAAAGAAGAACAATCTGGCACTCAACAATAAGTAAATTCTCTGCTAATTAGAATTTATTTCTCATATTGTCTACCTATCAATCATTGATGTCCATGTTTTCTTGAGGTTTTGAGATAATACATCTCTTTCGAATAATAAAAGGGCTAAAGTTTGCATGTACTGTAGTCAATAGATAAGGTTCAAAGACAAAATCAGCATTTGCTGTAGTAAAAAATAATCTCAAGTAGCCATGTCTGACTTACAACCCCATGTGAAATTGTAAAATAAAAATGAAAACACTGACATCTAGTGATAATGACATGCAAATTTTCTTCTTTCTTTCCCTTTGTTTGTTCTTTTTAAGTTTATATATTTAGTTTCTTAACAAAGCATCACAGAACCTTAAATATCAACATACAATGGTCTTTGGCTTGCTATTACATTATTTAAAAAATATATATTGTGGGAGATCAGTCAGAGTGGCAGAAGAAATTATAGGAATAGAAAGAAGCAGACCCTCTTGGAAGGCTGGGGGTGGTTTGCATAACTTCAGATAGTTTGGCTGAAGGCAGCCAGATTCTCTTTTCAGGAGCCAGAGAACTTCAGGCACAGATACAAAGGAATATAGGGGAGTTTATCTAAATAGCTTATTTATTCATGTGGTCCTAAAATCAACCTTTGATCATTCACAGGCAGGATGGCCATCTCCGGGGTGGGGGCAACCAGGTTAATTACCCACAGGCGTGTTGACTCAAAGCCTTTGTCAATTAAATCTGTACTAAACAAATGCAAGCGTTGCCAGTCTGGAGGGGCAGCAAACTCTCTTGGGCCCCTAGTGCCGGCAGCCCCCTGGCCCACTGTTTCACTGATTATCGGTGTTTGAGTATGTGTCTCAGCCGTTGTGCAGCTGGGGACTGCAGGACAGACCCCCGCAAAATATTTCTAACATGTACAGATGATAACAAAGGGTCATTTTGTTTCATCTGTTTTTATTTGACCATAGGTTGTATATGTTAACATTAAAATTATCATATTAGAACTCAGCCCACCTTAAAGGGGGCATGATCATGAAGTCAGTCAAATGGAAAAGAGAAGAAATGCCAACTTTTGCTTTTCCAGCTGAACTGAGGTTGCTGGGTATGGCAAGCAGCAGAGATGAAAATCTGGAACCTTGAACAGCCAAAAGTCAACTTAGAGGCACCTGATTACTATTTCAAAAATAATGAATAGATTATAGAAAATATATCAACAAACCCAGTTATTTAGGACCCAACTTAATTAATGTTAATATTTTTTCCTAAATTTTCTGATTTTTTAAAATGTGGAAGTAGATAAAATTAGTTCTCCCTTTGTTTCAGGTTTCATCTTCTTTCTCCTGAAGTAAGTGCTGCTATGAATTTGATATATATCCTTGAAGTGCCTACTTTTACACACGCACATACATGCACTGAATATATAAAACATAGTACCTGACTATGAATGCCTTCCACAAAGCCAAAGCTGACACAAACAGCAGGGTCCTACATTTTCTCTCTCAATTCCATCCCCAAAATTGGTTTATGAATAAAGTATCTTCTGAAAACCAAACTCCGAACTGAAACCTTCAGAGCATGTTTCTAGCATTTTATTTTATTTTGTAAAGTACCAATTGAACCTGGACGTAAGAAGTAATAACACAAGGTGTAACCTTGTCTGTACCTATGTGCCGTATTGGATTCCATTGACCTCCCAGACCCCCAGCAGCCTAGAATAGCCTGAGAACTGAAATGGGATAATCCTAGGGACATCTGCACCCTCAGTATAAATTGTTAAAAATCAGGAATATCCTTTCCTGATTTACCTCTTTTTGGTGGCTAGTGTTTTCTTGAAACTTCCACAACATTTCATGTATTATCTTGACTCCAGATCCTTCCACACAAGATATTTGCTTTGACTGATAAAAACCTCTACCCTCTTTCTCACACTTTCATCTTTTAATACTTTCTTATCCTTTTCTCTTGATTTAGGTATCATCATCTTCTGCTTGAGAATTCTTCCTGGTTCCAAGATTAGGTTTGTTCTCCCAGAGTACTCTGAGCTTCCCCTAAGTAGAGTTCCTTCTCACAGGTTCCACCAGCCATATGGGGCTTCCAGGGGACATATTTGGCACCAGGGCTCAAAACTTGGTCATCAGAACCCCATTTTCTTGCTCATCAGGAGTTCCTTGTGCAGGGGCCCATAGGCAGCAGACTTGATGCTTTAACAGTTACCTGCTAGCTTTTTCAGTTTATGTATCGCACCCTCCAACCAAACCCTCAAAGGAAGAATGGCTAATTGAATTGAATCCCATGTTCTTTCAGTGGTTTCCAATAAAATGTGCTAATTGAATAAACCTTAGTGTATGTATAGCACTTCTCCTGCATATCTTACTCTCCTATTTCAAGATAACTAAATTATAACACAACTCCAAAAAAGATTAGTACATTTCAAATATAACGTTGGCTTGATTCTCCCTTTCAAATTTCACAGGATGTATTAAGTTGTCCATGGTGGGTCAAGCTGATAAAAAATTTCCTTCACATCATATAAGATGTGTTTCTTCCCTCCCCAGGCTTCTCTTTCATTTTAGGTATTTTTAAATCATTCAGTGAGATAGAAATTAAACTTTGATTTATTCTCCACCCACATCATAAAATGTGTTGATCTAAAAATTTTTACCATCTACCATCAAGGAAGTATTCCAAATGGAAATATTAATTTACACTAGCGTCTAAAATTTGTTTCAATTTATTTTCTGTGTTTTCTTTTGAATTCAACATGCATATTTACCCAGATATCAGAAAACCTTAGATACATTTAAGAGCTAATTTATTATTATATTGTTGTTACATTTTATTATATAATTATTATTGTTTTAGCACACTCATCAGGTTAAAGATTTTATTCCTTGATACTGATGTAAAAAGGAGTTATGAAGGATGTGTAAAATGTTTGAGATGGTCAGCACAATTACAATAGACTGCAAGCTAGAAACTTTGATTTCCAAACCGATGCCTTGGGTTGAAATAGTTATGAGTTATAATAATAATAATAGTACTTGGAGATGTTTTAGAACTTCTCTCCTAGTAAAGTTCATGTTATATCCTGGACCTTCACAAAAAAAAATAATGTTTTTTATAAGCAACTTTCCTTCAAATTATTCTCTTAATTTTTTCCTACTTGTCTGTGTAACACCTCCAAAAATTGAGAATGATAATCATTGTCATAAATGATAGTTGATATATCTTGTCTACTAGAGATCTTGTCTACAAAAAGCATTCTGAGAAATTATGCAAAAATGACTAAATTATTACAGTCTCTGTATTGAGAAGGAAAAGATAAGATCATTTGTATGTAACTTAATATTTATAGGAGAAGCTTAAATTGAAATAAAGCCACACACCTACAACCATCTCATCTTCAACAAAGCTGACAAAAACAAGAAATGGAAAAAGGACTCCCTATTCAATAAATGGTACTGTGGTAACTGGCTAGTCATATGCAAAAGAATGAAACTGGACCCCTTATCATCATCATATACAAAAATTAACTCAACATGGATTAAAGACTTATGGGTAAGAATTTAAACTATAAAAATCCTGAAGAAAGCCTAGTAAAAACCCTTCTCAGTATCACACTCGGCAAAGAATTTATGTCTTTGTCCTCAAAAGCAACTGCAACAAAGCCAAAAATTGATAAATTAATTAAACTAAAGAGCTTCTGCGCAGCAAGAGACACCATCAAGGAAGTAAAAAGAAATTCTACAGAATGGGAGAAAACATTCACGAACTATGCATTTGATGAAGATCTAATATCCAGACACTATAAGGAACTTAAACGAAACAACAAGAAAATAACATATAACCCCATTAAAAAGTAGACAACGGACATGTACAGACACTTCACAAAAGAAAACACGTGGCCGGGCGCAGTGGCTCACGCCTGTAATCCCAGCACTTTGGGAGGCCGAGGCGGGCAGATCACAAGGTCAGGAGATTGAGACCATCCTGGCTAACACAGTGAAACCCTGTCTCTACTAAAAATACAAAAAATTAGCCGGGCGTGGTGGCGGGCGCCTGTAGTCCCAGCTACTCGGGAAGCTGAAGCAGGAGAATGGCGTGAACCCGCGAGGCGGAGCTTGCAGTGAGCCGAGATGGCGCCACTGCACTCCAGCCTGGGTGACAGAGCGAGACTCTGGCTCAAAAACAAAGCAAAACAAAACAAAGCAAAAAACGTGTAAGCAGCTAACAAAGATATGAAGAAATGCTCTTCATAAATAATCATCACAGAAATGCAAATAAAAACCACAATGAGAAACCATCTCACACCAGTCAAAATGGCTTTTGTTAAAATGTCAAAAAATAACAGATGTTGGTGAGGCTGCGGAGAAAAGGGGATGCTTGTAGGTTGTTGGTGGGAATGTAAATCAGTCCAGCTATTTTGGAGAACAGTTTGGATATTTCTCAAAGAACTAAGAGTTTAACTACCATTTGACCTAGCAATCCCATCAGTGGGTATAAACCCAAAAGAAAATAAAGTATTCTATCAAAAGGACACATGCACCCATATGTTCATCACAGCTCTATTCACAATAGCAAAAACGTGGAATCAGTCACCCATCAACAGTGGATTGAATAAAGAAGTGGTACGTATACACCACAGAATACTATGCAGTCATAGAAAGAATGAAATCATGCCCTTTGCAGCAACACAGATGGAGCTAGAGGCCACTATCCTAAGTGAACTAACTCAGAAACAGAAAACCAAATACTACATGTTCTCACATATCAGTGGGAGCTAAATATTGGATACACATGGACATAAAGTTGGGAACAACAGACAATGGGAACTACTGGAGAGGGAAAGGAAGGAGAAGAGAAAGACTGAAAAATTACCCATTGGGTACTATGCTCACTACCTGGGTGACAGGTTCAGTCATACCCTAAACCTCAGCATTATGCAATATACCTTTGTAACAAACCTGCACTGTACACATACTCCCTATTCCAAAATAAAACTTGAAAAATATAAATAAATAATAAATAAAAGACAAAAGAAAAAATGAAAATCTAGCTGCCTATCCAAATTTCTTTCATTAAAAATCTTTTTAAAATTCCACAAACTTTAAAAAGCAAAATCATTTCACAAATGCTTCCTAGCTCTTGGATTTAAATTTTATTGTCATTTATTTTCCTTTAATATTTTTCCACAAAGTTAAAGTAATTAACTTGAGAAAAAATGCTATCTCTAAACTTTAGAAAGAATGTGGCTAACATTTAAAAACATGTACAGGAAGACTAAGTTGTCGTTGTAACAGTTGGCCCTTGAACATGTCGGGAAATTTCTGTTTATTTACCCCTCCATGGTATGTCAAATGCCTTCTCTCAAAGAAGCAAAGGAAATGTGCTTCTTTGTATCTATCTCATATTTTATTGCAGGAAGATCATTATCCCATAGCCCAAGTTAAAAAAAAAAAATAAGAAAAAGAGAGGTTGAATAGAAGAAGAAAAGAAAGAGAGAAATAATATTTATTGAACGACAGATATACGCATTTACTATGCATTTTATCTGTATACTTTCATCTTTATTTCAACCTAGTGATATATTTATTTTCACCATCGTACAAATAATCAAAGTAAGGGTGAGAGGATATTGAATAATTGGCCCACTTACGCTTAGTCGGCTGCACCCCATACTTACTAATGTGAAACCAATATGATCTCAGGAACAATCCTAGCTATAACGATGTAAAATTGTTAGATACTATTACTTATCTCTCACAAAAGTATTTGAATTATCTGTAGATATGACATGTCAGAAACTTTGAAGAATAGAGTTTTAGGTAAATGCAAATTAAACCACCATGAAATACCACAACCATACCGCATAAGAATGGTTACAGTGAAAAGAATTGACAATTCCAAGTGTTGATAAGCATGTGGGGCAACTGGAATGCTCTTACGTTTCTAATAGGAGTATAAATTTGCACAACTTCCGTGTGTTTTGGCAATATCTACTCTATTTAAACACATATTCTCCCTCTGACTTAGCAACTGCACTTAGCAGTATAATATAATATATATTATTATATTATCTATTATAGTATTATAAATAACTATTAGTTAAAAGAAAACAACACAAATGTCCATTGCACTCCAGGGTATAACCATGAAAAATGAGCATAGTGGCCCACCAATGTACATGTGGAATGTTGTTTTCTGCTTTTAACTATTATAAATAATTTTATAATAGCATTATTATTATATATTATAGTATACATAATATACTATATATAATACCAGATGTTACTATATTATTATAGTATTACCATATATCATATATTATACTATATTATCTGTACTATATGTAATATACTATAAATTTTAATATAGCATATAATACTATCTTATAGTGTAATATGCTATAATATATTATAAATAATATAATATATATTATATTAATACATATTAAAATACATATTTTTATTTGTATTTTTTCTTTCTTTAACTATAATTATTTAAAATACTATTATAAATAATTATATGATTTATAATATAAATAATAATTATAAAAATTATTAATATAAAAAGTATTTTATATATTATATATGATAGTTATATATCATGTTGTATATATTATTTTATATAATTTATTATAATATATATAATATATAATTAATACATATTATATACATATTAATATATGTTAGATATTTTAAATATATGTTTTATAATGTAATTATTTATACTATCATAAATTTATAATATTACCTATAAATATACATATAAATACATAATGATTTATAATGCTATTATAAATAATTGTATGTATAATTATTTTCATAGTATATGAAATTATATATTTATAATATATATTATTATATTATCTATTATAGTATTATAAATAACTATTAGTTGAAAGCAGAAAACAACACAAATGTCCATGAACTATAAAATGAATAAACTGTGGTTTATTTATGTAATAAGATATGACATAGCATGAAAAAGAATGTACCACTGCTATGCACAATATAAAATAATCTCATAGATTTCACTTCAGTTGAAAAAAGCTAGACACAAAAGAGTATATAATATACTATTTAATTTATATGAAGTTCAAAAACAGGCAAGGCTGGTCTATGATAATATAGTTTAGTATAGTTATTAGCTTTGGGGAAAAGTTTTGACTGATAGGAGAGTTAAGCTTTCTGGGGAACTAAAATATTCTGTATGTTCTGGATGCTGGATGTGACACACACACACACACACACACACACATATATATATATATATATATATATATATATATATATATATACACACACACACACACACATTATATATATCAAAATTATCCATCTGAACTGTTTAAGGTCTGTAGACTTAACTGTTGATAAGTTATATCTCAATGTAGACATAAAAGTGAAATAAAATAAAGTCTCTCTTAAACTTTAAATCCTCATCTATTCATGTTAAAATCAATATAAAGCATTGATTAGCATGCATGGGGTGTTGGAGAAAAAAGCCACAAAATATTTCTTTAGGTCAGCCAATAAGTAATAAAATTAATTTAAATCAATTGATGTTAAAAGTAAAAATGTTCAGTAACGTAACCTTAACATCAAGAATTTTGGAGAAAAATCTTTTAAAACTGTCAATTATATTAGCATGTGCTATATGCCCATTACCCAAGATTATCATAGAAAAATTATATCTCCTAAAATACATTTGGCTGTTTTTTTCTCCTTCCAGGTCTCTTTCAGAGGTAGAAATATAGACTGATTTTTACAATACTAGAGAAAATTATTTTATACCACTGGAGTCTCCTATCATAAAGGAATATGTCCCAAGAAACAAATATGTTATGCCTTGAAACAGTAACATTAAATGACATGTTCATGGATTAAAGAAACGAATCTTGATTTTTAAAATATCTAGTTGCTTCCACAGTGGTGGTCATGTATTTGTAAGTTCTGGTTTCTCTTCTTTCATTTCTTCATACTTTTCTATCTTATTATTGACTGTGTTGCTAGAAACACAACCCTTTGAACTAACTCAGTTGCCAGGAGTCAGAAAAGTTTTTTGACCGCGAAAATACAAGTTTTGTTTTGGAATGAACATCTTTTAACCTATCTCATTGTGCATTTTATATAATCCTAGAAACTGTTCATGTAAAATGGCCACTGTTTTGAGGTTTCGGCTGCACTTAAAAGACAAATATCCAGTATTATTAACAAACTCCTCATAAAATGCATGTTTCATCTCTATGATATCACTTCAAGAACTGCTTGCTCTCTGGGTTACTTACCCACAGATGTGAATAATTCTTGCTACAACATTCTTGTTACTTTTTGAGCTCATCTAAAATGTCATAAATTACCTAAATCTTGGAAGAATCTTCTCGAAGATTCCCGAGTTAATCAGGTACCTCTAAGACAGTCCCTCTGAGAAAGCATGAAAGGCAGATGAGCATACCGATCACAAAGTTGGCCCTGGAGGATGACTGTCCATACTGCTGCTCAATGTACTTTGGTTTGTACGTCACCATGCCGAACAGAGAATTGAACTGAACAGTGCTTGTACATAAATATAGGAAGTATACTGGGTTTCCAAAAAGATTCTTCAGTGATGGAAGAAAATCTGTAAAACAAAAATAACATAGACTAATTAAAGTTGGTGTCACGCATGGAAGAAGAAGTAGCCGTGCTGGCAGGACTTACAGGGCTGGGGCCCATTGTCACACAGTTTGGGAGTAGTCACAGTGTGGTACACACATACACTATGTATATAGTAAGCCACTGGCATGCGTCAAGCCTGCGATCTGGCCAGGTTCGAATCCAGACATAGGCACTCATTTCTACAGACATGCAGTATAGATTATATTAAAGGTAGGAGTCAGACAAGAACAGATTCCTCTAACTGATGTGGGCAAAAGACGAAAAGGATGAGAATACTCCCTCATCATCTAGCTGGGAGCCACAGGCAGGACATAAAGACCTTCACTTTTCTTGTCTCTATTCCTCAAACTTAGCTTGTGGTCAAAGAGAAAGAAATATGAGAGTTATCTCCATTTAATATATGAATTTTAGTGTTAGAAATGAGCATTGGTGTTCTCCCTTTTTCCTATTATGTAGCCTACCAATTAGACATGTGAAGAATTTCTATAAATGTAAATATTGCTTGAAGGGACAAGAAGAGGGGGACCAATATCATGAGGGGCTGCTCATTTCCATGAAGGGGGTTCATTAGAACACTGGGTTTTTGCCTACAGAACACTCACCCCTTTGATCATTGGTGAGAGACATGCATTGATACACATCTCTCAAATGAATAGATCTTATCTGTTGAAAGGCTGCCAACCTTGAAGATTAAGCCTTTTATTTCCTGTATACACAGAATTACAGGAAGCAGCAATCCTGGGTAGAGACAATGGTAGGATCTAAACTGAGGAGGTGTGAGAGGGTGGAGACATCAGCAGGAATGGCTGTCAAGCCTTTGCTCTTTGGTCGTGTACTGCAATCAGTTGTTCAGTAATAAAGCTGACATCAATTTCCATTTTTGCTTCTGATATGGTTTCTCAACTTTTTAATACACGAAGGGAAGAGAGGGATGTAATTTATAAATCTCCTTAAGCCCCAACAGAAAAATGAAAATACTTCAAAATCAAGAATTTGACTTACCTCTTGCCATTTCCATTATTTTTGCATTTTCTCCCTGGGGTGTTTGGTAGTCTGTGTGATCATCTATAATAAACTTGGATTTCTCAGAGGAAGAATTAGAATCCTCTCTACTTTGGGATCTTGGTAAACTCTTTGGTAAATACCAGAAAGGCACAGCTGCAAGAAGACTTATGATTCCTGCTATTAGATAGCCAAGCCACCAGGCTCCTACCCACTGGGGATCTTTTGGGGTAATGGTTATGTGATCTGAAAGACAGAGGGGATGGCTAAGTAATACAAACAGCAAAGCTAATATGTTAAAATAATATACTTAAAAATAAATTCTTGCAAAACTCTATAACATCATAAAATACCTAATAATTCATCTATGCTATTTTTTTTTTTATCTGGATCTTACCACAGGCATACCTTGGAGATTTTGCAGGTTCAGCTCCAGACCACCACAATGAAGTGAATTTCACAATACAGAATCACATCAATTTTTTTGTTTCCCAGGGCATACAAAAGTTATGTTTAACTATACTGTAGTCTATTAAGTATGCAACAGCATTATGTCTGAAAATGTACATACCTTCATTTAAAAAAAAAGTTATTGCTTAAAAAATGCTAATAATCATCTGAGCCTTCAGTGAATAGTGATCTTTTTGCTGGTACAGGATCCCATCTCAATGTTGATGGCTGCTGACTGATCAGGGCAGTGGTTGTTGGAGGTTGAAATGACTGTGGCAATGTATGAACATAAGAAAATGATGAAGCTTGCCACATAGATCAGCTCTTTCCTTCATGAAAGTTTTCTCTGTAGTATGCAATGCTATTTGACAGCATTTTTACCCACAGTAAAACTTCTTTCAAAATTGGAGTCAATCTTCTCAAGCCCTGACACTGCTTTATCAACTAAGTTTATGTAATTTACTAAATCTTTTGTTGTCATTTCAGTAATGTTCACAGCATCTTCATCAGGAGTAGGTTCCATCTCAAGAAGCCATTCACTTTGTTCATCCACAAGAAGCAACCCTTCATCTGTTTAAGCTTTTTTTTTTTTTTTTTTTTTTGAGATGGAGTTTCACTCTTGTTGCCCAGGCTGGAGTGCAATGGCGCGATCTCGGCCCACCACAACCTCCGCCTCCCGGGTTCAAGCGATTCTCCTGCCTTAGCCTCCCTAGTAGCTGGGATTACAGGCATGTGCCACCACGCCCGGCTAATTTTGTATTTTTAGTAGAGACAGGGTTTCTCCATGCTGCTCAGGCCAGTCTCGAACTCCTGACCTCAGGTGATCTGCCCGCCTTGGCCTCCCAAAGTGCTGGGATTACAGGCATGAGCCACCGCGCCCAGCCTGTTCAAGCTTTATCATGAGATTGCAGCAATTCAGTCGCATCTTCAAGCTTCATTTCTAATTATAGTTGTCTTGCTGTTTCTACCACATATGCACTTACTTTCTCCACTAAAGTGTTCAACACCTCAAAGTCATCCAGGAGGGCTGAAATCAATTTCTTTCACACTCTTGCTAATGTGGATATTTTGACCTCCTCCTATGAATTGCAAATGCTCTTAATGGCATCTAAAATGGGGAATCCTTTCCAGAAGGTTTTAAATTTACTTTGTCTAGATTAGAAATCACTAGAAATCATTAGAAATCACTACTGATCATAGCTATAGCTTTGTGAAATACGTTTCTTAAATAATAAGACTTGAAAGTCAAAATTACTCCTTGATCCATGGGGTATAAAATGGACGGTATGTTAGCAGGCATGAAAACATTTATCTCTTTGTACATCTCTATCAGAGTTCTTGGGTGACTAGGTGCATTGCCAATGAGCAGTAATATTTTGAAAGGAATATATATATATTTTTTTTCCTGAGCAGCAGATCCTAACAGTGGGCTTCAAATAGTTAGTAAACCATGCTGCAAAAAGATGTGCTGTCATTCAGCATATCTCTATTGTTCTAGTTAGAGAGCACAGGAAGAGCCTATGTGTAGGAATTTCAGAATGTTAAATGAGCATTGGCTTCAACTTAAAGTCACCAGTGGCCTTAGCCCCTAACAAGAGAGTCACCCTGTCCTTTGAAGCTTTAAAGTCAGGATTGACTTCTCCTCTATGGCTGTGAAGGTCCTAGATGGCATCTTCTTCCAATAGAAGACTATTTCATCTACGATGAAAATCTGTTGTTTAGCATAGCCACTTTCATCAATAATCCTAGTTAAATATTCTGGATAACTTTCTGCAGCTTCTCCACCGGCACTGGCTGCTTCACCTTGCACTTTTGTGTTATGGAGACAGCTTCTTTCCTAAAACCTCATGAACCTGTTTGCGCCAGCTTCAAACTTTTCTTCTGCAGCTTCCTCATCTCTTTCAGCCTTTATAGAATTAATGAGGGTTAGGCCTTGTTCTGAATTAGGTTTTGGCTTAAGGAAATGTTGTGGCTGGTTTAATCTTCTCTCCAGACTACTAAAACTTTATCTCAATAAGGCTATTTCACTTTCTTATCTTTCATGTGTTTACTGGAGTATCACTTTTATAAATTCCTGCCAGAATTTACATTCACAACTTGGGTAACTGTTTGGTGCAAGAGGCCTAGATTTTTGCCTGTCTTGGCATTCAACATGCCTTCCTCATTAAGCCTAATCTTTTCTAGCTTTCCTTTTAAAGTGAGAGATGTGCAACTCTTCCTTTCACTTAAACACCTAGAGGTCATTGTAGGGTTACTAATTGGCCTAATTTCAATATTATTGTGTCTCAGGGAATCGGGAAGTCCAAAAAGAGAGACAGGGGAATGGCCAGTCAGTGGAGCAGTCAGAACACATGCAACATTTATCAATTAAATTTGCTGTCTTATATGGGCACAATTGTGGTGCCCCAAAACAATTACAATACTAACATCAAATATCACACATCACAGATCTCCATAATGGGTAAGCTAATAATAATAATAATAATAATAATAATAATAGTAAAAGCTTGCGATATTAGGAGAATTACCAAAATGTGACACGGAGACCCAAAGTGAACACATGCTATCGGAAAAATAGTGCCTATAGACTTGCTCAACACAGAGTTGCCACAGACCTTAAATTTAAAAAATATATAGTATCTGCAAAATGCAATGAAGTAAAGCACAATAAAACAAGCTATGTCTGTATTTTCTCTGTTATTAAAGGAAAGAGAGTGCATTTTGGAGCAAGATACTTTCTTTTGTTCATTAGAGTAAAAATATAGTCTAAATTCCGGAATAGGCTTCATGATTTTCAAACTGTGCTCTCAGGTTCTGTAAGAGACCCCTGGTAAGAGGAAGGCAACCCATGGGGAGAATTTTGAAGGCTCAAAACCTCATGTGGCGACTCCTCTATATCAGCACCACTTTCGTTTGATTTACATATTGAATGTCTGTGTGAGATTTTACTTGAAGAGTTATGCTCTGCACCCTCCAGTCCAAACCCGTTGGAAACCTCTCATTATGATACTAAATTCGAGACTCATTCAAATCAGCAGAATATTTTTTATTAAATGATGGTTAACAATACTTCAGAGCTATTCTAGATATGAAGCAAGATTTGTATGTGTAAGCAAAATTTTAGTTATCTTATTCGTCATAAAAAGTTTGTTTTTGAAATCATTTCTCATTTGACTAAAAAGTAAGTATTGACAGGTTTTTGAATCAAACCAAGTGGGTGTTGTTTTCTTCCTAGGCAAGAACCTAGAAAACATTTCATTTTATTCTACCATAACACACTGTGAGAATGAAATAAACACATGGCCCTTGACAAGTAGGCTCAACTGCCACTGCATTATACTGGGTAAAATGCTTATACTAGGTTATTGCTGCATGTTAATTGCTTCCCCTTAACAATTTTCCTCTGTACTGCTCATCGCATCTATACTTTCTTGTCTCTAAAATCCATCAGTGGATTTTAAGCTTTTTGAAGTCAAGGAACTCAACTGATTTGTTCAGAACTGTAGAATAGCACCTGGCATAAAGTAAATGCAAAATAATTGGATGGGAACTAATGAATGAATAAATAACATTTTTGAAGCTTCACTTGTAGTTTATTTGATTTAAATGCAAGAATTTTGCTTTCTGTTTTAACATGCGGACTTCAAAATGCAATTCCATGTTTGTTGTTTAAGTGACGCTTGTTTAGTTTATAACGGATCTCTTGGAATTCTTTAAAAAAATACTGACAAATGCCATCTATTTCCAAAGGGTGCATCTCCCAGAGATAGAAACAAGTTATTAGCTATGGAAAAATCAGTGTCCCCTTTGCCATTTATTTCCTACACAAGCAACGTCCCAGAAGAAAAGCCAGTCTTCCTCGATAATGTGCTGTAACATGCTTCCACCTAAAAATGACTTGCAGAGTAAAAAAAAAAAAAAAAAAAAAAAAAAAAAAAAAAAAAAAAAAAAGAAGGGCTGTTTGGTTGCCAGTAGACTTTAAATCCTTGGTCTTTCTGTCAAGTCCCCAAATACATTATCAATTGATGTAACTATAAAAAATGTTGACACACCTGAAGCCAATAAGAGCCAACAAGTAGCTACAGTTTTCAGTCTTAACTATGCTGGAATGCATTTAAACTGACAAATCAAAAGTGAAAAAAGATAGATCTTAATAACAAACCATTGGTCATCCAGTTCTAATTATCACCTATTTTTCATATTCCATTTATTAATCTGTATAACTATATTAATAATAAAATTTTTAGTTTATGAAAGATTACAACTCCATCATTTTATAAAAAGGCAATTTGATAATTTCCACACTGTTCCCATTAAAAATGTTACAGTGACTAAAATACATGAATAAATAAAAAATAAACTTCCTTACCTAGGTTTACAAAGCCAATGTCAACATATAGTTTGGCACATAATGAGCCTAACAGGAAACCAAAGATTGGTCCTATAATTGCAACCGTCTGCACACACCCTGCACCAAGAAAAGAAAAGGAAAAAAAAAAAGCTGTCATTTCTTTACTTTGATAAATTAATACAATTTTAAACAAGAAATGTGTGATCCAGTCAGTAGCTCAAAATGTTTTAACTCATTTGCATGTGTTTAGTTAACTTTAAAACCACATCAAATCAGGAAATAAGTCCTTCACTGCTTTGGGAGAAAAATGAACAATTTTAAGGCATTAAATATGTCTTAGTAAGAAAATAACATTAATACTCTGAGGAAATTAATTTTCCAAAATGGAAAAAACTTTTATTTCCTAGGATTAGATTCCTCATTGATAAAAATTAGAATTGTATTAATTTTGATAGTTTGTCAAAAACATTTTACGTTCAGTTAAGCATAAGACTTGTTTTGACATTCAAATGGATTTCTACCACCTTAGAAAAAAAGTGTGTCCATTCATTTCAAGGTTCTGTGGTATCATTAGTGAGACCAGGACCTGTAAAGATCCCCAGATGCAGCTAGCAAAGGTGCTAGGATTTGGAGCAGGAAAAGTTATCTCTGGAACCCTCTTGACCATTCAGGCCAACCTTCATAGCCAGGTGGAACAGATGGCCTAAAGGACACCATTTCTAATAACCAGAAAGGTAGTTCTTCCCTTCCAAATATCTCCAATCTGTTTTTCATTTCACCACAAAGCTTAAAACACACATATTCATGGGAGATTAAGTTAACTGGAAGAGTAAACAGCAGTTACCAGATACTTTTTGGAACAGAGGAAAAGAGAACAAGCCCTGAGCTCCTAGAGAAGAAGGGCACACCTAAGCACCTGTATGCTTCTCCTGGCTGTGACCTTTCCTCCAGTCTCTAGAGTAATTGCCTAGTGCAGGTGATGAAGTGTTTGTTGCAGTTCCAGTTCCTGATTTTACTGAAGTTTTCTGTTAGAGTAAGAGCTGTGATCTTAACTATAGCCTATTCAGGTGTAACCAGCACCCCCTGGAGTCCTGCAGAGCATAGCCAAGGCAAGATTATACAGTGGACCTAGCTGTAGCGCCCCTCAATGAATTTAAATCTTGCCTTTCTGTCCCTGAACGTGAGGCCTTTAAAAGATTAGAATTTCAAGAAATCGAGACTGATGTATGTCAACACCATAGGAAAGGGTAAAATAACAGTTAAAAAAGGAGAGACTGACGTGTATTTCTAGCTTAATATTAAGACATCAGAGGAAACCAATAAATGCTGTTTAGATGTGTCTTACCTTAGGACTTTGCCTCTGCTATATTATTTTGGTTTTTCAGATTTTTAGCTGCTGGTCTATTTACTGGGATGTGTTCCAGAGATGAGGTAGCCTCAGGCCTTGCTTTTATTTTTTATATACTTTTCTTTATCCATTTCTACCTGCTTTTGAGATCTCAAGATTTCTTGTTGCCTATCCCTCATAGCTTTAAATAATCAGGGCTTATCAAATGGAAAGCGCTTATCAAGGCTTATCAAATGGAAAGCTAGGGCTCAAGGAACAAACTTTTAAATAAACTAAAATGCCTAAGTGCTTTAGCTGTACAGTTAACCCACTAAAAAGAACCTATGAAATCTGAAGCCCATGAAGATACTTTCACAAGGTCATACGTCATTGCAGCTAAGCTCGCAGTTATTTTCTTTTAATCTGATGTTCCTTTTCTAATGCAATAGATCCCTCTAACTATGGTGTCTTCATCATCCAAATCTGAACTGTGCACTTCAGAAATGTGTGAGCTAAATAAAGGAGTTGGATATGAAGTATAAAAAGCTTCCCCACTTAATTTAGCATAGAGGGGAATTCAGAAAACTAGACACCCTGCTTCCCAAGAAGATAAGTGAAGCAATATGCCAATATTACCAATATAGAAAGCTGCATTGTCTTCACTGGCAAAATCATCCAGGTAGGCAATGCCCAAAGGCTGAATGGGAGTTTCTCCTATTCCACGAAGAAGATTGCCCAGGAAAACATAAATCCACATGGAAGAGCTAGTGTCCACTTCACATTCTTGAAAGAAAGGCAAACCAGAGGATTGAAAATAGATCACTTTAAAAGTTAAGTATTTATTCTGCATTTCTACCGTATATCTTAAACTGAACTAGAATGCAGGAGTTTTTGTGCAATAGTCTTAATTTGATGGGAGTTTGGTCAAGTTCTAAAAATGTTTTATACCTTCAACCTTTTAGGCAGAGTAAATCCCCAAGAGACTTCACCAAGGAACTTTATTGCTTCTTGTTCCTGATCCCTTTACTTTTTATTCTCTCTCTTCTTCTCATTTCATTCCTACCTTGAGCTATTTGAGTTCCCACACTACAATGACATTCAGTATCTATCTGGGGCAAAACAGAAAATTTTGAACAAAGTCTTTCTCACCTTAATTTTTAGTTCTTTTGAACAAGTCTTTCTCACCTTAATTTTTAGTTCTATTTTTCAGCAGAAATCATAAGTAATCTTATTGTTGACCCAGTTTTATCTGAAATTCAAATTTTTATATGGTTGATATTCCAACATTTGGGCAGTATTGCCTACATTTATATTTGTTTGTTAGTGAATAACCATTTTTAGGACTCTGGAAACAAATTTACATAAAAATTATAAATCCCTATACTTTAGCAGTATAGTTATTCCAACAAAAGAAATCATTTGACAGCATTTTTAGAGTAAAATTCAAGGCTAACCATTTTTAAATGCTTTCATAAAATTCATGTCTTAATATGATCATGTGCACTAGGATAATTACCCCCATATCATAAATGAAACATAGCTTTGAAGGTTTAGGTGCTTTAATAAAATTGATAATGTTAACAACCTCCAACAATCATCACTGCTGAATGTTCTTTCTCTGCTACGTGCTGAACTAAGTGCTTTGCAGGCATTTTTAAATTGAATCTTCCTAACAATCCTATGAGGTAGGAGTTATCTTTACCTGTTAATAACTCTTAAACTAATTTTTGATTGTGAAGAATAGATTATGTGAAGAACTAAGGTGAACACCTTTGGGCAAGTGAATCAGACTGCATAACTAACAGAAAAGACTCCTTTGCACTCACGTGGATTCTATCTGACTCTGCCTCTTCTAGAAAAGTTTAAATGACCATGGAATTTTCACTTGTCTTCTCTGGATTTCTATTCTGCTTCCAAAAATATGATATGAATTCCTTTTCTAAAAATTAACTCTAATGTGCATTCTAGCCCTAGCAATTGTATAATTTTAAGAAGCTTGTTGGTAGGCGAGTCTTCTTGTAGAGAAGTGTAGGCACCTTAGGTCTGTGCTTTTTAATTCAATAACCATAAGCCACATGTGACTATTAAAATTGAAATTAAATAAAATTAAAATTCACTTTCTCTGTCACACTAACTATATTTCAAATACCCAATAGTCACATGCAGCTAGGGGCTACTGTATTGGACAGCAAAGATATAAGACATTCCGATCATCACAGATAGTTCTGTGGACAGCTCTGCTGTAGATTGTTGCAGGGGAGATGAGGATTCTATGTGGAGTGGTTTTGAGAAGATCCTTATCAGCTTTAGGATGAGTCTTGTGTCCACTATGTCTAACGAAACAGACTTTAAGGGAACAGGAGCTCACCTGAAGGAAGGGAAATAATTGAGTTATGAGTCATTCTCTGTATCTGTCTGCTAACTTCTCCCTTTATTAAACACATTTTAATTACTGAGTCTAAGCCCTATGTTTCACCTTTCACCTTTTTACATTACAGGTTTAAATATTTCCTAACTAGTTGTGCTGTCAAAAGAAAACATCTGGCCGGGCGCGGTGGCTCACGCCTGTAATCCCAGCACTTTGGGAGGCCGAGGCGGGCGGATCACGAGGTCAGGAGATCGAGACCATCCTGGCTAACAAGGTGAAACCCCGTCTCTACTAAAAATACAAAAAATTAGCCGGGCGTGGTAGCGGGCGCCTGTAGTCCCAGCTACTCGGGAGGCTGAGGCAGGAGAATGGCGTGAACCCGGGAGGCGGAGCTTGCAGTGAGCCGAGATCGCGCCACTGCACTCCAGCCTGGGCGACAGAGCGAGACTCCGTCTCAAAAAAAAAAAAAAGAAAACATCTTCCCTGGCCGTACATTGTATACAGATGAAACTACAAGCCATTCAGTCAGTTTCCTGCCTCCTTATTTGAACCTAAATCATATTTATTATCTGTTATATTTTTACATAAACAAGGCTGCTGTTCTTGTCCATTGATTTGAATGCATCCTCCTGAACATATCTATTACCCCCTTTCATATTCTCCTCTTTGTCTAGAATGAGTTCCTTCTTTTGCTACAGCAGGAGAGGGTAAACTTTTTACATTTCTGTGCTTTCCTCTTCCTTCCCCTTCCACATTTCCATATGTTTTTAGTCCTTTGGCCCCTCCCTTCATTCAAACAGCCGGGGTTCATTGCCTGGAAAAAAAGACATCTCAACAGAATGTACTAATGAGAATATTAGAGGAGTGAAAAGGTCTTGTGGAATAGATAAGAGATTTGGATGGATGGCAGGTATATATTAATTTTAGAAAGGCTTCCATTCTGCCTGTATACAATGTGGTTCCTCCGGTTAGGAGTAGGGGTTGAAATTGGTAGGTGGCAGGGAAGGAGTGTGGAGCATATTGATGCTGAAGGGAAGCTGAAGGGAGAAGAGGGGATTTGCTCTCCCTGCCTGTACTGCGTCCTAGAGACACAGTAAACACCTATGGACAAATTCATGGCTACTCTGAGTAAGGAAAATCTGTGTTACCTCGGCCAAGTGAAGCCCAGGCAGGAGGCAAGACTCTACTTCAGTCTAGCTCAGCATTCCTGCCTTTGACTCATAGGACTTCCAGTGTCTACAGTGATATAGAAGAGAATATTCCCATATTGCCAAGGGTGTCTCAGACAAAGCATTGCTGTGTCATATGCATCAGCCATCTAGAACACTAGACACTTTGATAAAATTCCTGCATCCTTGCTCAGGTGAAAAATAGAGTTATTTCCATGTATCTAAGATGGCCACTTCTGTACTGGAGAGAGCTGCTGTGAGAAAAAAAAGTATGAACATGGACATAAGATAGCCCCATGCTGACAAGTATGACCAAACAGTGTGACCACGGGGGTTTTAGATATGTAAGCTGGCAGGGAACTGATAACACCAAGAGCTCCCACCATAGCTGCCCATTTTACTCTTATGTAAGCTCCCTAGAATGTAAACAAACCCTGGGGACAAAAAGGGAGGTTGCGGACAAATTGAGATTACATTTTTGCCATTCTGACAAAAAGTAGCTGAACACAGAAATTAAGTTGACTTACGGGAAAAATTATACTTCTTTCATATCTGAGCAATGGATTGAGAGTTGTATGTGCTAAACTAGTTTCACCCTGCTTTCAAAACCCACTTATTCAGAAGCTTTGAAAGATTTTCCCAGGAACTATCAATTAATGCTTTTTTTCCATAAGATTTGATCATCTGGTATATTTTCTTAGGATCTAATCATATACTGCTTTATATTCTAGGAATTTTTATGGTACTGTGATATCTCAATTTAAGTAGTAAAGCTTTTGGGAGCAAAAATCATAGACACTTTTGTCCATCCTAAAGCACATATAAAGTCTTTTTTTTAAAAGCTTGTTTAGTCAAGTCAAAAAAATGATCTTACCGTTACTTATTTTGGATTTTGATTTTTCCATAACTGAAACTGGTAATTGACTGCTTGACTCTAGGAGACACGGAGAGATGCTGAGAGTGGAATTGGAGGAAGGAGAATATCTCTCATATTTGTACCTGCATAAGAGGAATGTTTTCTTCATGATAGACTCATTAACATCATACTAAGAATATTATGTGTATGCTACACGAATCGTTAGGGTACCAGGTTGAGCTTGCAGCTGTCTCTGAACCTAATTCACCAAATCAAGCCAGTGTTTAACAGCAGATTTTGCTGAAGAGGTAGCCAGAAGATCTGGCTCATAGACTCTACACAAAGCTTGTCCTACCCACGGTCTGTGGGTTGCATGTGGCCCAAGATGGCCTTGAATGCAGCCCAACACAAATTCATAAACTTTCTAAAAACATAATGAATTTCTTTTTGCAATTTTTTTTAGCTCATCAACTGTTGTTAGTGTATTTTATGTGTGGCCCAAGACAATTCTTCTTCTTCCAATGTGGCCCAGGGAACCCAAAATTTGGACACTCCTGCTTTACACGTACCTGGGCCAGTCAATTAATGACAGAAAATAAAAGTAAAAAGTACCCATAGAGGCTCATCTTAAAGCAAACTAGTGACTATAAATCACCTCCCCCCAGGTGAAAAAGTATTCAACTTGATAAAATCATGATTTTTTCTGAGTCAGAGAAAGAGCCATAATTGAACAATGTATTGCCATCAGAATACTTTATTTAGAGTTGTAAATTTAGTAGAATTACAAGGCTGATTCTGGAGAATGGAAAATGACATATGGATTTTGTACCATTTATCCTGATAAGATTCTGCTTTTTCCCTACTGCTTACTAGCATAGCACCAAGTTACTTCTAATTCCACCCTTTCCCCTGTGTATAAGGTTATGATAGCAACTGGGATAAAGAGCCATTGCTTAGTGGGCAGCCTGTGATAATGCTAATCTACAATCCCCCGGCTCTACTCTTGCACTCAAATTATCCTTCATATGCCACGTTCTCCACACTCTTTGTACCCCTTGGGGAAGAGGTATCTGGTAAGAAAACATCTCAATATCATCTTGATTCTCATTTTATTCAGGCACTATTTGGCCAAAGGCTAGTAATCACAGGAATATGCATTGGCATGCATATTAATAGTAAAGAACTCCCAGCTACTTGGGAGGCTGAGGCAGGAGAATGGCGTGAACCCGGGAGGCGGAGCTTGCAGTGAGCCAAGATCGCGCCATTGCACTCCAGCCTGGGCGACAGAGCGAGACTCCATCTCAAAAAAAAAAAAAAAAAAAAAAAAAGAAAAGTAGAGAACTGTTTATTCAGCATGGTAAGGAAAAGATGTATTGCATTACTGAAATATTCAAGTTGATAAACAGGTTACCTTAAATCTGTTTTGTGCAATCTGCACCTCAATGGGTTCATGAACCCCACTGAAAAAGTAAGAACATTTTTGTATGTATGTTTTTATGTGAATGCTTAAGAGAAGAGGGTTACAGGTTTTATAATTTTATCAAAGGGTTCCTTGACCATAGTAGGTTAAGAATCACTTAATGAGGTTAACTGTTTTCAATTCTTTTTTTTTTTTTTTTTTTTTTTTTTTTTTTTTTTTTTGAGACGGAGTCTCGCTCTGTCGCCCAGGTCGGACTGCGGACTGCAGTGGCGCAATCTCGGCTCACTGCAAGCTCCGCTTCCCGGGTTCACGCCATTCTCCTGCCTCAGCCTCCCGAGTAGCTGGGACTACAGGCGCCCGCCACCGCGCCCGGCTAATTTTTTGTATTTTTAGTAGAGACGGGGTTTCACCTTGTTAGCCAGGATGGTCTCGATCTCCTGACCTCATGATCCACCCGCCTCGGCCTCCCAAAGTGCTGGGATTACAGGCGTGAGCCACCGCGCCCGGCCTGTTTTCAATTCTTAACTACACATGAGAACATTTAGCATTGAAATCATGGTAAATATAATTTTATATTGTTAATAATTACAGAGAAACCATTGACTGTTATGATGCTTCAAGACTATTGAAGTAAGTATGGATGGTGATCATGGAGTATTTTGAAAATTTTTCATTATTTTAACTCAGTTCCTTCTGTCAACAGGTTACTGTTGCAAGCATCATAATTATTTTGATTTCAAATAACTGGCAGCTTATCTAAGAGCCACTTTTGTTACTAATTGCTATCTGTGATACTCTAAAAAAATTAACGTTTAGGTTTTAATTAACTGAGTTGTAAAATGAGAGCTATGGATGTGGTCTGTACCTATTGAGACTCTGTTGGAGAAGAGACAAAAGTGTAATTATTTAAATCGGGGACTAATATTATAAATGCTTTTATATTAGGGGTTTTAATTCTGACCCGCATTCAAATCCTGACTGATGCACTCTTGACTTTGATGTATGAAATTTTGCAGTAGCCTCCTAAATAGTCTCCCTGCTTCCAAGCTTTCCCACCAGAATCAATTCTCCAAGCAGCAGTCAGTGTAATCCATTAAAAATATAAGTAAGATCATGTCACTCTGCTTAAAGCTTTCTAAAAACTTCGCATCTCATTCAGAGGACAAACTAAATTCTTGTAATTGTCCTAACTTTATGACTCAAAGGATGGTCTGCAGACCAGCAACATCAGCTGAATCTCAGAACCAACCCCAGGGCCACTGAATCACAATCTGTAGTTTACTAAGAGCCTCGGGTGATTCAAATGCCCATCAAAGTGAGAAACAACGTTGACATATTCTCTCATTCCCTTTTACTTCTCAGCATTCATCTTCTGTGCTTTCTCCGTGGTCATTGCATTTTAGCCACACAGGCCTCCTTGCAGGTCATCCATGCACCAGACTTCCTCCTGCTGAAGAAACTTTGCCTTCACTGTTCACTTAGGCTAGAAGTCTTCTTTCCCAGATATCCACATGACTGTCCTCTTTACTATTATCAGGTCTTCTTCAAATGTCACCAACTATGTGAGCCATACGTTGACTACCCTACTTGATACTGCAACCACCCCCAACCCACCACACATACTCCTTATGTGTCTTTACTGGGTTATTTTTCTCTATAGTTCTTACCATTCTCTGACATACTGTATTTATCTGTTTATTTTCTGTCTCCTCCTCAGAAGATCTGTGAGGGCAGAGATTATTTTGTCACTACTCTTTCTTTACTGCCTAGAAAAATTATATATATATACATATATCACAAATATATATACACTTGCTAAATTAATGAGTTAAATGAGCTAATACATAAAACTAAACAGCCTATTAGGAATAGGCCCTCAATAGTTGCTATCCATGATTAATAGCTTTTGTCGGACATTAAGGATATTTCTGCAAAGGAGACAGAGCATAGTTATCTCTTAGAGAACGAAAATCATATTTTGGATAAGTACCCAATTAGTTACTAATGTTGTGTAAAGGTGGAAAGAAACTAGAGTGATAATCCTCAGTAGAGAGCAAGCTTCATGAAGGAAGAATTGTGTGTGTTTTTGTTCTATTTTGTTTTCTCGCAGAAATAGCTCCTTTACCTGGCATTGTACCTGGCAAATATATTAAATAATAAATAAACAAATATATCCTCTACCATGTCAAAAGTGTTGGATAAGAATCTGTCTCTGTCCCTTTGATATCCTTTGTCAACACTAGCCTGTCTGGTTGTCCGACCTTCTTTTTAATACATTTTTTTTTCTCTGATTTTCTTATACGGGTATTCGATATTTGTCACTAACTTAAAGTAATAAAATTATTCATCTGTATACAGCAGCTTTAAGACAAAACCATTGCTGGTTAAAACCAGGTGGCTTAATTAGCTAAAAGGATTGATAACACACAACAATGATGACATAGCTACTAGTTAGGTTGGTAACCTTGATAAGCATTTTACCTGTGTTATCTCACTTAATATTTGCAATGGCATTATCAGCTAGGAATTATTTTTAATACCTGTTTTAAGATGCAGAAACTGAGACCTAGAAAAATTAAGTAGTGTAGCCATTGTCACATAGAAGAGCTACTGATCCACTGCAGAGTGATTTAAGTCTGGTGTAATGGATTTATCTATCCTATGTGACTACTTTCACATTTTTAATTTTTTCAGTAGTGGAACTGCTTTTCCCCCTGAGCAAACTGTCACATGGAAGCTCAATGAATCAACAGATAACAGCAACACAACTAAAGATCAAGCAGGGAGTAGGCAGGTTGGAGACCCATTTTCTCATTCTTCTCCTTCCCATTCTTTCTACAGGCTGAACATACATAACATTTTTGTAGAATCTCAATGATCAAGGAAACTTCTGACCTATGAAAGGATGTTGTCCAAAGAGCAGGCAGAAGTGCCCAAACCACAGAACTCCCTCCAAGTAGAAATTTAGGGTCCTGGGAATTCATCCAAATGGGCAGAAAAGCTCCCACTCAGAGAATTCTGAGCCCTACCTTGATAGATTGGCCAGGGAGGTCAAAAATCTGACTGTACTTACATAAGTGGTCTAGAAATTCAAGAAAAAGTTCAGACTAGATCATTTCTAAGTCTCTCCAGCTCTAAACTGTCCTGATACAATGATCTAGAGTGGACAATAAAGTATCACTTGAAATATAATCTTCTAAAATATTCTCTTACTCCAAAACCTTTTGGTAGTCATTTCTTTTATCAGCAATAGATAAACACAGAGAAGGGCAGTGACATGGATATGTATGAAAACTGCTGCCTGAGAAGTCAGCTGACCTGTTTTAGGTTCTGATTCCATAATTACAAGACACCTAAATTTACAAAAGTCATCAAACTTTTCAAGTCATGGGGTCCTGTCCTTAGCTCTAAAGTAAAAAAGATAAACTATGTTCTTCTACCCCACAGGTTGCTATAAGGGTAAAAATGACATAGGTAAAAATCTTTGGAACTACTAAAGTCATGTGCATGTATTAACAAAAGTACCAAAAGTAGACTTTAGGGTTAGAGGATACAGACACCCTGCTTCCATTGATAAAGGTCTAAGAGATACTGTATGGACATTGAATACTTGTTTGAGTTGATAATATATCCCTGAGTTAATTGTCTAGCAGCCAGTGTTCCATAATCCAGAATTTATTGTCTGCAGTGTTTATTAATTACCTATTTGACATTTACCATGTTAATTTATTTTCAATTATATATTTTGCCCCTACAGCTAAATTAAAGCATTTGACTCAAAACATGTAGGTAAAATCTTTCTTTAATCTTGTTGATATCAATATACAGTAATCTATCAATTTTTTACAGTTTATTGTCAGAAGAAAAATTATAAAATTGTTGTGAAATTTTATCCAAAGAGAATGTAATAAAAGTAAGACAAAGTTATCATGGGTTAAGCTTAAATTTGCATAATTAATAATCATCATAAAAGGGAGAAATGCAGTTGTTTGGAAAGGCAAGGAAAAGATGATTGCTTTAGACTTACTGCTCCATGAAGAACTGAGGCATTGCAATGAGCAGTGTTCCAACTCCCATGATTACACACCCTGCTCCAATTATTTTTGGCCTGTGAAGTTTGGCTCCAAAGTAGCTAACAAATGTTATAACTAAGAGATTCCCTTTGAGGAAAAGAATAAAACATCATAAATTAGAGAACTTAGAAAGAAGTCAACAGCATAACTGAATGAATGTATACAGCAGACCAAGCAATGTTTTCTTTTAACTAAGCCATCTCTGCATCATTTAATTTTTTTCCTTTAATCTGAGATGACCCTTGAAATTCTCATGTTCATTACTTCAATCACCTTATCCCTTTATCGAAATATTTTAATTCAATCCTTCTACCTCACTTCACCCAACCTAATTATTTGTCCTTGTAAAATATTTTATCAGTAAGTCAAATTCTAGAAGGCTCCCTTTAGCTTCCCTCTCAAATATTTTTTAGTAAATTTGAAGTAAACTTCTTATTTTTTCTTTATTCATTAAAATTTATGTGAAAACTTCTATTAGTGTTCTAATTGCTCATGGACTACACATTACAAATTATTTAGCTGATATCTTTTATAGAAAAATTAAACACAACTGTACTTTAAATGAAATAAAATGATGAAACACATGTACACAAATGATACTTTATGATTTGTTAATAAACTTTGTACAAAAAGATTAAGACTCAAAATAGAAATAAAAATTATTCCACATAGGCGACTTCAGGTGTACATCAATTATATAACCTCAACATATGCCTATAAAGCAAATTTTATGAAATACAAAATCTCTATAAAATGTGCCCATTTATCTCTTTTGTGAAAAATGGTTTAAAAATATTGGGTTTTTTTGAAAGTAGAAATTATGGTTTTCTAAAATGTCTCTAATGAAGCATGTGACACGTTACTTTTAGTTGATGATGGTGATAAGTGATTAAACATGTTTCAAGTAATATTTCTCACGCTTTGCTGTGCGTAAAAATACTGACAGGAAACGGTTAAGGAAATGAAAACTTGTTAAAAATGCGATTCTTGGCAAGTACCAAACGTTTCTGATTCCATGGATCTGAGGTCAGGCCAAGAAATCTGCATTTGTAATACTAACTCAAGTGTGTTGATGGAGATGATTCCTAGAACATGCTTTGATAAACATTGTTTAGGGTTTTAGACTTCAAGGGGCTTTAAAGCTTTAGCTATATTTATTTGAGATATTTAGTTTTTAAGATGTACCATGCTAAATACAGTAAGATCTTAACAATTTCCCAGCAATTGATTGTGATGGCTAATGGGTGGCCTTGCTTTGAAGTTCTCCTCATTTCCAATTTTTGAGCAAAGCATGTTTCCCTACATCTGTAAGCAATCATCTAATTTACTACTGTTCACGCACATTGCCAGCTTTAGTAAACTGGAAATAAAGCAGTAATTTTTGTGGGCTTGAGGATAATAAGAATGATAGTGAGAAACATGACTTGCACAGTGGTCCTAGTCTTTATGGCTCCAAGAAGAATTAAGCTCTTCTTAATGTTCATATTAAAAAACGAATAATTTAGCACAAGATGTCTCATTTGAAATTTAAGTATTTAGTAGAAGACATTGTGTATCATATTATTTTGATAATTCTATCTATATGTTTGTTAATGTACCACAATAAACGAACCAACATAAAATGAAAGTTGACATTCACTTTATAGGTAATTCTCTCCTATTCTCGCCTACACTCCACCAATACCACACAATAAACACTTCTGTTTACAAGCTATTTCTGTGTTACGTTAATGGGCATGTCATATACAAGACAATATGAGTTCAGTACCTGTAATACAGATATATATATATATCTATATACCATATATATACTGTATCTATCAAAGTTTTTGCTTCCTTAGTATCCTTTCTGAGTTGTCAGGAGATACATTTGAAATATAAATGATGATACAAAATCTTTAAAAAATGAAATTGGATATAAAAATTATTCCATATCTACCATCATTAGCCTCTCACAAAAAAACAGGTACAGAAAGTTTTAGAAATATGTCTTACCAAACTTTAAAGTAACATATTCTTGCTCTCCTCTCTTTTTCTGTCTGTCTATGCACACACACACACACACACACACACACACACAGACACACTCGAGATAACAGAAAAAAAAGAAAGCTACTCAATTCATCTTGTAAGACTACTATTTTCTTAAAACCAAAACTGGACAAGGACAATATAAGAAAAGACAATTAGAGCCCAAACTTGATTATGAAGATAGATGTAAAAATCCTAAACAAATTATTAGCAAACGGAATAGTATATACAAATAAAAATATCCCAACCAAGCGCAGTTCATTATAGTAGTACAAGAGTACCACCAACTAACAATAAATTATTAATTAAATCCCTATATAACAAATGGAAGGGGAATAATTCCATGGTTAACTTAATAGACACTGTAAAAGTACTAAATAAAATTAACCATTGATTTATGTTAGGAAAAAACAAATCTGAGCAAACCAGCTTTTAAAGTGTATCTATCAAAACCACAAAGCAAGCATATTGCTTAATACTAAAATTTTAAAAGTATTTGCATCAAGGTCAAACACAAGAGAAAGATGTCCATTGTAAATGCTTCTCTTCAACACAGTTCTGAGGCTAATGTAATAAGGTAATATCAACAACAACAACAAAAATCTAAGAGTTGCAAAGAAAGATACGAAATTATATTTTGTTTTAGACAATTTGTCCACAAAACTCTACAGTTTCCATGGAAAATCAATTAAAACTAATAGAATTTCAACAAAGTTGCCACATACAAATAACATAAAGACGGAGGATGATATTTGTTCTAGAATCTTGAAAAGAAGGAATGCAAAAAGAGGCAAAAGAAGTAAATTAAGATTATGTTCAGCGAAGTCATTTGTCTGGAAATTTATGTAACTCAAATAATTAGGGCAAACCTGTGATGTTTGGGATAAAGGTTTTCAATGGAAGTAAGAGAACTTTTAAGCCATTTTAAGGCATCCAATCCAATAAATAATTTATATACCTAGAATGGTCTGGAAGAATTAATGTGAATTTGGAGTCATGGTTTTCTGCTACTTCCTGTGAAAACTTAGTATACTCTCTCTATCAAATATAAACTTTGTCTCTCAAGTTGCATCAGGACCTGGGAGCCCAAACAAAACTTTGGACCAAATCATTTCTATGCCTCTTCAGCTCTAAAATATTTTTATATAATAATCTAGAGTGAGAAAAACATCAAAACATCATGATATATAATGTTTTGCCTGCTCATATCTGCTCTATTCTTTTATCTGCACCAGTTACCTCTTTCTCCTTGTTTTTCTCTCATGATATAATGTATCACCCTTTACCTTGATTCTCTTTGGCCCTTCACTCAGTGCAGGGCCATCAGTAGAACAGGGCTCAAGGAATAAATCAACCATCCGGGCCAATCTAAGCAAATTACATAAAAGATTGATGTGATCAGATGTTTTGGAAACCTGCTACACAAAATGTGATCTACTGACTAGAAGCATCAGTATCATTTAGGAGCTTATTAGAAATGCAGAATTTTATCCTGTTCCTACCAATTCAGGTTTTAAAAAAAGATTTTTAAAAGATTGCCCAGTTATTTGTGTGGACATTAAAATTTGGCACTAAGAAATGTCATTCTGGAAGGATGACAAAAGATGAATTTGGGAAGCAAATGCCTGAAGGCAAAAGGTTACTTATTCATTTTATTTTTTCTGTGATATTCAGAGTAAGAACCAAAACACATAGTATGTATGAAAAGAAATAAATTGTTAAAGAGTTGAAAAATATTTATTCACTTTTCTGAAAGTTCACCAGGTAAAGCTAAAATTGGAGCAGTTAGAGGTTTTACTATGGTGTATATCTGAATCTAAACAAGCCTTAAGGACCAGAGAGGGTACTATTTCGTTTACTTCAGCAAAAAATTAAAGCCTTTTAGTTTATCAATTCAGGAAGCAGACTAACTAGGATTATCCTCTTTAAATTACTTCTAAAACAGTGACTCAAATTACTCGATCTTTTTAATTTCTAAGGAGTCTGTAGTCAATTGCTAACCAAAGGCACCTGAGATTTGAATTTTTATTGCCTGCTCTGATCTTGTGTTCTTGGTAATAGAATCCCTTTATTCTTCTTTCTAGACCACTGGGTGGAAAAATCCCTTTTATGATGTAACTTCTATTCATCATTGCAGTAAATTCTTGTAGAGCGCATTTGGATTATTCCACACCTCTAAAATTGAATCATAGTGCTCCCAGGGTGTATTGTTCTTCTGTAAAGATACTTCTACATATTTATAACTCAAAATACCAATTAGCATCTCACCCTTTCCTCCAAGAAAGTCACTTACTCTGATGTAGAACTCTGAATTGTGTGAACCATACAATACCAAACACCTGGGGAGAAAAATTTACTGTTGATTGCTCTGAGAAAATTGCCTCTCCTGTAGAATAAGATCATGGTAAATTCTGTCCAAAAAAAAAAAAAAAGATTTTATGAATAGAGTCTGATCCCAGCAGACAATAGAATGCAGAAGGTGTTCTTTAGCCACACCTAGAAGATCTTGGGCTTAAAATTAAAGTCAGGCATCTGTAATACCTACCAATTTCAAAACTACCATCAATAACTCCCACCAGTGAAGAAGGGATATCAAACCTTCTCTCTATCTGAGTGATGGTGCTCTTCAGATAGCCTTCTGCCAATGCTTTGGCAAAGTAAACAAAAGACAAGGCACACAAGAACACCTGGAAAATATGACAGGTCACACTTAGTCTGACTCCAGCTTGACACACAATTGGAAACTAAGTAAATAGACAAACAAATACAAAACAAACAACAAAGAACAATGTATAATATCAACTTTATTATCACTGAAACTTTAATTCAAACACTGTTCGAGGTTTCCATCAGCCTTAAGCACTGTAAGTTTTCAACAGTTCAAATTCTCTTGGAATTTAAAATATATATTTGGTTTTTATGCGAAATGTGTATTGAATTATCTTTTGTCTTCTTCCACTCTGCTCCAGAGGGGCACTCAAAGGAGTCTTACATTGAAGAGTCAGTGTATGGTGAGACATTCATTGGTAAGAAAGTAAATGAAACCATAAGCCAAACACTTGACATCCTATAACAAGTCCAGCACTTGGGATTATGTATTTCACAGGGTGGTGCATGCACCAGCCGGGAACATAATGTACAGACTGAAAAAGTGCAACTATTATTCCTTGTGTTTATGTTTATACTTATTAAATTCATAGTCAAATATTTTTCTCAATGGAAAACATGTCTTTGATATCTAGCTTATATATTTTGATAGACATGGGTCTGTGATAGAACATTCATAGGGAAGGTTAGCATTTATATGAAAAAAGCAGAGATTTGTTGAGTGAATATTTGTATAAAGAAAGAATAGGAGCACACAAAGCATCCCTTAAGAAACAACTATTCTCGGGGGATTGGGGGAGCGGGGAGGGACAGCATTAGGAGATATACCTAATGTAAATGACGAGTTAACGGGTGCAGCACACCAACATGGCACATGTATACGTATGTAACAAACCTGCACGTGTGCACATGTACCCTAGAACTTAAAGTATAATAATTAAAAAATAATTAAAAAAAAGAAACTTCTATCACTAAATAGCAAAGAAAAATAGCATGATTTTAACAATGGGCAAATAATCTAAATAGACATTACTTAAAAGAAGGCATGGCCAACAGGTATATGAAAAAGGTGCTCAACATCACTAGTCATTATGGAGATGCAAATAAAAATCTTTATGACATATCACTTCACATCTGTTGGCTATAACAAAAAATAAAAACTGGTTAGAATGTAAAGAAAAGGGAATCTTTGTACATGGTTAGTGGTTACATAAGTTGATGTAGTCTCTTTGGAAAATATAATAGTATGGAGGTTCCTCAAAAAACTAAAAACTATTGTTTGATACAACAATCCTAAAAAAAAAAAAAAGCAACTCTTCTCCCTACTCTGTAACATTATTCCCATTTTTATTTGCAAAATGGGAGTAATGTGATGTTTCACAAATTAAATGTTATATCTGTGCTTGGCTTAATATCTGGCACATGGCAGAAGTTCAATAAATACTAGTTTCTACTATTTCTCTCTTTTCTGTTTGGGGGGGCATTTAAATGAGCCCAGGAAAGTAATTTAACCCACATGGTCAGGTAGAGATTGCTTGCACCGCCTGGCAAGGTGTGGTTTTAGTAAATTGCATCTAAGATCTTTTTTTTTTTTTAAAGGAGAAAACAATTCTCATTCTAACTTCATTATATAGATGATATCTGGACAGAAAACTAAGAGCATCAACACTATTTACTTCTTGGTTGCTCTACCTTTAGTTCACCACAGCATGGTTGCTTTTCTTCTGAGGAGGGATATTCTGTTTTAAAAGAAGGCCTTCCAACAGGTTGCACTGAAGTTTTGCAGAACAACTGGATATTTTCTTTGGATGAAGTGTCCATTATAAACACATTCCTTGACTCTGATCTGTCAAAGTTAGTTTTTAAAGTAAAAATAAATAAATACTACGCAATTTATTAAATTTTTTTATTCAACAGTATACCACAATTCTATAGACGCAATTTAAAGTGAATCTACCTTTTGTTGTCACAGTAAGTTGGCAAATGTTTTCAATTAAAATCAACCAGGATATCTGATTAACTAATCCTGCTATTGGAACTCTGTAGCCAGCATTCTTTCTCAATCTGCCCAGTTTAAGCCTCATTATGGCAAAGAATAAATTTAAGTGTTGCCTTTGGAATAAATAATGAGGCAGAATTTTGCTAACTTTGTGGTCTTGCCAGTTTAAACTAGGAGCAAGCAGGAAAGGAAGAAGAGGAATTCAACTATTTGAATATTGATTCATTAGGATAAAGTCTTTAAAGCCTTTAAATCTATCTTCTTAGCAAAACAAATAGAAGTTTTACATTCATTATAGGTCCCTGTACCACCTTATGATTCCTGTAGCACCCAATGTGAGCCTTAAAATATGACAAAAAAGAAGAGGTCCAATTTGTGTATTGTTTTTGTTTGATAAATAAGGGAGCAACATGATTTGTGCCTTAGATTTAATTCAGGTGAAAGAACAGTCTTTGATCAGCCTTAAAGTAAAAAAGACAGCCTTGCTTCCCATGCTCAATTTCCCACCGCCCCTCACAGGACAGGATCACACACTGAACCTATTTTCTCCCTGTTCACATCAATATTTACATATCCTGTGCCCCTACTTCTTTAGGATTCCACATGGCTCAGTGCCTGCCTGATAATCTAACCTAAATCAAGGAATTCAACAAACAAAGTATTTCTCAATCTCCCTAATATTATCAGATGACCCAATTGTACATTAATAGAGGACTTCTATATCCACATAATAGGAGTGGAATAATGTTATTCCTAAAGGAATAATGTTAGGAGTCAAATTTCATGTATTGTGGCAGAAATCTATTCTGACTGAGTATATCACCTTGACTTTATGCAATGCTTGTTTTGTGTTCACTAAACCTCATCCCTCACCATTTCAATTCATACTTTCTCAAACTGAAAAATCAAGTAATAGTATAAACGATTTGCTTTGTATTAATAATATGAAGTTAAAACATCAGAGGACTTCAACAATTTAAAAATTAAGTGGATTCCTCTAGGGAGTGGGAATTGACTAAAGGAAAGGATGAGACAAGGGTCTGGTTTCAAAAAAATTATTATTAGGCTTTTGGATTCATTTTATAAGCATTCATAACTTTAATTTTTTAATTGAAAAAGAAGAGTGAGTGAAAGAGAAAAATTTAAAAACAAAAAATAAGCAAAACAAAGAGCTAATAATGTTAATCAAGACAAAAAACAAAGATATAAATACATAATATTAATGAGATAAAACACAGATATTTAGGAGTATAAAACATAAAAAGATGCATCGAATGTTGAAGTAAGTTTAATATCTTGACTTAATGGATAAGTTTCTAGCAAATATTCATTACCTATATTGATAAAAACCAGAAGAGAAAATAGCCAAGAAAGACATTATCAAAAATACTCTGAAACTATTCCCTAAACAAAGATACTAAGGATAGATGATGCACCAGAAGTGCTTTATCAAGGGATATTCTTTGAGGAAAGATAGCCGATAATGGAAACAGATAATCATTGTCTCCATTAGTTTGACAAAAATAACATTATCTTGGTAACAAAACAGCACAAAGATAGCACAGAAAGGAAAACTTCAGATCAAGCCCATAGATTATAAAAATTCTAAGTAAATGCTAGCAAATCCAAATTAACTCTTGCTCTATGATTAGAATTATTCTAAAAGATGCAACAATTGGTTAATTACAGGAAATTTATTCACCTAAATTACCACATGAATAATTCAAAATAAAAAATAGAATTTCATTACATGAAAAACATCAGTTGATAAAATTCGACATCTATTACTGATTTAAAAAACAAAGTTTAAGAAATGAAGAATATAGAGATTCTTCCTTAACAGTATCTGATACCAACAGCCAACTTCCTATATCTACTGAGTCACTAGGACTACTTTTCTAGAACAGTATTTTGCCAGGACAAGGAAAACAGGGTTTGGGAAATGCAGAGTTATACAATGTTAAATAGGTATCTTTACTACAAAACTATGAGTAAAAATATTGCCAAGCAAGAGATATACAAACCAGAAAGGTTTTAAAATAAGAAACGGATAATTATTAAATTTCTGGCTTAAATTGCAATATTCTTCAAAGGATTAAATTATATAATTCAAATTGGCCTTCTGTTTTTGGGGATTCAGATATCATATTATTTCTCATCAGTCATAATATTAAAGTCAGTGACCAGAAAATACAAATAAATTGTTTAATAATAAAATCTGCTATCATTTATCCTAAATTTATCTTTAAAAGATCCAAAGTGTTACATCTAGAATGCTAATGTCAAAGAGAAAAAATAATTATGTTAAAAACACTACTGAAAAACTTGAGATACTATAGCACATTTTAAGTTATCTAATATATGGAGGTGTTGACACAAAAATCACTGTAACTAAAATTCAAAAGTATAATGAAATATAAATATAGTCATCTCAGTTCACTTTGTGTTAGGGCAAAATAGGATCCAGCTTAAACTATTGGCACTGCATAGCTTTACTGAAGTGTCTTGATGGTTAATGCGCAAATTATTGCAAGTGTAGTATGTTCCAAGGAGGCTACAGTTCATCCCCTGTAAAAAGAGAGGGAAGGAAGCTCAATGACATGAACGGAAAGATCCTTGGGGCCTGCAGGCTCTCTCTCTTCATTTGCAACTGCAGAAGTAGAGCAAGAGTACACAGTTATTCAGAATTATTTGCATTTGGCAAATCCTTAATTGATCTCTGGCCACTTGAATAGATTCTTCCAGGAAAAGACATACGACAGTTTTCATCCAATACCCTGGGTTTGGAGCATAACTTATTCTGGAGGCCAAAGAAAAACAAGCCAAGCAGTTTCTCTTCCTTTGGTTCAAAAACATTGAATAATCAGTCCTCATTAGTTTCAAAATCAGCCCTCCAGATTTTAAATGGAGAGAGCAAGTGGCTTAGGAAGGTTGTAGTTAGATCCCGCAGATGTACTCAACCCCTCTGCTCTGCAACTGACTCGGACTCTGTCCAGCAATCAGTCCCCAAGGACTGCCACAGAGAAAGTCCTAAAGGCAACCACGCTCCTCCCTCTCTTCTCTTGGCCATCTCCTGTGAGGAAAACCTCTGTCCTGGCTTGACTTCTGGACACCAGGATGCCTCCCTTCAGACAAACTAAAAAATAGCCTCACGGCACTTGCTGCAGAGGAGTGTGTGTTGTTTAGAAACTAATTTCTCACCTAATACAAATTATCTGTGTCAGATTCAGATTTAATAAGTACTATTTTTGTGTTGAGTAATGTACGTACTTTTTCTAATCCTTAAAACAACCCAACAAACGTAATATTAGAATTCCATTTTTTAAATTAGATGGCCCAAAGCAATTAAGTGACTTGTCAAAAGCTAAACAATTTATAAGCATGAGACTCAAAATTTGAACTCAAATTTGAGTTTATCTGATTTCTTTAACCAATCTTCTCTCTTATTTCCATCAAACTAATGAGGGGATCATCACCTTTCACTGATATTTTTATGGATAAAACATAAATCGCACAGAAATTAAGGGTTAATCTCCCATAAGAATCTGATGTATTAGTCACAAAATATAAAATGAGAGAACCAAGTCTTACCTGGAGGAAGAGATCAAAGATAGCCAGTTCCTTTCAATGTGCTCAGCAAGAGGATGGACCACACACCACAGACTGAAAGAGGAAACTGAGGTAAACTCCACAGCAATTTTGAACAATTTTGCCAGGTGGGGAGAGTGTGGGTGGACACAAGCAGAGGAGATTAGGGAAAAGAAAAGATGAAGGGCATGGTCTCACCCCTGAGCGATCTCTTCTCTTTCCTCTTTCTTCCTGGCCTCTTTTTTCTGGCAGTCAGCAGAGAATTGGCCACGCTGGCAAGGCCACTGACGTGCATCTCAGCTCCCAGGGCACAGAAAGAGCTGAAGCTTTTGAGCCATTTCTTTGCAATTTGCTGCAAGTTTAAGGCCACACGTGATAAAGCTTTCTTTATGGGAGAGAGTGAATAAAAGAAAAGACCACTTGTGATCTTACTTGCTGATTCCCAGAAAACACAACTCCGCAGGGGGCAGAGGGTAAGGAACAGAAGCCAGAGGAGGGCGGAAGTTTATAACAGAGACCCCTCCTCCTTCCAGAAAGTTTTTAAGCCAACTATTCCTTAGGGACATCACTGGGATCCTTGTGTTTTCTTTGTTTGTGTGTTTTGGTTTTGGTTTGTTTTGTTTTGTCTTTAACGGTTCTTGGGCTAATTTGCTACATGGTTTTCTTTTCCATTGGTGTTCTAGAATCTTTAAGGACCAAGTATCAGGTCACAATCAAAGCTCTGCAGCGCTCTGTACAAAAAGAGTTAATTCTCAGAGACATGATCAGTTGCTCATATTTACAATTTCTATGAGTTTTGAAAACAGAAAAGAAACACGTTGAATTTTTGGCATTCAATTGTTTATTCTGCCTAATTCCAAGGATAAATAAATCCTTGCACTGAGAAAGTCCACAATTCTAATACATTCTTTTTCCAAGAGAAAAACTTTAGAGGATCTTAAGCAGTAGTAGTTTGCATTTATTTTCTACCAATAAATAAATTTGCTACCAGAATTATCCAAGATTCACCCTACTCTTAAGTGGCTGAGACTCTGGGATGGTCACTTAATTTTACTGAGTCTCAACTTCTTCCTTTGTAAAGCAGAATTTTTTTGTTTAAAAAAAAAAAAAACAGATTTATAGGGCTGTTTTAAGGATTAAATTATATAATGTATTCAAAAGCACATTGCAAATGAGCGGAAGGTATCATCATTTTATATATATATATATTTAGTTCACATAATGGTCAGAATAGTTAATATTATTCAAGCACATTTTACTACAAAAGAAAGAAAAGAAAATGCAAGAAAAATGGGTTTATATTAAACCTTGCAATGAAGCAATGGTGTTTTCACACTCTGAAAGGCCAAATATTTTACTTTAACAATCAAACCAGACTTTTCCATCGGAAATAGTGAGCAAACATCCGAATACATTGAGTGTTAGTCTAGACTTCTCAGTGTCTAACAGGTGGCCAGACCACTGTTTTATTCAAGAGGAGACAGTATTTACCAGCCCAAAGGGCATAATTTTCCTCACCAAGAAATGAAATTCTCCCTTGAGAATGTAATTTTGTCTATTCCCAACTGGCTCAGTCTCACTCTCCAACACGATTCCTTTTCTTATTTCCAGAGTCCACAGTTAATGTTACTGTTTTGAATGCACATAATGTTTACACTTATTCAGAGCTTCTTATGTGCAACCTTGCATTGGATTGTAGCCTACTTCAGCCTTTCATTCCCATTTCCAAACTCTAGATGAGGGAGTTAACAAACTTCTATAAAGGGACAAATAAGAAATATTTTAGGTTTTGTAGGACCATGCAATCTCTATCACAACCACTCACCTCTGCCATTCTGGTGGTAAATTAACCACAGACAACATATAAATGAATGCATTTCCTAAGACTGCACTAACAAAGTACTACAAGCTGAGTGACCTAAAACAGAACTTTATTGTCTCACACTTTTGGAGGCCAGAAGTCAAAAATCAAGGTGTCAGCAGAGCCATGCTCCCTCTGAGACCTGTAGGGAAGAATCCTCCTTACCTCTTCCACCTCCTGGTGTTTGCTGACAGCCTGAACTCCTTGTTTTATAGGTGTATCACTCCAACAGCTGCTTCTGTTACCACATGGCCATCTTCTCCCTTTATGTCTCTGTCCTCTGTACTTAAAAAAACGCTAGTCATCTTTGGCTGGGGACCACCCTCATGACCTCATCTTAACTTGATAAGGTCTGCTAAGACTCTCTTTTCAGGAAAGGTGACATTCACAGGTACCGGGGGTTAGGACTTCCTCATATCTTTTTGGGAGACACAATTCAAGCCAGTACACTCATATTTTCATTTTCCTCCTTACTTGAATTTTTTCATGCAATTATTTTAATCACTTCCTTCTGTATACCCTCAATTCTCCTGTTTCTCTTTCAATTTATTGATCTTCCCAGGCAAAGCTCACCTCAGATAAATCCACTTTCTTTCTTCTTAGTATTTGCATCCGCACTGTTTTAAGTGATTGAAGAACAACTCAGTAACATGCCCTTAGGGCTTATTTTATATTTATAACCACTAAACTCACTGAGTCATAGAGGCATTGCTAGACGTAATACTTTTTAATGACCCAATCACTTTACCTCTCTCAAATCTTCATTTCTGGCTGCACCCTGATTATTAGCTGATGATCTTGTCTAGGAAATTCACTAACTAAACAGAAATATCAGGAGAAATATTATACTCTGTCCTCATGACATCTACTCTCTACCCAAATGTACATTGCTATTAGCTGTCTTCCTTCTTGCTCCTACAGTCCATGTTTCTAAGCCCAAACTTTAGTCACATTCCTTGTATATATTTCCTCTCCTCCAGTTCATTTTTCACCAACTCTAATCAGGTTTTGCCTTTACCACTCCAATGCAAATATTTTCATCAAGAACATTAAAGGCATTCACACTAATAAATCCAGTGATCAATATCCAGACCTCATTTTAATTGATGTATTAGCAGAATTGTATGTCATTAATGTGCCCTTCTCTTTGATACATTTTATTCACTTGGTTTCACCACACACCCCTGGTTTTCCTCCTACTTCAGTGGTCATTTGCTCTTAGTCTTCATTGCTAGAATATTCCAAAATTCAGTCTGTGGAATATCTTCTTTGCTGTCTATATTTACTTCCTTAATGACCTTATCTGGTGTCATGGCTTTAAATATAATCTATAATATAAGATCCAATGAGGTTAGGGAATATTTTGTATACCCAAATTTGAGTTGAGTTTTTCAGTCTGGAAAAATGTATACATATATACAGGAGATATGTAGATACAGATATAGATATAGATAGATATAGATATCTACGTGTGTGTGTATTAGCTCTCTCCACTGAAAAGGTCTAGAAACAATGATCAACTAAGTAGTAATAAGTGCAACTAGCACCATAAATAAAAGCACCATGGATCCTTGATATGTGACTAATACCAGGTGTAAAGATATAAGATAGGCCTGGAATATCTTGTCATAAAAAAGAGCTGGGATGCCTTGAAGACTACATTGTGCCAATAGGATTCAGAAGCCAGCCTGAACAGGTTTCTGCTAATCAAATATAGGAAAGTTTGAGCATTGGTAAGAATAATTGTAATGGTTGAAACATATAAAATAGTAATGGTTGAAACATATAAAATCACAAAATTTATGAGTTAAAAACACTATTAAAACATCACATGGTCACTTTGGAGTAATTCTAAACACAACTTAAATATTAATAGATTTAAAACTAGTGGTATTTAGGGAGAAATTGTGTGTTTATCCTAGCTTTTCTATTCCATTCTTTCCTTAGAGTTATTACAGAGTAAAGACAAATTTCTCTTCATAGAATTCCAACTAATAAACAAAAAAGGATGAGAGAATAAGAATATTATAATTTTCTTTTCTTTCTTAGGGTAATTAATATTTATTGAAATGTAATTCAATCTTAAAGTATCCTGAAAGGATTTTGGTAAGGTTTTGAAGTTTTACTGAAATAATACCAGTGCAACCTTGGTTTAGTCCAACAAATAGTCTGAAAATAGAGACTATTCTCCAGAGATGATAAATTTATTTCTAGAACAGATTTAATAAAAACAATATTAAAAATACAAAATCCTTAAACTCATTTGAGTCAAATGCAAAGGTTAAAGAAAAAAATGTAGAAAATATACTAATTTTCAATTGCTTTTAGATTGGTAGAGCTCTAATGGATTTTATTTGCATAGCTTGGTTTTTGTGGCACAGTAGAGAAATTGAGAAAGTAGTTATTGTATAAGGATGATTCCTAACCATTTTGAAAAATTTCTGTTAATATGATCAGTTCAGACCCTCGCTATAAAGTTTTTATAATTCTATATTATAAATAAGTAGATTAATTTCTAGTAGAATTAAGCTATTAGATATTTAATTTTATAATTTTTAATTTTAGATTCAGAGAGTATATGTGCAGATTTTTTACATGGGTATATTGTGAGACACTGAGTTTTGGGGTAAAATGATTCCATCAACTAGATAGTGAGCATGGTACCCAATAGGTAGTTTTTCAGCCCTTGCCTTTCTCCTCCATCTCCCCCTCAAGTAATGTGCCATGTCTATTGTTCCCATTTTTATGTCCATGTGTACCTAATGTTTAGCCTCACTTATAAGTGAGAGTATTATAATTTTCAAACCTCTAATGAATTAATGAATTTAGCGAAAGGTAATCAATGACCAATAATATCACCAAAAATCTCAAGCCATTTTCAACATCCTGATGGAAGTTAAAAGCTTGAAACACCACCTTTGAAATAGTCCTCCTTTTTACTTCCAAAGAAAACTAATCTTATCAAATCTCAGATTAGATTTAAGTACCAGTCCATAAGAAATATAGGGAAGAGAAGAGCAAGTTAAATGACACCACAAAAGATACAATCAGCAAAATTGAAAGTAAAGAATCTATTTAGGACAAATAAGTCAATATTTTTTCCAACCAAAAACCACAAGGAAAAAAGGAGAGGAGGGAGAAATTGTATATTTTAACTTAAGAAATGAACTGACCAATTACAATGTACAGACTTCGTACACCTATTCAAAAAGAAACAAACTATAACAAGAAGACTTCTTTGTAATCTTCTTAGAAGTTTTATAACCTCAGAAATGAGAACACTGTGGATATTTGTTGTATTGAGTAATTTGTGTTAGTTTTTTTTAGGGATGATAATGGTGGTATAATTGTTTTAGAGGTAAATATAGCACTTCTTTTCTTTTTTTTTTTTACAAATCATTTACTAATAGAAGGATATGTTATATTTTCATATAGAAATTCATATATTTCTATATTTCTATATTTTCATATAGAAATTCATATATTCATATAGAATTTCATATATTTTCATATAGAGGAGATGTACTAAATATTGGGAGGTATGTATGGAACAGATTGGCAGTATATTAATTGTTTGAGCTAGGTGATAGGCACCTGGTGTTCACTCTACTATTCTCTCTTGTTTGAATACATTTGAAAATTTTCATATTGAGTTTTAAATAAATGATACAGAGACAGATATACACATATGTAAATAGATTAAAAAGTGTTAGTGGATAAATTCCAAATTTATTTCTATATTTGACTACGAAGCCAATGTTGACATAAAACTTTTGTTTTCCACTATCCATTCCACGTTTTCATTGCCCTCTGTTAGGACTTCTCATGGTGGAACATTTTTACTGATAGGATGACCTGCAAGTTAATTCTTGCAAGGTCAATTTTCTTAGTGGTTCTGTTTTTATTGGGTGACTCCAGTGTCCCACCACACTCACTATGTAACATGGAAGCATTAAGGGCTCCATGCAGAATTCTTTGCATTCCAAACACAATCTTTCTTGCCACTGTTTTGATATCAGAAACCACACTTCAGCCTAGTAAACTGGGATCAATCACTTTCTACCCTGATGGTTCAGTAACATGAGACAACAAAATATACCTAATGTTAAATGACGAGTTAACGGGTGCAGCAAACCAAAATGGCACATGTATACATATGTAACAAACCTGCACGTTGTGCACATGTACCCTAAAACTTAAAGTATAAAAAAATATCCAAATAGTAGCCTTGGCTCCAGGGTAATGGAACCACTGTGTATTCTGGTGAAAGTATCCCTTACTGGAAATTATTTCATCTGAACAAGTCGAACCAAAAATTTTAGAGATAGAAAGCACCCCCAAAGCCTGCTGAACCACATGGGGTAGAATTTACAGGCTTGGGGGTGACCTGTAAAGCTGGACTACGTGTGAATTGGTGTGAACAAGGACACACTAATCTGATGTCTCAGGCTTCCTATTTTAGGTAATGATCAGAATAATCCCTCTTCTCTGGCCTGGATGTTAGTCTCCATTAGAACTTACCCATTATTATCCCTCACACCATGTAATTTAAATTTTCCTTCCTTAAGACTTGTTTTAAGAACACTTAATTGAAGGATGGCGTTAAAGGTTCAGACTAGACTGCCAAGCAATCATCTCCCGTCCACTCAGAGCCATGACATGATTGTAAGAGGAAAACCCTGAGAGAGGAGTAAAATTCACACCTGAAGAAGAGATAGTCAATCTCGTCTTCTTGTGCTGTGTATAGTTGGAAGTGTGTGTGTGTGTGTGTGTGTGTGTGTGTGAGAGAGAGAGAAAGTGTATGTTTATAGAAAGTGCACTAACTCAACTGATGTATTTGCCTGAGATAAAGAAATATAAATGATAAGTGGAAGGTTCCTTTTGGAGCAGGAAGCTGGAGAGGGTAGTTTCAGGCCAGAGCAAAGGGGGATTTGAAAACATCAGGCTTAGGAGTTGGGATTTGATATCATAGGTAATGGGGAAATAATAGGTGTAGATTGAAGAATCAATTTCTTAGGAAACCTAGGTAGAAATACAACTGTCTATTTTATAGGACTCTAAAGCTGAATGCCAGAAATGTGGGTATTTTGGCTTTGGTGCTATTTGATTAAAGAAAGGACACAACTTAGTTGCAGAAAGTTAGATGATGACTAAATGTGGCTATGAATTCATTAGTGATAGTGAGAAAGATGTGACCACGAGAATATAAGCCCCACAAGGTTCTTTGGATATTGTAGGAAGGCCAATAGATGTCGTCTCACAACAGAGTAAGTTAGGTACCACACCATGGTATTTGCATATAAGAGGAAAGGATGCCTTCAGAGGACTGGAGGAAGTGGATTGTACAAATACTACACAAATCATAATACTGCAGAATTATTTTTATATTATACATTATCTTCACTCATAACATCGACATAGATAATCTAGGACATAATTTTAATAATTTTGAGTATATATTTACTGTAATATTTATATATTATATATATAAAACCAAGAGGCACTTCCAGTAATTCTGGCAAAAAGGGAGCATCAACATAGTATCTAAGCTAAAAAATAATAAAAATAAATACAATTGATCTAGTTTTTTTTCTGTACAGATTCTACTTTTTACAAACATTTCTCCGCCACTAAGTCGCCTAACAATACTTGTGATGGGATGATACTAAGTATTGCTACATATATTAAATGGAAGATATAGGTGAAAGGACAAGATTTATTTCAATTGCAAAATGATGAAGTTCAAAAGACTCACTCTTGTTTTTCTAGAAGTTGAAAAATTTGGCAAAGTTATTAGTAAACATATTCAGGTCTGTCGAGAGTGGTAAGAATTACATTGTTAAAAATTGTCATGTACAAATGACATCCCTATAGTGTCACTTTGGTTGGCAGTTATTTGAAAATATTGCTTTTCAGAAACAGTAAATTTAGTTAATTAAATACTCTCTGGTTTACAAATATCCTTCAAGGTCAAATTTTTGGGCCATATTAATTAAAACTTGCCAATGCCAGTTTTTTTTTTTTTTTTTTTTTTTCTGTTGGGAAGAGGTAATGACTGGTCAGAACAAATGCCCGCAGAAATCAGAGCACATTTTAATACCAAAATGCAAATCAAATTATTCAAACCAACCAAAACCTAAAACACTCTAAATTCAGATTAAATTTCCTTCAGTCACATATCCTAATATATTATAGAAAGCCAGGGAGAATCTCATTTTTATTATTTTGCATTGAGAGCTTTCAAATATTTGTAAAAGCACCAATTTTCATTTTGTGATTTGCATGATAGAAAACTTGAGGAAGAAATATCAGGGGGTGGGTGGGTTCAGTGATATTTATTACCAGTGCTTATCAACTAACAGATTGTTCTTGTTGGAACAAAAATGGTATGCATTCTTCTGTGAGAATACATTAAGACATAAACTGACAGTCATAAGTGAAAAAAACACCAGTTAAGCAAACATAATAAGCTAAAATTCCCATGCAAATATTTTACAGAGTATAAAAAATTTAGTGATTTTTTAAGCTGATGAACAAATATGTATTAAGTAAAGCCATTAAAACCTCACTAACAGGTAATATATAGATATGGTAGAATTATTAAAGTTAGCAATACTATAATACTAAATTATCCTTATAAATAGTTAAAATGAAATCATCGCTGATATAAGATGGAGTTTTTGACCCATAATCAGTTGGGAATTTTAAAAAGAAAAGGGACAAGGAAACTGCTATGAACCAACACTTTATATACACAAAGAACTATTTATTGAAGTATATATACTTCAAACAACTATTTGTAATTTCACATTGAACATCTGAGTATTTTGCCTTTTTTAGGGAGTAAAATTACCGGAAAGAAAATCTTTCTCTTCAAAAGTTATTCAAGTAGCAGTTTTCAAACTAATTCAAGGGCTAATTCACATTTGGAAACATGTATAAGTGCTCCTTGTCATAAAGGAAGTCATGGTTGAACAGTGTATCCACAAGTCATTTCACTCCAGAGTAACTAAATTGGTTTGTATTAAAGACTGAGGGGTGTCCTGGGATACCCTGCAAATTTTATGTAGTGTTCACTCCCAATCCACAGCTCTGCATTTTTTGCTTCTTAGTACCATGGACTTTACAAGGAAAGCAGGCTTGAGGAACTAGAACTTAAGTCGAAGGCCATTCTTTCTTTTAATTATGGCAGAGGAGAATTTCTGCTTATTTTTTGGTTACTAATATTGAGTAAGAGAAGTATAATTGAAGAGAAGCCATGCTTTCCTCCTATGAGTTTGTCTTTGTTTTTTCTTCATCTGGTTTTTGTTTTGAAACAGGAAAGGAAAAATATCCTGCTGTAGTTTGTTTAATTTGAAATAGGAACTTTCAATGACACGGAAATATTAAACCATTAAGGCTTACAAAGTTTTGTTATTAATTTTTTATTAATGAATTTCAAATTCTAACCTACTATCTGATCATGCTGGGCAGATTAATGCAGTGGCTGTTGTTTATTGACTGGTCAGTGTTTCATCTGTGAAAGTCAAGATTAGTAAGGTTTAATTTTTCTTAGTAGGAAAGATAAGTATTTGGCCTTTTGTGTTAGAACTTAGTAAAATAAAATATACATTAATAGAACATTTATTTTATAACAACACAAAACAATAAATTGCTGGATAATACACTCCTTTGTCTTAGGAAAACTCAGAAGATCTCAGACTATAATTTGTACAAAGTTAAATTATTGACACTAATTTTTATCTAATGTATTTGAATCCTTCATAAAACATTTTCCCCATGAGGCTTGTAGAATATTAGAAAAAGAATTAAACCTTCTTTCTAGTTTTCTGTTATATGATACTAGTTCTTATTATATCAAAATATTCAGCCTCTGAGTATATGAAAATAATCAGTAGTTTACAGTTCTGATTATGTGAAAATACTCAGTACCACGGAATGTCATTTTGTGGGTTTCATTTTAAGTTAAAAATTAAAAAATTAAATAACTTTGCTTCAAGAAAATAAACCAAATTTAAACATTCTTGAGAATACTTACCTATGGTGATTTATTATTACTCTTTGAAGCATTTTTGGTTATTGAATTATTTGCATAACTAAAGAACCACTTCTTAATGCAAAGCAATGAGGAAATCATTGCTTCATTGTCAGAACATGAACATGTTCAACATTTTTTATCTGTAAAGAGAAGGCTTTTCTTCTGTGCTCCACAACTTTTCAAGGAAGCAGAAACCCAAGGATACCAATGTGTGTCAAGGAAATCAACCTTAAAAACATGTGGAGAAAAACTAGCTGTATCTGGAAAGAAAATGTGGATTCCTTTTAGAGACTTAAACATATGTCAAAAGCTAATTTTGTTTTCCATTTATATATAATTCTATACACTGTATTTTATGGTCTTACCTACACTGATACTAGGTCAGTATTTTTGAATCAGCAGGTAAACACTGATTTCCACTATGGAAATGAAGCCTTTATCTTCAGTTTCGTGTCTTCATATTTTGCCAAAAAATGTTCTTTTTTTTTTTTTTTTTTTTTTTGAGGCAAAATTTAACTCCTGTTGCCCAGGCTGGAGTGCAATGGTGCAATCTCAGCTCACCATAACCTCTGCCTCCCAGGTTCAAGCGATTCTGCCTCAGCCTCCTGGGTAGCTGGGATTACAGACATGCGCCACCACACCTGAATCATTTTGTATTTTTAGTAAAGACGGGGTTTCTCCGTGTTGGTCAGGCTGGTGTCGAACTCCCGACCTCAGGTGATCCACCAGCCTTGGCCTCCCAAAGTGCTGGGATTACAGGCGTGAGCCACTGCGCCCGGCCCAAAAATGTTCATTTTACTTCACCATTGTTAGCCTGCTGTTAGAATGATTTGCTGGTGGGAACACAAAAAGCACTTCAAGTTAGGTAAAAGCACCATTAGGTAAGGTCAAAGCAACATGTATTTCAACAAATACCATGTGTTGGCAATAGCACACATTGCCTAACATCCATGGTGCATAACATAGACTGGAAAATATGTTACCATTCTCTGAGCATGGGTCTTTGGTGTGAAACACACAAATACGTATGCAAATCTCAATTTAAGTTATGTATAGTTTTTAGCTCAACTCATTGTTTGTAGTGTAATTCATTCCCAATAAGAATTTGAATATCTTCCAGATGAACAAATTGATGTGTGAACATAGGACCTAAAACTGATATATTTCTTAAAAAGAACAATTTAATCTTGGAATATTCTTTACCTAAAATTGCTGATTTCTTAATCTTAAAATTGAATTTTGTTGAAGATTTAAAAAATGGACTGACAATATCAGCAAATTCATAAAGACACAAACGACCTAGGACAATGGTCATAAAATGTGTTGCTGCTTGTTCGATCAATGAAATAAACTCAGTTTGGCTTCAAAGTACATAGATATTTTAGCTTTCAATTATCTGGAATTGAGCTATTAGCATTTGAACTTCTATTGATATTTCTTTCACACATTAGCTAATAATCTCTAAATAAGGGGGATCTTGTTGGTTTTTCTAGACTATGAAAGTTCATAGAACTTTGTTTTATTGGAGCGTTCTAACAGTTTGAAAGGAAGTTTATTTACAAATGGCATATAAGTCAGGAAAGGCATTAAACTAGAATCAGGGTTAGGATGACAGAAGAGGACAAGACCCTTATTGAGGTTTCCATTATTATTTTAGAAGTACTATAAATGATGAGGACAATGGAGAGCCCGATACTGACATGGAAGCACCAAGAATACCTCCCACAGTAGAATATAAATGATTTTTAGATTATTCACTTCTCATTAATCAGGATTTGATAATCACACAATTAGTTCACTTTTATAAATTAATAATTTCAAACTTTAGACTTTATTTATAATGATAATTTTTATACTTTTATTACTTAGAAAATAATTTATATTTTTCCATCATTTAAACAAAGAGTAGGCCTGAGTCTCATGCCTTTTGCACAGCTTTTACCTTCAAAGAAAGTTATCTGGGTAAGATAGGCAGGAAATATGGGGAAATTGCAAATTAACAGTCTACATACATCTAATATGAACAGTCTGTAAGATATTCCTTTTCTTTCGTTTTACTGGGATTGCAACGGAAAGATTTGTTCTGGTATTCAACCAAAATAGACAGAATCGGGAATTCTATTTTTAGGAAGTAAATACTTTCTTGAACATAATATGAGAAAATTTCTTCATTCATCAGATGAAGACTAATATAGATATATCCCTGTACAGAGCTACTGTCTTCATCTTTTATTGAGAGCCAAACCAGGTCTTATCTAAATGACAAAAAATATTACAGCTAACAAAAGCAAAAGTGGTGCTTTTATCAAGGAAACCAATATTTTAAAGGTTAATTTAGATAGATATATAACCGGAAAGACATTTATTAGCATGCTGAAAATAACACTGATGACACTCAGAATACACCTGGTCTCTTACTTTATTTAACAGAGAACCATGGCATCCAGGTAACCAGTTCCAACTTTTCCTACCATTGATTTTATGGTTTTCTAAACAATTATCTTTTTCCCTAAGTGGGCTAGAAACTCTTTCATTTGAAAGACCTGAGTTTAATGGCACCTATAAATAGGCTCATATAAAAATGTAGTAAATTGCAACAAATACATTGGCACCACAGGAAGTAAGCTCTGGAGTTAGATGTGAACATAATAATATTGCTGTCACCAAAAAGGGGGAGAACTCTACTGGCAGAAAATGTCCCTTAGCATCCTTTGAGATGTACTGGGTGTGTATGAAAGTCACAAACTTAGTGGATCTTCATCCCTTTATTTATCCCAATTGACGTCTAGCTGTAATAGCAATTTATTTTTAAAGAAAAATGTATCAATCTGCCTGGATTGCTGAACACAGTTCTGGAATGAAGATGTTCTAATTGCTTTGGCCACTATTATTCCTCTTATTTCCTGTACCTTAAAACAAAACAAACAAACAAAACCAGGCAGTTTGCTGAGACTTCCACCATAGTAGCCAAGCTGCCCCACTAGTTGGACTATACAGCTTTGATGAAACTGTCAATAGACTGTGATGGACTTCCAACTGTCCTGCCAGTCCACTCACTCCAAACATAGCTCTATGTTCAATTAATATTTATGTTAGAGATGGACGCATTTGGAAAATGGGAAAATATTGACTTTGCTAAGTACTTAGATGCAAGGGGTATGAGAAGATAAGATAAATGCTTTTTTCCCCTTAATTGCAAGGAAAGAAAAATAGTTAAATTCACTGGCAAAATTTGACTTATAGTAATTTTTGCAAACATGGAGATACACAGGTAAAACTAAGAAAATGAAAACAATTTAGTAAGTTCTAAATAATGAAGACCTGGTGTTAATTCAGAAATATACTGAAATATATTTTAATTATTTAGGTAGAGGCTGCATCCACTTGATCCTTTTTACATTTTCCAACTTATTGGAGAATTTGCCTTGAAACCATGTATATTTTTTGTCGTATTATCTTTGCCTTATTTTTTAAAATGCCATGAATTATTGTAAAATAATGCTTTGAAAGGGGGGAGTACAATATCCATTTATGAGAAACAAAAGTATTTTTAATGTAAACATTCCTTTCTACTACGTCAGAGAAAATAAAAACTGGAAATCACAATCAAGGTTTACTTAGAAGGTAAGATTGTTTAGATAATGAGCAGGTCTGTATATAAGTACTCAAGGAAGAATCATAACAAACAGTGTTGGAAAGAAATGGACACCAACTATAAAATATGGTATTGGTTAACAGTTTTTCATCTGGGAGATATGGACCCAGAATTCATTCAGTTAGCAAAAGTTACTAGTGAAAAAACATGCTTTGCAGCATCCTCATTTAACTGGCAATAAAACTATATCAGATTATCATTTAAATTAGAAAAGGTAGATGATTGGTTGTCCATCGACCTCCATGCAAATGAATCATCATTCTCTTACTGGGCTTGGAGAGAACTACAATGTATAAAAATGGTGATTAAAATATAACTTTATAAAAATGTTTCCCTTTTCCTTTTTTAAAAAAAGAGTTTACTATCTACAGAAACAAAAAAATCTTCATATTTACATCAAGATAACTATCATGACATATATAATAATATGAAATAAAATATTGAAAGTGAGTATCAACTTTTTAAATAGAGGTTTGGCTCACAGCATAAACAAGTGTAGATAAACAAACAAACCAAAACAAAACAAACAAAAAAAAAGACTTTCAATAATAACCCAATCTTCAAACAATCTCTCTATAATCTCCCCGGCCAGAAGAAGCATGACTGACAATGGGCCAGACTGCCGATGGAAGCTACCCCAACAAACAGCGTGTGGAACACCACAACAGGGGTTGTCAGTGGGACCTTCACCCCTGAAAGACAAACTACAACAGTTGCCAAGAATCAGGCTTTTCCTATGTCAACACAAAAACCCTGTGTTGAAATATTCTCCTTCATCTCTTGCTATATAACCCAGAGTGATTTTTCTGTTTCCTTTTCTTTCTCTACCACATATTTTGCAGCAAATTAAGAAGACACAGGCTATCACGCTGAAGTACAATTTCCCAAGCCTTCTCTGGCATCATTTAGAATTCTAACCTGATTAAAAGACCTGACTTCAGCTCTTAGGTGTTTAGGTATAAAGAATGCCATCCCCTTAAATGGTGATTTGATCTTAGTTGAGTGACATCCATACTCATAGACAGTTCCTATACATTCATTAGGCAAGTAGACTGGAAAATGCCTCAGTCTTTCGGGTTTGAGGCTGGTGATAGAGCTCCTTCAAGTGGTGCATAGCAGTAATGTAATACCAAACACGTGGCCCTCTCACCCAGCCCTTGAGTGCCCTCCATCAGCAAAAGGCCCTTTATTGAAGCTAAATGGAGGAGGGCATTTGGAATGGCTGCCTCCCAAAGACACTCCAGAGTGAACTTCCTTCTGTTTGTTCACATGTATTCAGTCATTTGCTACAGCTATTCTGAGTTACTTAAACCACAAAAATCTCTTTACATATGCACACACATGCACACAAGCACCCTCTCAAACCATTCCCTTCTGTCTCTCTTTCACACACACACACACACACACACACACACACACACACACACACAGTGTTGGCAGGATGTATCAGAATTCAAATAATGCTCTGGAACTTTCATCCCTCAGTACTAAGAGCAAAAGCTGCTTAGTTGGTAACCTACATTTCCTGCACTGTTTCCTTGCTAAGCCACACCATCTCCTTTGTGATTTGGTTTCCTTTATGATTTATTATATCACAGTGACCACTATATATATATCTTAATATAAATGTTACTAAATTGTGGAGCCAGCAATCGTGGCCTTCAGTGTGTATGTGTGTGCGTGCATGGGTGTGAATATGTTTTACATGTATCTATGTGGGAGCTTATATACACACACACATATATATTCCCTCCTTAAAAAATCCTTAGAAGCTGGTGTTGCAATGTGAAAGCTTCTTTGAGCAAAAAGTTTTTAACAATGTACCTCACTGTAAAAATATACACACAAAATGCGAAGAATCCCAAAATGCAATAGCCATTTGCCCATCTCAAATTTCTACAGTGTTGTGTCTAAATGTTGTGCTGGCTTGAAGAGAGTCTTTGACAAGTCAATCTGTTTGGAAACACAGCCCATTCTATCCATTGTCACTGGTCTGGCTTTTGGGTTGGTATCTCCTCGCCTCTTGGTTTCCCTTTCTCTTCTTCTTCTTCCTTGATAGCCTGGATCTGTTCTGAAGAGTGCGACTGAGGGGTCTGGTCCAGGGATTGATTTTCTATGCCTGCCAACCGTTGCTCCTCTTCAATGACTTTCTTCCACATCTTGTGGTTCTGTAAGAGGTGCTGAGTTATTTGGCAGTAGATTTTTCTCCTTTTGAAAGTCTTCTTTTCTAAAATAAATAAAATAAAAAACACCAAATCAGACTACTTAGTTGTGTGCTGAGCACATGAACGTTATCTCTTTTCAGATAATTAAGAGGAGTTAATCCATAACCTTATTATATTATATTATATTATATATATATTATTATATATATAATATATATATTATAATACTGTATATTATAATAATGCAGTTTTGGAGAATGGGGAAAAAAGAGGAAGATGGCAATAATCATTAAAATATCACTGACAAATAACTAGGGACAGTATTTAATATTTGGCAATGTTCAGTGCAAGATTCTGCTTATATCTTGGTATTATTCTCATTACATTCAGGCTCTCAAGACTTTCCACATAGATCACTGAAATAACTTCTTGTTAGTCTGTCTCTGTCAATCAATTTAATTCACAAACATCTACAAGACTGATATATTTAAAGATGGTTTTGATGTTCCTCATCTGCTTCATGTGGACTAAAAAATTAATTTCAGGCTGGGTGCAGTGGCTCACGTCTGTGAATCCCAGCACTTTGGGAGGCCAAGGCGGGCGAATCACGAGCTCAGGAGATTGAGACCATCCTGGCTAACACGGTGAAACCCTGTCTCTACTAAAAATACAAAAAATTAACCAGGCGTGGTGGCAGGCGCCAGTAGTCCCAGCTACTCAGGAGGTTGAGGCAGGAGAATGGTGTGAACCCAGGAGGCGGAGCTTGCAGTGAGCTGAGATAGAGCCACTGCACTCCAGCCTGGGCAACAGAGCGAGATTCCATCTCAAAAAAATAAAATAAACTAAAAATTAATTTCAAAGTGTAGTTAACTACACTTAACTACTCTGCTTTTCTTATTTTTAAAACATCTACACTGAACTCATATTTTCAAGCTGGTATTGTCTATCCTGAAATGTTCTTTGCAACCACTTGAGAGTATATATTCCTTCATTTTTTAAAGACTCCATCAGATTTCACTGAATTCTTCTAAGAAATAATCTCTTTCTTCTAAATTCCCATGATACTCCATATGTACCTCCTAGAGTATATACTGTTTCTGTTTTTATTTTTTCCTTTTTCTTCTCCTTATCTTTATCTCTTCTTCTGGTAACTGTGCGTCCAAAATCATTTAGGGGGAACTTTTCCCCCTTCCTTCAATTATGTGGTTCCAGAAAAGGTTGTTAAATTCTACTTCTGCCCTCACAACCAGTCTACAAAATTGTTTCACAGTGACTGGCCAATGGGTGTGTGTGTGGCCCAAGTCGGGCCTGAGTCCTCCCCTGAGATATTTCTCATTTGCACAGAATGAATGTCGGTTTGCGAGGTGTAATTGGAGATCCTTTCTCCTTTGCTTATGCATCTGGCATGAAGTGAACTTAGAGCTGGCTACAGTTCCAGCTTCATGAAGAAAGCAAGGCTGAAAGAACAAGCTGTTAGGCAGGTGAGGCAGAGACAAACGCAGGAACAAGTAAGCACTGATAATAGCCAACATCATGTTTACATGAACCAATAATGTTCTCTTTTTGTATATACTCATTCCATTGGAATTTTATAACTTCTAACAAAAAAAAGGTTCTACCTTAGCATACCTCCTTTAAGAAACTTGTCTTGGAGGGTGTCTTCAAGACGGTAGGCTAGAGGCATCTGGTACTTGCCTGCTCCACAGAGAAGAACCAATGGAGTGAGTAGGTAATCAGACTTATCATCTAAAATATAATTTTGAATTCAACAGAGAAATTACAGGAAATGCCTAAGGTAAGGAAGAAGAGAGAAGTAAGGCAGCCTGCTCAGCTAGCATCATCTATGAGCCTAGAGAGGCTCCCTAAAATATGAGGAAAGATTAAGTGAATGAATCCAGCCATCCACATTCCCACCATGTACTCCTGCAGTCCTAGCCTTGGGGAAGTCTGTCAACCCATGTGGTCTCTGAAACTGATACAGAGAGCTGCCTGGAAATCATGTGATGGCATTGCTTCAGAGAGGGAGCTCACACCAGGACCCACATATCCACCAAGTCCTGAGCAGCTTAGGAGAGGCACATGTGGCCCACTGCTGCCACCACTGGGGTCTAAAGACTGATTCACATCACATCCCTGTCCCCAGCAAAATTTTACAACAGGCTTCCACTAATAACCACACTCTAAGCCACTGAAGGAATCATAGATACTACTGATACTGTTTACAGTCAAATAAATCATAGAGACTATGCTACTGCCTGCACCCAAAATCAAAAGCCAAGGAACTTTACCCAACTGGCAGCATAGATACACCTTCAAGAAAAAGTTTCCCTGACAAAAGATAATTTAATAAATCGGCTGTAATCTCAGCACTTTGGAAGGCTGAGACAGGCAGATCACGAGGTCTGGAGATTGAGACCATCCTGGCTAACATGGTAAAACCCCGTCTCTACTAAAAATACAAAAAATTAGCCAGGCATGGTGGCGGGCACCTGTAATCCCAGCTACTTGGAAGGCTGAGGCAGGAGAATTGCTTGAACCCGGGAGGCGGAGGTTGCAGTAAGCCAAGATGGTGCCACTGCACTCCAGCCTGGGTGACAGAGCGAGACTCTGTCTCAAATAAAAAGAAAAGAAAAAAAAATTAGAACAAGCAACTGCTACACCAGATACACAGATACCACTGCAAAGACACAAGAGATGTGAAAAAGCAAGAAAATATGACACCTCCAAATGAACAAAATAATCCTCCAGCAACAGATTCCAATGAATAAGAATTTTTTGAAATCCCAGATAATTCAAAATAACAATATTAAAGCCTATCTCAGTGAGATAGACTACAACTCAGAAAAACAATTCATAATATGAATGAGAAATTTACTAAAGAGACAGGTATAAAAACAAAGAACCAAAGACAAACTCTGGAATGAAGAATTCATTGAAAGAAATACAAAATACATTCAAAAGTTTTAACAATAGACTATATCAAGTTGAAGAAAGAATCAGAATTTGAAGACAGGTCTTTTGACATAACCCAGTCAGATGAACACTAAAAACATAAAAAATAATAATAATGAACAAAGCTTGCATGACATATTTGAATTTTCAGTGTCCCAGAAGGTGAAAAGAAAATAAAAGGGACAGAAAACCTGTTTAACAAAATTATAGGTGAAAACTTCCCAAGTCTAACAAAAAGAGATTTAGACATCTAGATGCAGGAAGCTCAGAGAAACTCACACAAATAAAATTCAAGGTCCTCCCCGTGGTGCATTGTAGCCAAACTTTCAAAAGTCAAAGATGGCTGGGTGCGGTGGCTCACGCCTGTAATCCCAGCACTTTCGGAGGCCAAGACAGGCAGATCACGAGGTCAGGAGATCGAGACAATCCTGCCTAACACGGTGAAACTCCATCTCTACTAAAAATACAAAAAATTAGCCAGGCATGGTGGCGTGTGCCTGTAGTCCCAGCTACTCGGGAGGCTGAGGCAGGAGAATGGTGTGAACCCAGGAGGCGGAGCTTGCAGTGAGCTGAGATCACGCCACTGCACTCCAGCATGGGGGACAGAGCGAGACTCCATCTCAAAAAAAAAAAAAAAAAAAGTCAAAGACATAGAGAGTTCTAAAAACAGCAAAAGAAAAGTATCTAGTAACTTATAAGGAAACTCCAATCAGACTAACAGATTTCTCAGCAGAAATCATTCAGTCCAGGAGATAATGGGATAATATATTCAAGTCACTGAAAGAAAAAACCATATACCCAGCCAAGTTGTCCTTTATAAATGAAGGAAAAATAAAGTCTTTTCTCACAGAAGCAAAGCTCAGAGAATTCATCACCACTAGACCAGCACTACAAGAAATACCTCAGGGAGGCTGACATGTGAAAGCAAAAGGATGATATCTATCATTATGAAAACACTTGAAAGTATAAAACCCACTGGTAGAGCAAACACAAATAAGGAAATGAAAGGAATCAAATGTTAGCACTACAGAAAACCACCCAACTGCAATGATAAACAATAAGACAGAGAGAGAGAGAGAGAAAGGAACAAAAGATATACATAACAATTATAAATCAATTAACAAAATGACAGGAATGAAGACTCAGATATCGATAATCACCTTGGGTGTAAACAGACTAAGATTTCCATTCACAAGACATAGAATGGGTGAATTGATTAAAGAACATGACTTAATTATGTGCTAAGAAGCTCATCTCACCTGTACACAGATACAGACTAGAAGTAAAAGATAGAAAAGACAGATATAGACTAGAAGTGAAAGACAGAAAAATATACTTCATGCAAACAAAAGCAAAAAAGCAAGAGTAGCTATACTTATATTAGATGAAACAGAAATTAAGTCAAAACAGTAAAAAGAAGACACAGTCATTATATAATGACAACGAGATCAATTCAGTAAGAGGATAGAATAGTTCTAAACATATATGCACCAATACCAGAGCAACCAGATACTAAACCTGATCTTAGCCAAAAGGCTGAGAAGCAGTATCACACCCAGATATATGCAAAGCAAACATTAATAGATCTAAAGGGAGAGAGACACTTCAACACAAAAATAGTTGAGGAATTCAACATCCCACTCTCAGAACCAGACAGCTCATCTAGACAGAAAATTAATAAATAAACGTTGGATTTAAACTGCATTTTAGGCCAATGGACTTCACAGATATTTACAGAACATTTTGTTGAACAGCTGCAGAGTACTCATTGTCAGCACATGGAACTATTCTCCAGGATAGACCAGATGCTAGGATACAAAATAAGTCTCAAAACATTTTTTAAAAATCTAAATTATATCAAGTTTCTTCTCAGACCACAATGAATAAAACTAGAAATCAATAACAAAAGAAACTTTGGAAACTGTATAAATACATGAAAATTAAAAAAAATGTCTCTGAATGACCTTTGGGTCAAAGAGATAATTAAGGAATAAATCAATAAATTTCTTGAAACAAATGAAAATGGAAACAACACAAAGTAGTAGTCAAAAGGAAGTTTAACACAATAAATATCAACAACAAAAAACTAAAAATGTTTCAAATAAGCAACCTAATAATGCACCTCAAGGAACTTGAGAAGCAATAACTAACTAGGCCACAAAGTAGTAGAATAAAAGAAATAATAAAGATAAGAGAACTAAATAAAATAAAAATTTAAAAAGTACAATGTGTCAAGGAAACAAAAGTTGGTTTTTTGAAAAGATAAACAAAATGAATAAGCCACTAGCTAGACTAACCAAGAAAAATGAGAAGACCTCCAAAAATAAAATCAGAAATGAAAAAGGAGACATTATAACTGATAGCACAGAAATACAAAAGTATCAGAGACTATTTTGAACAAGTATGTATTAGCAAACTAGAAAACCTAGATGAAATGGATAAATTCCTGGACACATATACCAAGATTGAATCAGGAAGAAATAGAAAACCTAAATAGACCAATAATAAGTAATCAGATTAAATCAGCAATAAAGACTCCCAACAATAAAAAGTTCAGTACTGGGTGACTTCGCATAAAAATGCTTTTTTGCATCTATCCTCTCAATATATGCAGAAAAAGCATTTGATAAAATTCAACATCACTTCATGATAAAAACTAAAAATACTAGGAAGGAACATGCCTCAACATAATAAACACCACACATAATAAAACCACAGCTAATATCATATTGAATGTGGAAAGTTGAAAGCCTTTCCTCTAAGAACTAGAAAAGGACAAGGTGCTCACTATCACTGCTGCTATTCAAAATTGTACTAGAAGTCCTACTCAGAACAATCAGGCATCCAAACTGGAAAAGAGGAAGTCAAATTGTCCCTCTTTGTAGATGACATAATCCTATATCTAGAAAAACATAGACTCCATCAAAAAACTCTTAGATCTGATAAATAAATTGAGTAAAGTTGCAGGATACAAAAATCAATATACAAAAAAATCAGTAGTATTTCTATATACCAATGATGAACTAGCTGACAAAGAAATTAAGAAGGCAATCCCTTTTACAATAGCTATAAAAAATTAGAAATAAATTTAACCAAGATGGATAAAGACCTCTACATGGAAAACTACAAAAATCTGATGAAACACGTTGAAGACAACACACACGAATGCAAAGACATCCCATGATCATGGATCTGAAGTATTAATATTGTTAAAATGACCATTCTACCCAAGCAATGTATGGATTCAGTGCAATCTTTATTTTTATTTTTATTTTTTTTATTTTTATTTTTATTATACTTTAAGTTTTAGGGTACATGTGCACATTGTGCAGGTTAGTTACATATGTATACATGTGCCATGCTGGTGCACTGCACCCACTAACTCGTCATCTAGCATTAGGTATATCTCCCAATGCTATCCCTCCCCCCTCCCCCCACCCCACAACAGTCCCCAGTGTGATATTCCCCTTCCTGTGTCCATGTGTTCTCATTGTTCAATTCCCACCTATGAGTGAGAATATGCGGTCTTTGGTTTTTTGTTCTTGCAATAGTTTACTGAGAATGATGTTTTCCAATTTCATCCATGTCCCTACAAAGGACATGAACTCATCATTTTTTATGGCTGCATAGTATTCCATGGTGTATATGTGCCACATTTTCTTAATCCAGTCTATCATTGTTGGACATTTGGGTTGGTTCCAAGTCTTTGCTATTGTGAATAATGCCGCAATAAACATACGTGTGCATGTGTCTTTATAGCAGCATGATTTATAGTCCTTTGGGTATATACCCAGTAATGGGATGGCTGGGTCAAATGGTATTTCCAGTTCTAGATCCCTGAGGAATCGCCACACTGACTTCCACAATGGTTGAACTAGTTTACAGTCCCACCAACAGTGTAAAAGTGTTCCTATTTCTCCACATCCTTTCCAGTACCTGTGGTTTCCTGACTTTTTAATGATTGCCATTCTAAATGGTGTGAGATGGTGTCTCATTGTGGTTTTGATTTGCATTTCTCTGATGGCCAGTGATGATGAGCATTTTTTCATGTGTTTTTTGGCTGCATAAATGTCTTCTTTTGAAAAGTGTCTGTTCATGTCCTTCGCCCACTTTTTGATGGGGTTGTTTGTTTTTTTCTTGTAAATTTGTATGAGTTCATTGTAGATTCTGGATATTAGCCCTTTGTCAGATGAGTAGGTTGTGAAAATTTTCTCCCATTTTGTAGGTTGCCTGTTCACTCTGATGGTAGTTTCTTTTGCTGTGCAGAAGCTCTTTAGTTTAATTAGATCCCATTTGTCAATTTTGTCTTTTGTTGCCATTGCTTTTGGTGTTTTAGACATGAAGTCCTTGCCCATGCCTATGTCCTGAATGGTAATGCCTAGGTTTTCTTCTAGGGTTTTTATGGTTTTAGGTCTAACGTTTAAGTCTTTAATCCATCTTGAATTGATTTTTGTATAAGGTGTAAGGAAGGGATCCAGTTTCAGCTTTCTACATATGGCTAGCCAGTTTTCCCAGCACCATTTATTAAATAGGGAATCCTTTCCCCATTGCTTGTTTTTCTCAGGTTTGTCAAAGATCAGATAGTTGTAGATATGCAGCGTTATTTCTGAGGGCTCTGTTCTGTTCCATTCTTGTATATCTCTGTTTTGGTACCAGTACCATGCTGTTTTGGTTACTCTAGCCTTGTAGTATAGTTTGAAGTCAGGTAGTGTGATGCCTCCAGCCTTTGTTCTTTTGGCTTAGGATTGACTTGGCGATGCGGGCTCTTTTTTGGTTCCATATGAACTTTAAAGTAGTTTTTTCCAATTCTGTGAAGAAAGGCATTGGTAGCTTGATGGGGATGGCATTGAATCTGTAAATTACCTTGGGCAGTATGGCCATTTTCACGATATTGATTCTTCCTACCCATGAGCATGGAATGTTCTTCCATTTGTTTTTATCCTCTTTTATTTCCTTGAGCAGTGGTTTGTAGTTCTCCTTGAAGAGGTCCTTCACATCCCTTGTAAGTTGGATTCCTAGGTATTTTATTCTCTTTGAAGCAATTGTGAATGGGAGTTCACTCATGATTTGGCTCTCTATTTGTCTGTTGGTGTATAAGAATGCTTGTGATTTTTGTACATTGATTTTGTATCCTGAGACTTTGCTGAAGTTGCTTATCAGCTTAAGGAGATTTTGGGCTGAGACAATGGGGTTTTCTAGATATACAATCATGTCATCTGCAAACAGGGACAATTTGACTTCCTCTTTTCCTAATTGAATACCCTTTATTTCCTTCTCCTGCCTAATTGCCTTGGCCAGAACTTCCAACACTATGTTGAATAGGAGTGGTGAGAGAGGGCATCCCTGTCTTGTGCCAGTTTTCAAAGGGAATGCTTCCAGTTTTTGCCCATTCAGTATGATATTGGCTGTGGGTTTGTCATAGATAGCTCTTATTATTTTGAAATATGTCCCATCAATACCTAATTTATTGAGAGTTTTTAGCATGAAGGGTTGTTGAATTTTGTCAAAGGCTTTTTCTGCATCTATTGAGATAATCATTTGGTTTTTGTCTTTGGCTCTGTTTATATGCTGGATTACATTTATTGATTTGCGTATATTGAACCAGCCTTGCATCCCAGGGATGAAGCCCACTTGATCATTGTGGATAAGCTTTTTGATGTGCTGCTGGATTCAGTTTGCCAGTATTTTATTGAGGATTTTTGCATCAATGTTCATCAAGGATATTGGTCTAAAATTATCTTTTTTTGTTGTGTCTCTGCCTGGCTTCGGTATCAGGATGATGCTAGCCTCATAAAATGAGTTAGGGAGGATTCCCTGTTTTTCTATTGATTGGAATAGTTTCAGAAGGAATGGTACCAGTTCCTCCTTGTACCTCTGGTAGAATTCAGCTGTGAATCCATCTGGTCCTGGACTCTTTTTTGTTGGTAAACTATTGATTATTGCCACAATTTCAGATCCTGTTATTGGTCTATTCAGAGATTCAACTTCTTCCTGGTTTAGTCTTGGGAGAGTGTATGTGTCGAGGAATTTATCCATTTCTTCTAGATTTTCTAGTTTATTTGCGTAGAGGTGTTTGTAGTATTCTCTGATGGTAGTGCGTATTTCTGTGGGATCGGTGGTGATATCCCCTTTATCATATTTTATTGCGTCTATTTGATTCTTCTCTCTTTTTTTCTTTATTAGTCTTGCTAGTGGTCTATCAATTTTGTTGATCCTTTCAAAAAACCAGCTCCTGGATTCATTAATTTTTTGAAGGGTTTTTTGTGTCTCTATTTCCTTCAGTTCTGCTCTGATCTTAGTTATTTCTTGCCTTCTGCTAGCTTTTGAATGTGTTTGCTCTTGCTTTTCTAGTTCTTTTAATTGTGATGTTAGGGTGTCAATTTTGGATCTTTCCTGCTTTCTCTTGTGGGCATTTAGTGCTATAAATTTCCCTCTACACACTGCTTTGAATGCGTCCCAGAGATTCTGGTATGTTGTGTCTTTGTTCTCCTTGGTTTCAAAGAACATCTTTATTTCTGCCTTCATTTCGTTATGTACCCAGTAGTCATTCAGGAGCAGGTTGTTCAGTTTCCATGCAGTTGAGCAGTTTTGAGTGAGATTCTTAATCCTGAGTTCTAGCTGGATTGCACTGTGGTCTGAGAGATAGTTTGTTATAATTTCTGTCCTTTTACATTTGCTGAGGAGAGCTTTACTTCCAATTATGTGGTCAATTTTGGAATAGGTGTGGTGTGGTGCTGAAAAAAATGTATATTCTATTGATTTGGGGTGGAGAGTTCTGTAGATGTCTATTAGGTCCGCTTGGTGCAGAGCTGAGTTCAATTCCTGGGTATCCTTGTTGACTTTCTGTCTCGTTGATCTGTCTAATGTTGACAGTGGGGTGTTAAAGTCTCCCATTATTAATGTGTGGGAGTCTAAGTCTCTTTGTAGGTCACTCAGGACTTGCTTTATGAATCTTGGTGCTCCTTTATTGGGTGCATATATATTTAGGATAGTTAGCTCTTCTTGTTGAATTGATCCCTTTACCATTATGTAATGGCCTTCTTTGTCTCTTTTGATCTTTGTTGGTTTAAAGTCTGTTTTATCAGAGACTAGGATTGCAATCCCTGCCTTTTTTTGTTTTCCATTTGCTTGGTAGATCTGCCTCCATCCTTTTATTTTGAGCCTATGTGTGTCTGCACGTGAGATGGGTTTCCTGAATACAGCACACTGATTGGTCTTGACTCTTTATCCAATTTGCCAGTCTGTGTCTTTTAATTGGAGCATTTAGTCCATTTACATTTAAAGTTAATATTGTTATGTGTGAATTTGATCCTGTCATTATGATGTTAGCTGGTTATTTTGCTCGTTAGTTTATGTAGTTTCTTCCTAGTCTCGATGGTCTTTACATCTTGGCATGATTTTGCAGCAGCTGGTACTGGTTGTTCCTTTCCATGTTTAGTGCTTCCTTCAGGAGCTCTTTTAGGGCAGGCCTGGTGGTGACAAAATCTCTCAGCATTTGCTTGTCTGTAAAGTATTTTATTTCTCCTTCGCTTATGAAGCTTAGTTTGGCTGGATATGAAATTCTGGGTTGGAAATTCTTTTCTTTAAGAATGTTGAATATTGGCCCCCACTCTCTTCTGGCTTGTAGGGTTTCTGCCGAGAGATCTGCTGTTAGTCTGATGGGCTTCCCTTTGAGGGTAACCCGACCTTTCTCTCTGGCTGCCCTTAACATTTTTTCCTTCATTTCAACTTTGGTGAATCTGACAATTATGTGTCTTGGAGTTGCTCTTCTTGAGGAGTATCTTTGTGGTGTTCTCTGTATTTCCTGAATCTGAACGTTGGCCTGCCTTGCTAGATTGGGGAAGTTCTCCTGGATAATATCCTGCAGCATGTTTTCCAACTTGGTTCCATTCTCCCCATCACTTTCAGGTACACCAATCAGACGTAGATTTGGTCTTTTCACATAGTCCCATATTTCTTGGAGGCTTTGCTCGTTTCTTTTTATTCTTTTTTCTCTACACTTCCCTTCTCGCTTCATTTCATTCATTTCATCTTCCATCGCTGATACCGTTTCTTCCAGTTGATCACATCGGCTCCTGAGGCTTCTGCATTCTTCACGTAGTTCTCGAGCCTTGGTTTTCAGCTCCATCAGCTCCTTTAAGCACTTCTCTGTATTGGTTATTCTAGTTATACATTCTTCTAAATTTTTTTCAAAGTTTTCAACTTCTTTGCCTTTGGTTTGAATGTCCTCCCGTAGCTCGGAGTAATTTGATCGTCTGAAGCCTTCTTCTCTCAGCTCGTCAAAGTCATTCTCCATCTAGCTTTGTTCCGTTGCTGGTGAGGAACTGCGTTCCTTTGGAGGAGGATTGGTGCTCTGCTTTTTAGAGTTTCCAGTTTTTCTGTTCTGTTTTTTCCCCATCTTTGTGGTTTTATCTACTTTTGGTCTTTGATGATGGTGATGTACAGATGGGTTTTTGGTGTGGATGTCCTTTCTGTTTGTTAGTTTTCCTTCTAACAGACAGGACCCTCAGCTGCAGGTCTGTTGGAGTACCCTGCCATGTGAGGTGTCAGTGTTCCTCTACTGGGGGGTGCCTCCCAGTTAGGCTGCTCAGGGGTCAGGGGTCAGGGACCCACTTGAGGAGGCAGTCTGCCTGTTCTCAGATCTCCAGCTGCATGCTGGGAGAACCACTGCTCTCTTCAAAGCTGTCAGACAGGGACATTTAAGTCTGCAGAGGTTACTGCTGTCTTTTTGTTTGTCTGTGCCCTGCCCCCAGAGGTGGAGCCTACAGAGGCAGGCAGGCCTCCTTGAGCTGTGGTGGGCTCCACCCAGTTCGAGCTTCCTGGCTGCTTTGTTTACCTAATCAAGCCTGGGCAATGGCGGGCGCCCCTCCCCCAGCCTCACTGCCGCCTTGCAGTTTGATCTCAGACTGCTGTGCTAGCAATCAGCGAGACTCTGTGGGCGTAGGACCCTCCAAGCCAGGTGCGGGATATAATCTCATGGTGCGCCGTTTTTTAAGCCCGTCGGAAAAGCGCAGTATTCAGGTGGGAGTGACCTGATTTTCCAGGTGCCATCTGTCACCCCTTTCTTTGACTGGGAAAGGGAACTCCCTGACCCCTTGCGTTTCCCAAGTGAGGCAATGCCTCGCCCTGCTTTGGCTCGCGCACGGTGCGCGCACCCACTGACCTGCGCCCACTGTCTCGCACTCCCTAGAGAGATGAACCCGGTACCTCAGATGGAAATGCAGAAATCACCATCTTCTGCATCCACCACGCTGGGAGCTGTAGACCGGAGCTGTTCCTGTTCGGCCATCTTGGCTCCTCCCCCGCAATCTTTATTTTTAAAATACCAATACATTATTCAGAAAAACAGGAAAAACAATTCCAAAATCTCTATGGAACCAAAAAAGAGCTTGAGTAGCCAAAGCAATCCTGAACGAAAAGAACAAAGATGGAGGCACCACACTACCTGACTTCAAAATATGCTTCAAGGGTATAGTAAACAAAACAGCATGGTGTTAGTATATAAATGGACATATAGACCAATAAAACATAGACTCCAGAAATAAATGCATGTATTTATAGCCAACTGATTTATGACAAAGGTGCCAAGAACATATATTGAAGAAAGGACATCTTTTTTAATAAGTGGTGCTGGGAAAATTGGATATTCACATGCAGAAGAATGAAACTAGACTCCATTTCTCACTATATACAAAAATCAACTCAAGATAGATTAAAGACTTAAGTAAGACCAAAAACTATAAAACTGTTAGAAGACAACATAAGGGAAGTTCTATAGGACATTGACCTAAGCAAAGATTATTATGATTAAGACCTCAAAAACCCAGGCAACAAAAACAAATACAGACAAATGGGACTAAACTAAAAACGAAAACCTTCTGTATAGCAAATGAATCAACATAGTGAAGAGAAAATCTATAGAATGGAAGAAAATATATGCAAATTGTTCATACAACAAGGAACTAATATCCAGAATATACAAGAAAATCAAGCAACAGTTAAAAAACAAAAACAAAAAAATTCTATTAAAAAGTGGGCAAGGACATGAATAGACATTTCTGAAAAGAAAACATACAAATGGCCAACAGGTATATGAAAAAATGCTCAATATCACTAATCACCAGGAATATGCAAATCAAAGCCACAATGAGATATCATCTTACCCCAGTTAGAATGGCTATTACTAAAAACAGAAAAACAACAGATGCTGGCAAGGATGTGGAGAAAAGGGAACTCATAACACTGTTTGTAGGTATATAAGTTGGTATAGCCACTATGGAAAACAGTATGCAGATTTCTCAAAATCTCAAAAGAGAACTACCATATGATCTAGCAATCCCACTACTGGGTATTTATCAAAGGAAAAGAAATTAGTATATTAAAAAGATAATTGCACCCCCATATTTATTGCAGCAGTCTTCACAATAGCAAAGATATGGAATCAACCTAAGTGTCCATCAACTGATGAATGGATAAAGAAAATGTGGTATACATACACAATGGAATAATATTCAGACATAAAAAGAATAAAATTATGACATTTGCAGCATCATTAATGGAACTGGAGATCATTATGTTAAATGAAATAAGTCTAGCAATAAAGACAAATATCTCATGCTCTCACTCTTATGTGGGAGCTAGAAAAGTTGATCTCATGGAAGTGAGGGTAGAATGACAGACATCAGAAGCTGAGAAGGGTGTATGGTTGGGGGTTAGGAGGAATGAAGAGATATTGATTAATGAGCACAAACATACTAGTTAGAATAAATAAGTTCTTCGATAGCAGAGTAAGGTGATTATTGTTAAAAATAATGTATTGCATACTTTAAAATAGTGGGAAGAGGGGACTTCCCAACACATAGAAATGATAAATATGGCCGGGTGCAGTGGCTCATGCCTGTAATCCCAGCACTTTGGGAGGCCGAGGCGGATGGACCACTTGAGGTCAGGAGTTTAAGACCAGCCTGGCCAACATGGTGAAACCCCATCTCTACTAAAAATACAAAAATTAGCCGGGCATGGTGGCATATGCCTGTCCTAGCTACTTGGGGGGCTGAGGCAGGAGAATCACTTCAACCCAGGAGACGGAGTGAGCTTGCAGTGAGCTGAGAATGTGCCACTGCCCTCCAGACTGGGTGACAGACTGAGACTCGGTCTCAAAAAAAAAAAAAAAAAAAAAAGAAATGACAAATACTCGAGGTGACAGATATTCTAAATATCCTGATTTAATCATTACACATTTGATGAATGTAGCAAAATATCATGTGCCCCACATAAATATGTACAAATATATATTGATTAAAAATACAAAAAGTTGCATATTACATAAGACAGGGAAATGCAAATGAAAACTATAACATAAGAGCACTCTATGCCTACTTGGAATAGCTAAAATGAAAATGACTATAAAAAATCAAGTGTAGACGAAGAATTTAACAATTAGAACTAATATATTGCTTATAGGAATGTACATTTTTTACATCTACTTTGGAAAATTATTTGCTTCTGTCTATTAATCTGAATAAATGAGTACCCTACTTAAAAAAAATAAACTCAAATCTTATTTTCATATATTCCAAATAGTTTCTCTTCTAGACCATAGGGTCTGTGAGGGAGCCTTGGACAAACCTGTACAGATCTTATACATCAGCACGTATGCATTTAAAAAAGAAATACATTACATTTTCTTTGACCAAATGATTCAAAGTTTTCAACATGCAAATATTAAGAAAAATTTTCACAGAATTACATCCTTTAATTGAGGAAAAATAATAAACCCAATTTAAACAGAAAAAAATATATTTCAAAGAAGACTATTTAATGTCAGCATTCACTATTGAGGTTTCTAAATTCCTTATCTATTTATGAATCACCTGATATGTACCAAAATGTTGTCCTCAGTTCTAGTGACCCTCTGACAGACAAGATAAATATGATGCTTGCCAGCAGCAGGCTTTTACTCTAGTAGGAAAATAGTGAACAAGCAGGTACATTTATACTGAGTCTTATGGAGTCTTTGAAAGTCAGCAGAAAGGGAGGGAGATGGCCCAGTTGGTACAATATTGTATGGAGGTGGTGACTGGATTAGGACAGGGGTAATGAAAATGAAGAAAAGTCAATAAATATGAGATATATTTGTATGGGAGAATCAACAGGACTTGGCAACTGATTAGAGGTAGGGAATTAAGAGGGAGGAATCAGAGACAACCCTGTTTTCTGGCCTGAGCAGTTGAGTATGTTGGTAAGATGTACTGAGAAAGGGAAGGTTGGATGAGGAGTATATTTGAGGGTGTGTTAGTCAATTTCACACTGCTGATAAAGACATACCTGAGACTGGATAATTTACAAAGAAAAAAGAGGTTTAATGGACTCAAGAGTTCCACATGGCTGGGGAGGTCTCACAAACATGGCAGAAGGCAAAAGGCATGTCTTACATGGTGTCAGGCAAAAAGAGAATGAGAGAGTCAAGCAAAAGAGGAAACCCCTTATAAAATCATCAGATCCATGACTTATTCAGTACCAGGAGAACAATATGGGGGAAACTGCCCTCATGATTCAAGTGTCTCCCATTGGGTCCTTTCCACAACACATGAGAATTATTGGAGCTACAATTCAAAATGAGATTTGGGTGGGGACACAGCAAAACCATATCAGCAGAAAATGAATAGAGGTATTCTGAACATGAAGTGTCTGGAAGACCTCTGAGTAGAGAGGTAAAGTAGGCAGCTGGTAGACAGCTTAGAAGAGAGGTCTGTTCTTTTCCAAGCAACCAGAATATCATTTAACTCTCAGTACCCTCATCTAAGTGACGATTTTAGACTTGAGCCAAGAGTTCAGAAGTTCAGCTAAGATCCTCCCATTAGATTGTGAATTTCCCTGGTGTATTAGTCCATTCTCATGCTGCTATAAAAAACTGCTCAAGACTGGGTAATTTATAAAGGAAAGAGGTTTAATTGACTCACAGTTCCACAGGGCTGGGGAGGCCTCAGGAAACATAATCATGGTGGAAGGGGAAGCAAACATGTCCTTAATTCACATGGTGGCAGGAAGAGAGAAGTGCCAAGCAAAGGGGGAAAAGTCCCTTACAAAACCATTAGATCTCATAAGAACTCATTATAACAAGAACAGCAGCATGACAATAACCACCCCCATGATTCAATTACCTCCCACTGGGTCCCTCCCGCAACACATGGAGATTATGTAAACTACAATTCAAGATGAGATTTGGGTGGTGACATAGCCAAATCATATTATTCTGCCCCTCACCTCTCCCAAAACTAATATCCTCACATTTCAAAACACAATCTTGCCTTTCCAAAAGTCCCCCAATGTCTTAACTCATTCCAGCATTAACCCAAAAGTCCAAGTCCAAGGTCTCATCTGAGACAAGGCAAGTCCTTTCTGCCTATAAACCTGCAAAATCAAAAGCAAGTTAGTTACTTCCCAGATACAATGATGGTACAGGCACTGGGTAAATACAATCATTCCAAATGGGAGAAATCTGCCAAAACAAAGGGGCTACACGTCCCATGCAAGTCTAAAATTCAAAAGGGCAGTTGTTATACCTTAAAGTTAAAAAATGATCTCCTTTGACTCCATGTCTCATATCCAGGTCAAAATGATGCAAGAGGTGTGCTCCCACAGCCTTGGGCAGCTTTGCCCCTGTGGCTTTGCAGGGTACAGCACCTCCCCTCCAGCTGCTTTCACAGGCTGGCATTGACTGCCTGTGGCTTTTCCAGGTGCACAGTGCAAGCTGTTGGTGGATCTACCATTCCGGGGTCTGGAGGACAATGGCCCTCTTCTTACAGCTCCACTGTGCAGTGCACCAGTAGGAACTCTGTGTGGTGGCGCCAACCCCACATTTCCCTTCCATACTGCCCTAGCAGAGGTTCTCCATGAGGGCTCCACCCCTGTAGCAAACTTCTGCCAGGACATCCAGGCATTGCCATACATCCTCTTTAATCTAGGTGGAGGTTCCCAGACCTCAATTTCTGTCTTCTGCACACCACAGACCTAACATGATATGGAAGTTGCCAAGGCTTCGGGCTTGCACCCTCTGAAGCCACAACCTGAGCTGTACATTGGCCCCTTTCTGCCATGGCTGAAACAGCTGGGACTCACGGCACCAAGTCCCTAGGCTGCACACAGCAGAGGGTCTGGGGCCTGGCCTGTGAAATCGTTTTTTCTGCCTAGGCCTCTGGGTCTATGATAGGAGGGACTGCCACTAAGGTCTCTGACATGCCCTGGAGACATTTTCTCCATTGTCTTGGTGATTAACATTTGGCTCCTTGTTACTTATGCAAATTTTCTGCAGCCCACTTGAGTTTCTCCTCAAAAAATGGGTTTTTCTTTTCTATCACATCCTCAGGTTGCAAATTTTCTGAATTTTTATGCTCAGCTTCCCTCTTAAAGATAAGTTCCAATTCCAAACCATGTCTTTCTGAATACATAAAACTGAGAGATTTTAATAGCACCAAAGTCACCTCTTGAGTGCTTTGCTGCTTAGAGATTTCTTCGGCCAGATACCCTAAATCATCTCCCTCAAGTTCAAAGTTTCACAGATCTCTAGGGCTAGAGCAAAATGCCACCAGTTTCCTTGCTGAAACAAAGGCGCTACAGGCCCCATGCAAGTCTAAAATTCAATAGGGCAGTCATTAAACCTTAAAGTTCAAAACTGATCTCCTTTGACTCCATGTCTCACATCCAGGTCAAAATGATGCAGGAGGTGTTCTTGGGCAGCTTTGCCCCTGTGGCTCTGCAGGGTAAGCAAAACAAGAGTGACTTTTACTCCAGTTCTCAACAAGTTCCTCATCTTTATCTGAGACCACCTCAGCCTGGAGTTTATTGTCCATATCACTATCAGCATTTTGGTCAGTGCCATTCAACAAGTCTCTAGAAGTTCCAAACTTTCCTATATTTTCCTGTCTTCTGAGTCCTCCATATTAGTCCGTTTTCATGCTACTGATAAAGACATACCCAAGACCGGGCAATTTACAAAAGAAAGAAGTTTATTGGACTTACAGTTTCACATGGCTGGAGAGACCTGACAAGCATGGTGGAAGGCAAAGAGGGGCATCCTATAGTGTTGGGCAGCTCTGCCCCTGTGGCTTTACAGGGTACAGCCTCCCTCATGGATGCTTTCATGGGCTGGCATTGAGTGTCTGTGGCTTTTCCAGGCACATGGTGCCAGCTGTTGGTGGATCTACCATTCTGGGGTCTGGAGGACAGTGGCTCTCTTCTCACAGTTCCATTAGGCACTGCCCCAGTAGTAACTCTGTGTGGTAGCTCTGACCCTACATTTCCCTTCCACACTGCCCTAGCAGAGGTTCTGCATGACTGCCCCACCCCTGCAGCAAACTTCTGCCTGATCATCCAAGCATTTCCGTACACCCTCTGAAATATAGGCAGAGGTTCCCAAACCTCAGTTCTTTACTTCTGTTTACTCACAGGCTCAACACCACATGGAAGGTGCCAAGGCTTGAGGCGTCCACCCTCTCAAGCAACAGCCCAAGCTGTACCTTGGCCTCTTTCAGTGACAACTGGAGTGGTTGGGATGCAGGGAACCAAGTCCCTAGGCTGCACACTGCTCAGGGACCCTGAACCCAGCCCATTAAACCACTTTTTCCTCCTAGGCCCCTAGGCCTGTGATGGGAGGGGCTGCCATGAAGACCTCTGACATATACTGGAGACATTTTCCCCATTGTCTTGGGGATTAACAGTTGGCTCCTCATTACTTATGCAAATTTCTGCAGCTCGCTTGGATTTATCCTCACAAAATGGGATTTTCTTTTCTATTGCATTGCCAGACTGCAAATTTTCTGAATTTTTATGTTCTGCTTCCCTTATAAAATGGAATGCCTTTAAGAGCACCCAAGTTGCCTTTGAATGCTTTGCTGCTTAGAAATTTCTCCCACCAGATACCGTAAATCATCTCTCTGAAGTTCAAAGTTCCACAAATCTCTAGGGCAGGGGGATAATGCTGCCAGTCTCTTTGCTAAAACAGAACAAGAGTCACATTTGCTCCAGTTCTCGACAAGTTCCTCATCTCCATCTGAGACCACCTCAGCCTGGACTTCATTGTTCATATCACTATCAGCATTTTTTGTCAAAGCCATTCAACAAGTCTCTAGAAAATTCCAAACTAACTTTCTCACATTTTCTTTTTTCTTCTGAGCCCTCCAAACTGTTCCAACCTCTTCCTGTTACCCAGTTCCAAAGTCGTTTCCACATTCTTGGTTGTCTTTTCAGCAGCACCCAACTCTACCAGTACCAATTTACTGTATTCGTCCATTTCCATGCAGCTGACAAAGACATACCTGAGACTGGGCAATTTACAAAGGAAAGAGGTTTAATTGAGCACTCACTCACAGTTCCATGTTGCTCAGGAAGCCTCACAATCATACAGGAAGGCAAGGAGAAGCAACTCACATCTTACATGGATGGCAGCAGCCAAAAAGAGAACTTGTGCAAAGGAACTCCTCTTTTTAAAACCATTAGATCTTGTGAGACTTATTCACTATCACGAGAACAGCATAGAAAAGACTTGCCATGATGATACAATTATCTCCCACCGGGTCCCTCCACAACACATGGGAATTTAAGATTAGATTTGGGTGGAGACACAGCCAAACCATATGACCCTCCAATCTCCAGGAAGTTCCAAACTTTCTGTCATTTTCCTGTCTTCTTCTGAGCCCTCCAAACTGTTCCAATCTCTGCCTGTTACTGTGTTCCAAAGTTGCTTCCACAATTTTGGGTATCTTTATATCAGCACCCCACTTCTGGTACCAACTTACTGTATTAGTCCATTTTCACACTGCTATAAAGAACTCCCAAGACTGAGTAATTTACAAAGAAAAGAGATTTAATTGACTGACAGGGCTATGGAGGCCTCAGGAAATTATAATCATGGTGGAAGGGGAAGCAAACATCCTTCTTCACATGGTCATACAAAGAGAGAAGTGCCAAGGAAAGGGGGAAAAGCCTCTTATAAAACCAGCAAATCTTGTGACAAGTCACTCACTGTCATGAGAACAGTAGCATGGGGGTAACTCCCCTTATGATTCGATTACCTCCCACCAGGTCCCTCCCACGACACATGGGGATTATGGGAACTACAATTCAAGATGAGGGTTGGGTGGGAACACAGCCAAACCATATCACCTGGTATATGGACTTTTCTCTTTACTTTTGTGTATATGTAATATCTGTGAAGACCTAGACTTTACTAAAGCATTCAGTAAAAGTTTACTAAATGAATAATTTTCTCTCTAGTTTTTGTTCCACATTTCCAGGTAAATGATGAAGTATTGATAAGTGGTAAAAATAAAACTAATACGAAAAAGTGGTCTACAGGAGATGCTGATCTAATTGAGACTGCATTAAAGAGTTAATAGTTCATGCTGGCTATGGTGGCTCATGCTGCCTGTAATCTTAGCTACTTGGGAGGCTGAAGCAAGAGGATCACTTGACGTCAGGGGTTCCAAACCAGCCTGGGAAACATAGTGAGGTCCTGTTTCTACAGAAATAAATAAAGTGAGACTGCTGTCTCTACAAAAGTAAATAAACAATTAAAAAAAACAGTACAAGTTAGCAGGAAGATCAAAAGGGATATTTGGGTCTATTTAATGAAGTAGATATGACTTACTCTGGGAGCAAGAAAAAAAAGAAAAGTCTTAATAATAGCACAATAATGAAAGAAAAAAAGCCAATTTCTATGGGGGTGACAAAGAAACTTGGAGGTCATCTGCCAACATCTTTGTGGAAGGGCTAGTCATTCTTTTAACAGTTTTATTTTGATATACTGCAGAAATTTCTTGTACTGTACAGAATAAAATTAATTTTTAAAACACAGTGAATAAAAAGGACATTAAATTATCTTGAATTAATTTTGAACCATATAGACACAGAATGACAATTATTAAATTGAATGAGTGCTGAGGGAAATGAACACAGGCAGAGTCAAAAGGAAAAAAAAATTATGATATTCATAATTTCTTCATGAGATGGACTCAAACTAACTGGCAAATACTTTCCAGGATACTTTGGAAACACAGATCAATTAAGCTCAGATCTTGCCTTAAAGGAGTTTACAGTCTCTCTGTAAGAGAGAGTGCCAAGAAGACAAAAACTGAAATACATGTGCTATGTTTTATGACAGACATATTCTTGTGACCAAGATGGGCTTGCCATTTCTCTCAGTTTGACACTATTTTAGACTTCTAGACTATAGGCCCCTGACCTCCCTCTTGTTAGAACATTTACTTTAGAAAACCTGTAATAGCAAATTCTTTCTCTGCCCCTCTGGAATATAGATAAATCTTCTCCCAGCCTCTAATTAGCTTTGCAGTCTTACAAAATAAAATTTAAATTTTAAAATTTAAAAAAGATTTAAATGAAGGAAGGAAGGATGGAAGGAAAGAAGAAAGGTAGGCCAGCAGGCAGGCCTATCTCCTAGTCTCTGTTGGGAGGTAGGAGCCTAACTTTAGTAAGTACCAATTAACAGGTGGCTTAATCATACTAACCAATGCTCACATAACATCCTCCAGCACTTTTTCACTAGCTCACAGCAGCATTGAACAATTCTCCCACCTTTTGCTTCAACAGAGTTCAATCTGTCTCCCCTATTACAGTAGTCTTGAATAACGCCTTCGTTGCCATTTTTAACAAATGTCTGGTGCAATTTCTCTTTGATACATCAAACCATGGCAACACAAATGACACAAACTGTGGAAAATTAGGTAGAATTTTTTTTTTAAAGGACCTGGTACCTGGGCTGGATGTAAGTAATGAGAATTAAATAACACTGGGTGAAAAGGAGCTAGCAGTATTCCAAGCAAAGTTTGAAGAACTGGGACATAGGCAAAAGTGTATGGGGCACAGGCCAAGACCCCTTATATCAATTCTTCCATTTGAAAGCCTCCTAACAAGGGCAGTAGATACAATTGAAATTTAAATAAATTTGAATTCTTTCTATGAAAGTCAATAAAATACATTAATACATCAGATTTTTTAAAGCAAATTAAAAATTACTCTTCTATCTCTACTTGTCTATTTCTACTTCGTTTTTGTTATAAATCAAATTCTGTTGAGAAATGTTTAAATGTTAATATACTTTTTAAGCTAATCCTTTGAATCAAGAGAGTTACAGAGGACCCCTGTCTGAAGGACAGGTTTGAATCACAGTTGTAGCAAACACTCTTCAGTTTAAGGTGATTATTTCATCTTAAAGTTATACACATTGATGGCAGTGCATTCATAGGGAAGAAGCTAACAAAAGCTCAATTTTCCTCTTTTTTCCTTCCAGGGCAGTCCCCATGAGAGCAACTGTTCTCTTATTAATACTGTTAAATGTTAGCAATAAACCTCTCTGGAATTATACTGAATAAGAAGGTGACGTAGAAGAAAGTTTGTACCAAATAAATTTGCGTAGATTAGAGCCTGCAGGTGGTCTAAAACATGCCTGTATTGGGAGCCAAATTGTTCTGTACTGGAACCTTTTGAAAGGAGAACAAAGAGCCTTTCATTGCTCCAATTCTAAATGCAGCTTAGTACTTCATTAGGAACCTCTTAGTTCACTGTAGGAATCTTTCAGATTTAATTATAAGGTGGGATAAAAACCTTCTTTTCCTAGGATACCATATTGAAACATTTTATTCTGTTTCCTGGGACATCTCCAAGTTTTACAAACTACAGAAGTTATCTGTGCATATTTATTTTTTTCTGAAACCTAAGTATTAGGCAAAGTCAAGGTAACCATTTTAGCCAGTATGAATTCTGATATTAACATTACTGAGAGCCAAAAGCATTGAAGTTAAAAATTAAGAGACCTAGGTTCCCTTTCTGGTTCTACAACCTTGCAATGTCATTTAAATTTCTGAGCCTTAGTTTAATATATGTAAAGTGAGGCAGCTAACTGATAAGCATTGATTCCCCCTTCATTTCTAAAATTCTGTTACTCTATGTGGCCAATATTTGGTAAATACTAATGTTGCTCCATATTTATCATTTTCTTGGTTGTAAAGAAATACTTTAAAGATAATATTTCCAAAGCTACAGTATCAAATCATTGTGGATGGGATATTTTTAAATTGTAATATAATGTGGTCAGTTAACTTTTGGAAGGCATGAGCAAACAGAACCCAAAAAGTCTCTCATTCCTGCTTTAGTGAACTTGATAAAAACTGGAAGGTATGACAACCCAACCCTACAGAACAGAAAGAAATGGAATATGTGGTTGTAGCATTTGCTGCTAAAGGCTAGGTTGACAAGTTGAGCCTGTTAAGTCTCCTGGCCTGGGTCCTTCAATTCCCAATGCCTGGATCTGTGCGTCTGTATTTTCCATGTGTTTGAGTTCAAAGAGCAGTAAGTCAGGGCCCCTGGGAACAAAGCTTTTCCAGAGGCTAAGCTGACAATACCTTCATTCAGTGGAAAAACTGTCTTATTCTTAGTAAGACAGCAAACTACCTGGCTCTTTGAAATGAAAACAAACAAAAAGAGAAAACTAATACATGTTTATTAAGTGAAAAAAATGAATGAATAACCCATGAATTCCAAGTCTTGGCTTCTAGCTCTGAATCTCAAGATTAGTACAAATTTTCTAATGGAAGTCTTTTTATTTGCATCAGATAAATGAAATATAATTACTTTGACAGTAGCATATTGAAGAAAAACAACTTTAATTTTCCCCCATTCTACAAAAAGTAATTAACAGGCCAGATCTGATCTAAAACTCAATTTGCAAAATTTTACTTCATAAGTTCATAATTGATAAGGACTTCTTTATGTTTGCTTATGTGTGCCTACAACAAGGTGCTTATATGAGAGCAAAATGGATCAGTAGAAGGTTAATCTCCTTACAAGATGGTTGGAATGAACCAAGTTGTGCATTATCCTGACTGTGATAAAAATAGGCACGAAATGATCAGAATGTCTTTCACTGGTTGTATTTTTGGTAAGAACCTTGAGGATATTAAGATTGTACTTTATCTGTAAAGGTAGACAGAAATCACATACTATGTTCTTAGGAGCAGTATTTGTGCAATATCATTGCAAGGGTCATGGATTTTTACTAATTATGCTATTAGTCACTATTTGTTTCATGACAGGATAAATAGGAGAGTAGCTTTAGAGGCATAAATAAAAATGATTTCATAGTCAATTAAGCTAAATAGGTTAGATTGGCCACATGATGCACTCCAGCCAATTATCACATGTGATAGGTTGTCACTGTCACTGTTGCTACTGCCCTGGTTCAAAGTCACAGGCATCTCTCACTTGGATAATTTCAATGGTCTCCTAACTGACCGCCCTATGTCTATCCTTGCTCCCTTCTCAACCCCAAGCATATTCTCAATAGAGCAGCTGAAGCAGTCCAGTTAAAATGTAAGTTGAGTCTACTAACTCTTCCGTTCAAAACCACTGACGATTTCCCATCTTACTCAGAGTAAAAGCCACAACACTTACCGTGACCTACAGAGTCCCACCTTCCAAGCTTGTCCAGGCTGACTTATTTGTTGTTGCTGTTCTTCTGTTTTGTTTTGTTTTAGGCTTTTAGCACCTGAAACCATGGTTTTTAGTTTCTGTCTCTAGTGATAAGCAGAACAGTGGGATGAGGAAGGGGCTTTACTGGCCCAACCAGAAACAGCAACTAAGAACCCATGACTGTATTCTCTCCCTTGGACAGTTCGTTCCCGGCTGCCTCTGTCTTGCTGCTCCAGCTATCCCAGTTCTCCTGCTGCTCCCTGAACACCCCACCCAATGTACATCCCCGGACCTTTGCACAGGTTGCTTTCTCCTCTCTTTGGAATCCTCTTTCCACATACAGCCCCAGGGAGCACTCCCTTGCTTCTTGCAGGTCTTTTCTTTTTCTTTTTACAAATCTTTCCCTGCTTTACATCTTTCCTATCCCTGGATATCTTACCTAAAATTTTAACCTATCTCTATAATATTTCATATCTCCCTCCTTTTATTTTTACTCTCATATTTCTCAGCATTTATCACTACAGTAAATAATACTGTATTTAACATACTATAGATATACTCACTTGTTTTGCTTATTGTCTACTGATCCCACTAGAATGTACTTCTATAAGGGCAAGGATTTTATTTTATTTTTTGTCTTTTTTTCCCCACAACTCTATCTCTAGTACCTGGAAGGATACCTGGCACAGAGCAGATGCTCAATAAATGTCTGTTGAATGAACAAATGAATACTACCTCCTATCTATTCACATGGAGTTCCCCTAACCAAGCCAATAAAAACCTATGACTGGTCTTTATGGTAACTGAAATTCTTTCACTTTTAAATCGCTAACATAACCTGAAGCAGCTGGGCGCGGTGGCTCACGCCTGTAATCCCAGCACTTTGGGAGGTCGAGGCAGGCAGATCACAAGGTCAGGAGATCGAGACCATCCTGGCTAACATGGTGAAACCCGATCTCTACTCAAAATACAAAAAAAAAAAAAAAAAAAAAAAAAGCCGGGTGTAGTGTTGCGCACCTGTAGTCCCAGCTACTCAGGAGGCTGAGGCAGGAGAATGGCATGAACCTGGGAGGCGGAGCTTGCAGTGAGCCGAGATCGTGCCACTGCACGCCAGCCTGGGTGACAGAGCAAGACTCTGCCTCAAAAAACAAAAAACAAACAAAAAACCAGATACCCTGAAGAATAGGCTTCAACTCCTTATTATTATTTTTTTCTAACTTCATGACTTCATGACGGAGAAGATATCTTTGTATCATATGTGTTATTATTATAGATTCCATAGTCTGGGATTTCTATTATTATGATATTGGGGAAGGGAGCTATCCGTAGTCAAACTCCGCAAATGATGTTTAGACTTGAAGTATTGTGTATTTCATAAGAAGCATAAAATTCATCTAAAGTAAGAAAGCAATCCCAGGGAAAACACATTAGAACTAGGTTTTAGAACTTACTTGGAGATTCATTATTTTCACAGGTTTCCTCTTCATTTGGTGCTGGTGCTTCTTCCTCCTCTTCTTCTGGGTCATCAGTATCTCCTGACTCATCGCTGTCTTCCACCCATTTTCCAGGCATTAGTCCTGCTGAATCATAGGAGTTGCACAGAGGCCCCACAATGTGAGAGATGAAGGATTCCTGAAGGTTGGCCAGCTGAGGAGCAGAACGATCCATGAAGGGGCTTATGGGTAATCCAAGGCTGGCCTCTTCATCACCCTAGAAATAAAATACAAGTGAAGTCAACATTCACCTGGCATCTGAAATTTGTAAATATGTAAAACCCCAGGCATTAATGCACAAACTTCTTTACTTGACAGCTAAAGGATCCTACCTCAAGTGCTAAGGTTCCTATAGAAACACTGTTGCTAATTAGTACTTTTCTGAACTTGAGGTTTTTGCTTTTTATCAAGGAGAAATACAGAAAGTCTAAATTCTAATGTATAAGTAGATGATATTTTAATCACACAAGTCAGTGTCTTTTATATGAGAATATAAATGCACGAAAATGCAATGGTGAGGCTGGGCGTGGTGGCTCACGCCTGTAATCCCAGCACTTTGGGATGCCAAAGTGGGCAAATCGAGACCAGCCTGGCCAACATGGTGAAACTCCGTCTCTATTAAAAATACAAAAAATTAGCTGGGTGTAGTGGCAGGTGCCTGTAATCCCAGCTACTTGGGAGGCTGAGGCAGGAGAATCACTTGAACCCAGGAGGCGGAGGTTGCGGTGAGCTGAGATCGTGCCACTGCATTCCAGGGTGACAGAGTGAGACTCCATCTCAAAAAAAAAAATGCAATAGTGAGAACAATTTTTTTAAAAATATATAAATGTAGCCTATTTTCCTTTTTTTGCTTTGGCTTCCAGAAAGCTTTAAAGAATTTATTGCTCAATTCAAGGGGTTACCTTATCCCAGATTTTGTTTGAATTTTAATATATCTCCTGTGATTGTGTGGTTTCTGATATTCTTATTTATCTATATGTTTAATAATATTACTGTACAAATGTTTTATTTTGAAGTGCTTCAAATGTTTCTGAGGAAAAAAGGGAGATTTTTAACCAGCAGTTATCTAGCAAAATTAATAAAGGAAATATCCCAAAATATCAGCAACAATTATGCCTAAGAAGTGGTATTATTATACATGAATTTTCCCTTTAATTTACATTTTTCTGCATTTCCATATTTCGAGATTTATGAATTAATCCCATTCTTAGGAAAGGCAATACATGATTTCATGATGTTTTAAAAACACAAAACTTTCTCCCATTCTGTAGGTTGCCTGTTCACTCTGATGGTAGTTTCTTTTGCTGTGCAGAAGCTCTTTAGTTTGATGAGATCCCCATTTGTCAATTTTGGTTTTTGTTGCCATTGCTTTTGGTGTTTTAGACATGAAGTCCTTGCCCATGCCTATGTCCTGAATGGTATTGCCTAGGTTTTCTTCTAGGGTTTTTATGGTTTTAGGAGAAAATTTTTGCAACCTACTCATCTGACAAAGGGCTAATATCCAGAATCTACAATGAACTCAAACAAATTTACAAGAAAAAAACAAACAACCCCATCAAAAAGTGGGTGAAGGATATGAACAGACACTTCTCAAAAGAAGACATTTATGCAGCCAAAAGACACATGAAAAAATGCTCATCATCACTGGCCATCAGTGAAATGCAAATCAAAACCACAACGAGATACCATCTCACACCAGTTAGAATGGCAATCATTAAAAAGTCAGGAAACAACAGGTGCTGGAGAGGATGTGGAGAAATAGGAACACTTTTACACTGTTGGTGGGACTGTAAACTAGTTCAACAACTGTGGAAGTCAGTGTGGCTATTCCTCAGGGATCTAGAACTAGAAATACCATTTGACCCAGCCATCCCATTACTGGGTATATACCCAAAGGACTACAAATCATGCTGCTATAAAGACACATGCACATGTATGTTTATTGAGGCACTATTCACAATAGCAAAGACTTGGAACCAACCCAAATGTCCAACAATGATAGACTGGATTAAGAAAATGTGGCACATATACACCATGGAATACTATGCAGCCATAAAAAAGGATGAGTTCATGTCCTTTGTAGGGACATGGATGAAACTGGAAACCATCATTCTCAGCAAACTATCGCAAGGACAAAAAACCAAACACCGCATGTTCTCACTCATAGGTGGGAACTGAACAATGAGAACACATGGACAGAGGAAGGGGAACATCACACACTGGGGACTGTTGTGGGGTGGGGGGAGGAGGGAGGGATAGCATTAGGAGATATATCTAATGCTAAATGATGAGTTAATGGGCGCAGCACACCAACAGGGCACATGTATATATATGTAACAAACCTGCACGTTGTGCACATGTACCCTAAAACTTAAAGTATAATAAAATAAAAAAAATCTTTCATTCTATATATGAATCCTACCTATAGTAACCATAAAATTTCATTCTAATCTCTTGTTTAAACATGTCCAATGACAGTCAATTTATTACCATTAATATGGTGTCTCAGCCTATTTTTTGGATACCTTTAGCAATATAAATTTCTTTCTGACATTGACCTGAACACTACCTCCCAATAACTTCTATAGACTGGTATATTCATACCTTTTTTAGGGCAGTAGAGAGGGATCTAACTTTTTTTATGAATCAGATCCTGTGCTAAGTATGTTATATAATTTATCTTCTTTAATCTCCACAGCAATGTTGATTAACCGATTTCTAAATTAGTATGTCACTCTTTTAAATATCTGAAGACAGTTATATTTCCCCAAGAGTAAATACCTTCATTTTTTTCCACATGCTTTTCTGTCACTTATTCCTGTCCTTTATGCATGCTCCTTCACCTCCACATTCTTTTTAAGAGTGGTTCACAGTGCCAAACAGGAAGGTTCAAGTGCATTCTGATGGGTGTAGGGTAATGTCAGGAGGATCACCCCCAGCTTATGTAATTGTGGTAGCTTTCTGAGTAGTCTGTTAACTCTTAGTTATCATGTCAAATGAAATGTCTATTTCTTTTTAGCTTTTTCACATAATGCTCTTATTAATTTTTTTACAAAAGTGAAGTTAATCTAATATACAGATACATTCGAACTACCATATACATATACATATAAACTATTCCATGTACATTTAAACTACCTTCTATGATAATAAATAAATTTTTTAGGAAAGTAAGTGAAATTAATGTGATATGCATATACATTTAAACTACCATATACATACAAGCTACTCCATATACATTTAAACTACCTTCTATGATAATAAATAAATCTATAAAAAAACAGTATTTCAAGGATCTTCCTAACATCTGACTTCCACTATCTCAATATCTTCTTCCCCCAAATGCTTGCAAATAACTTTTATCATAGAGTTCTATGATTATATTTTAGTCCAATTTTTATACGTCACTTTTTGTCTCCTGATCAAAATTGACCAGTGCATTTTCTGACAAAAGTATGAATATAAAATAGAGTGATCATACTTTCATAGCTGTTAGAAGCTTTGAGCAATTCATGAGCAACCTGTAAGTACAGATTAAGCTGTATTAAACAGTGGTCAGTTACCTGTTCATAAAATTCATTGACAATACCATCTGTCCACTGAAGATGGAGTTCTTTACATTTAGCTGGACCATTGATATCAGCCAACTTTATACACATTTGACAAACCAGTAGACGATCATTTTCATTGGTCCAATCTATTCCAACATCATCATTTACCTATTTGAGAGATAAAGTTAATATATGTTTTGCTTTGATAAAAACAAAAGTTGAATAGAAGAGAAAAACAATAGAACATTTATTGTCTTCATATTATATAGGGATCATAATACCAAATAATTGGGAACCTCTAGCTACTTAAAAATGTTATTGGCTGTGTAAATTAATGGTAAAAATAGTTCACAAAAAAAGTAAAATAACGAATTATGGATAAAATTATAATAATGGGTGACAGGGTGAGTGTGTCAAAAATAATTGAATTATACATTTTAAAATAACTAAAAGAGTATAACTGGATTGTTTGTAACACAATGGATAAATGTTTGAGGTGACAGATACCCCATTTACTCTGTTGTGATTATTATACATTATATGAATTTATTAATGTAACCCATAAATATATATACCTACCATGTACCTACAAAAATGAAAATTTTAAAAATCATTAATTATTGAATTAGCAACAAATGCTTTTTTAAATTGGCATATATAATCAATTACTTCTCTTTTCTTTTTTTGAGACAGAGTCTTGCCCTCTCTCTCAGGCTGGAGTGTCATGGTCCAGTCTTGGCTCAGTGCAACCTCCACCTCCTGGGTTCAAGCAATCTTCCTGCCTCAGCCCCCGCAAGTAGGTAGGACTACAGGGGTGCGCCACCACACCTGGCCAATTTTTGTATTTTTAGTAGGGATGGTGTTTCGCCATATTAGCCAGACTGGTCTCGAACTCCTGGCCTCAAGTGATCCACCCACCTCGGCCTCCCAAAGTGTTGAGATTATAGGCGTGAGCCATTGTGCTTGGCCTTATTATCAATTACTATTAAAATAATATAGTTACAGTTCATAAAAAATTGTCATAACTTAATATTTGGGCATTTACTTTTGAGGTATAAAATTCTGCTTCAAGTTTTTGATCTGTACTGCTGCCAGATAATTTATACAAATATACCGTAGAGATGAAAACAAATTAAATCAAACAAAAACCACAATGACAGAATGTGTTATTCCTCTGTAGCACAGAGTAGAATCTATAGAGACAGCATCTCAGCTTCTTGGGCATCTAGATTCAGATCAATACCTATATGTCTGCTTCTGGTTAAACATTTTATTGTATTCCATTTTCACATTTGAAATATGGGAGTTCATAGTAACATGTTTTGTTCAACAGTTTGCTTCCATGATATCTTTCAATGTGTCTATAAAATGAAGACTGATGCAGCCGGGCACGGTGCCTCACACCTGTAATCCCAGCACTTTGGGAGGCCGAGGCGGGTGGATCATGAGGTCAGGAGTTTGAGAGCAGCCTGGCCAACATGGTGAAACCCCATCTCTACTAAAAAAAAAAAATACAAAAATTAGGCAGGCGTGGTGGCATGAGCCTGTAATCCCAGCTACTCGGGACGTTGAGGCAGGAGAATCACTTGAACCCAGGAGGCAGAGGCTGCAGTGAGCCAAGATCGTGCCACTGCACTCCAGTCTGGGCGACAGAGCAAGACTCTGTCTCAAAAAAAAAAAAAAAAGAAAAAGAAAAGAAAACTGGGTACAGCTCTATTTACCTTGCCATTAAATTTGGCTACGAAGTCAAAGTGTTTCTTCAGGTCAGTGGCCAAAATTGCTTCAATGACAAGGAAACGGAAATGCTTAAATTCCACATGGTCAAGGTTAATTAAGAAGTTATACTCTGGCCGGGACATGAAAAGATTCCATGCAGCAGCTGCGTGATGATTCTCCAAAACTGAACGATCGTTATATAGCACCGCCTAGGCAAATAAGACAGTTAAGAGTTCAACTTTTTAAGAAAATAATCACAAAAATCATGAGAATATGCAATGCTTTTGAAATTGCTTTTTATTCATACAACAAAGAAATGTAATCACGTAACTCCTGCTTATTAAGAATCACTTATTACTGTACAATGACTCTATTATTTTTCTTGGTTAAATTTCCACTTTTTGTAAGATAAATTCCTTTCCTTGAAAACTTAGTCCAAACTCTTTTGAGGGGGCACTCGCCTATCTTAATAGATATTTTTTAAAAGATTTTTTCTTTAGATTTCTTTGTAGGGTACAGGAATTTAAACATAAAAATTATATACAAATAGAAAAGAGGAGGGAGAAAGAAAAAAGAAAAAAATTATATTTACATATATATGTAAATATAAATATAATATATAATTATACCAATGCCACAATACCTCAAGAGGTAACTAGGTTACTTTCTCTATCTGGCATAAGCATTATCTCCTCTTAAACACATACAGCTATTAAAGATGAATGGAATACCCAAAATGTCCATGACTTAAAACATTCTCACTCCACTCCACAGGAAATATCACCTTTTATCTAGTATTCGGAGACATAAAATGACATTTACTTGTTTGAAATTCTCTAATAATGCAGAGAGAAGTTTTATTAGAGAATTTTTTTTTAAAAAGGGAAGCTGCCTACAAAATGCCTGAACACTAGTGTGCAAGATAGCCTATGGAGAAATAAAAAGACATAGGACAAAAAGAAAACACTAAGCACAGAATATTAACATAGAGGTATATAAAAATGTAGACGTGTAAAATAATCTGAATGGTAAATTATCCTGGCCAGTGGATTTTTGCCTATATTTAGAAAAAATAATTCTGGTGTATGAAAGACAAGTGGAAAGAAGGTAGATAGTCAAGAAAAAATTATCAGATAATTTTTATTGTATATAGATTCAAGAAAAACTATAGAATAGCCTATAAGATGAGCTGTGGAAATGAACAGCAATGGGATAGAAGAGGCAAAGAAGAAAACAGAAAAGTCAATATTGAATGAAATTGGCCTCTAGATCTTGTAGAAGAACAGAGGATCTCAGAATGTTTAGCAACTTGGGTTCAGCTAATTAAATAAATGAGGGGCTAAATTTGATTGTATAAATGGGTATGTCTACATACTTAGTGATGAATTTTTTACTTAGAACTATACACCAAGATGAACTTTAAATTTATTCACTGTTTTTGGAATCTATGTTTAGGCAAAAAAAATAAAAAATCCTCCAATGAAATAAATTGATATTAAAATCCTACCAACCTATAGATAATGTCATAAGAATCATAATTGTTATATTGAATATATTTCAAAGGAATGGTATTTATATACAAAGAAACCTTACATTCTTAAAAGTCCAAGAAATGCTTGGTTCTCTAATCTTTTCAGAAAGGGGCTTTTGTATAGGTTGCCTTTTGTTTGTTAAAGAGGTCCATTAACATGAATTCAAGTAGGTTTTCTTCCTAAGAAGAAAACTGAGAAATGATTCCCATGGATAATAAAGTTGTATACCTGCTATTAGAATCTTGGAAGAATCCATGGCTTCTTTTCAGAATTAGCACGGTCTCTGAGAATTTCAACGTAAGACTATGTATAGTTTGGCTTATATTAACTTGGTGCCTGTTATAAATCACACTGAACTTCACTTTCTTGAGAAATCTTTAAATTAGTTCTCCTAACCAAAATCTAAAGATTTACCTGAGGAGCACTAGTTGCAACCAGGAAAGCATTAGTCCTTCCTGGATGATCATAATCGTGCATGGCTGCAGCCACATACAGCGCCATCAACTCCAAGGCAGGGATATTCCCAGACAGACATCCGTATTTATCATCTGTCACATTATACGTTTTTGAGAATACATATCCCATATGTCCATGTGTAAATCCACTGTCAGAATCTGAGAAGAGAAAATGAGAGTCAAAGAAGTTTTTAAAAAAGTACTGACATTATTTGTCTTGACTTCTTTCTTTTTGAAAAAAAACAAAAACAAAAACACCCTTGTTCCCATCTTTCATAAGGCAGTGCAGATTCACTTCGTACATACCTGAATCACTGGTTGAACCATGATCATTAATCACAGTTGAGAGGCCTGGAATAGGCTGTGTAGTAAGATACCAAACAGCATGTAAAACATCAGTGGCATGGATTCTGTTATGATCTGTAACCAGTGAACAGGAACAGTCATCAGTTTATGAACTTTGGGGTCCAAGAACTAAGAGTGCCATCTACTGGACAAACAGTTTAGTCCTAACATTTTACTATTTCCATGAAAGTTGGCCAAACTTTCTAGGACAAATATTATTTGATTACTCTTCCATAACTCCATAACATCCATCGTAACAAGAAAAAAACCTTACTTGTAACATTTATTATGCATGCAGGTATCTGAAGTGGAAAAATCTGTGTCAACAGTCGACTACAAACTATGTATATAGGAAACATACTGTGTGAAAAAAGTGTAATGTTTACTCTGGTACTTATTTTCATGCTCCTGCATAAAACTATGCAGAGAATGAGAATAAATGTAATAGCTATGACATACTTCAACTAGATGAGACATAATATTTCATCTCTGATAGATGGTACTCAAAAATAATCTGGGAATAGAACATAATACCATTTTTCTGTATCAATCTTAAAGCACTGCAATAACATATCTTTTATATGTAGATTTCATCCACAAGCAAAATTCAAAGCCACAATCAATTATATTCTCTGATCTAGAAATTCTAATTTCAGAATATAGTTCTAAGAAATACTTAAAAAGAAAAAGAAAAGCCTCTTGTATAATAATGTAGGAAGCTAAGCCATTTAGAAGAGTTAAAACCTACAGGAAAACCAGATAATGCCATCATCTGGTTGATGATGCCATTAACCAGATAATGCCATCTGGTCATAATGCCATCATCAAGGGAAGGGGGTCATACTCCACATGTGCAGTTCAACTTCTTTCAAACCATAACCACGTGCCCAGTGTGCTCTTGGCTCACCTTCCTTTTCTGTGCAATTCTTCCAAGTTTTTTGTTTATCAGACCCCTCATAATACTTCACTGATTAGTATGCTTTATTCTATTGTATTTACATATTGTAAATACCTATACTTTATATATTGTATTTCTGCTAACCAACCATGATACTGTTTCCTTCTCTAGTATAAGAGATTACATTTCTTCATAATACTTAAAATAAGGAGAAGAGAGAAACAGGAGAGAACAAGAATGACAATGAGAATATGAGAGAAACACCTATTCCCTAGTCAGAGAAGAAAGAGGAAACCTATGGTCAATGTGGCAATTGTAGCACCTGGGTAGGTGTTAAATTTCTGGCAGCCATTAGGAATCAGTCTTTAAGTGACAATATGCAGCTAAATCTTAGGTAAACACCCTAGAAATTCAGTGGAAAGGCCTGGATGTGGGTTTGAAAAGATCTCATCAGAAGAGCTTAAAGAAACTCAACTCTGGCCAGGTGCAGTGGCTCATGCCTGTAATTCCAGCATTTTGGGAGGCTGAGGTGAGTGGATCATTTGAAGTCAGGAGCTCAAGTTCAGCCTGGCCAACATGGTAAAATCCCGTCTATACCAAAAATACAAAAATTAGCCGAGCGTGGTGGTGGGCACCTGTAATCCCAGCTACTCGGGAGGCTGAGGCAGGAGAATCGCTTGAACCCAGGAGGTGGAGGTTGCAGTGAGCTGAGACTGCGCCACTGCACTCCAGCCTGGGTGAAAGAGTAAAACTGTATCCAAAAAAAAAAAAAAAAGAAGGAAGAAGAGGAAGAGGGGGAAGAGGGGGAGGAGGGGGAGGAGGAGGAGGAGGAGGGGAAGGAGGAGGAGGAGGAGGCTCAAATCCTAGCCTCCTGAGGAGAAAATAGCAAAACTTGTATACCTGTGTCAATCGTAAATATGAGTAATAATATTATATGGTACTTGAAAGAGCAATTTCATTAAGATTGACATCTATATCCCTGAGTATAGCCCATCTCCAGTGATATGAGCCCATTACATTTACAAATAATTCACAGGCAAGAGAATTACGATCATATTTTATGTCTGTACTTGGGCTATTTATGAAATTGATCATACTAGAATTTTCTGGATTTGGGACAGGTGTGCTTTTACCTCTGCTATAATATTATCCATGCTAACTTGGGTGAGTTACTTAAAATCCACTTCCTTATCTTAAAAATAAGACAGAGTAAAAAGTCTTATTTATCTTAAAAATACGGGAATAATATTGCCAAATTCATGGTACAATTGTGACAATTACATTAGGAAATATATTTTAAAGGGCCAGATACACGGTGAATTTGTAATTTGTGTAAACATTATTCATGTAAAATAAATTGCTGCTGTAGAACAAGACAGAACTAGTATAGATCACCAGCTTTCTCCCAGAATCAATGCTGGATTTGTAAGAATAAAATAAAATATCTTCTGCCTCCATCGGTAGAAGATAGTAATGACCTGTTATGGTAGGAAAATGGCAGTCTGGGAGTAGGGTTCCACTTTTGGGAGATATGTTGGAAGCCAGCTTCTTAAATTATCTTCTCCTGTTGCAAGCTGGGAAGATTACTATATGCCAGTAGTTACTATTATTGTTGCAAGTCAGAGAAACCTGTGCATGAGCATAGCAGTACGGAGGTGGATGGGGGGCAGTATCACAGTGTTGGCAGAGCCTGTTTGGGGTAAGGAATTGATAACATCTATTCCAGGTGAACTTGCAGCTTTTGAGCTCTAATCCTTTTGAGCTCTAATCCACCCTGTCCCCCACCCCAAGGCCCAGGCCCAGAAAACTTTATAGGTAATGTTTTATTTTAAAAAAACAAAAAAACAAAAAACAAACTTTCAACAAGCAATTAATCCTAAGTAAATAATCTAGTGCCGAAAATACAAGAAGAAAAGCTGCCAAACTCATTTTATGAGGCTGGTACAATCTTGATTTAAAAACGAGGTAAAGACAGTATGTATATTTAAACATGTTCCTTTTGCTTTCGAGTACAGGTTTAAAAGTACTAAATAAAAAAAAAATCACTAACCAAATCCAGCTGCTTATCTAAACATATACATCTAGTTATATGTGTGTATGTGTAGGAGAATAATACTGTCATCAATCACTTAGATTGAAGAATAGAAAACCATCTGTCCTGTTAGCAGTCAGTGACATGTTTATTAATCAAATATTCACTTAGCATGTACTCAGTATTATGCCAAGTGCTGGCATCTCCATTGTTCTTGTCATTAATTCTCTGGTAACCCAACCCAGGAGCAAAGACACCCAGGAAAGAAGCTAGCAAGGTCAATGTAAGTTACTGACAGGTTTCTATGTAATACATAAAAATGCTCAAAGATTCCTCTTCTTCTTCTGGCCAGGGTAGGCAACTGAGAAGGATAAGAAATGCTATCAGAGCTATCCTTATTTTATCCTTATTCTCATCATACTTCTTCCTTCATCTCTGCATTTTGGACAAACCCCTAGCCTTCTCGATGACACCTTCACTCATGTGGCAACCCCCTCGCCCTCTTTAATAACATATAGACGCACATGCATACACTAGCACATGGTACACCCTACCTCTTTCCCAGAGTCCGCCCATCTCCCTCTTCCGTCTTGATACACTTGTTTTCTCAACTTTCTCCTTTTCCCTCAAGCACAGAGTTGAAGTGAGCTGGTATGGAGGGTTGGAGTTGTATGTAAATTCACAGATTTTAAGATCCAAATTTATATATTTTGTATTTAAAATTTTGTCTATGCTCCTATGCACCATAGGGTAAGAAGAAGTAATAAAGAATAGAGGTAACACTTTAAATATTTTTTTTTCTTTTGGAATATAGTTAATACTCTGGTAGTTCTGCCCCTCTAGCATGTACCATGTCACTTCAATATCTAGCTTTAAAATCAGTGGGCACATCATGTACAGCTGAATTGAACTGAACTAAATATAGGTTGAGCAGGACTATTCTCATTGCTGCCATGAAATAGCTACATGATCACAGGTACTTCTGAGGCATTCTCCCCACTTCTCAAACTTAAATCAGAATGAGAGGTGTTAGGGAGAATATGCTTTAGAGAGGAAACTCTTTGAAAATAAAAACTACCTTCAAAAATAACTGGATCGATGAATGAATATGAATGGATTTTTTATTAAGTAAAATGCCCAACTGAAAGGGACTATGAATGACACCAAACATTATTTATCTCCTTATGCAATTGGGTATTCACCATACATTAATTTATCCTAAGTTTGATTGAACAAATACATTTTTATCACATTTATATTATTGAGTTGACCATATTTCTTGTCTTTCTATTGCTACTACCATGAAATTACTTTAATTCTCTGTTTAAATCTAGATTCTTCAATTTTTGTAAGGATTCTAATTACAAATTTAAAAGCTTTCCTACTTACCCTCTTTTCTTGAAAACCGTTAAAGGTACACTTAGAACTATAATAAGAAATTTAGTTTCTAATATTTGCACACATTATCATATTAAAGTTAAACCAACCCCATTTTAACTTTGGTTCCTCTTATGCTTCTTTTCAACTAAGGATTTATTTAGATAGGACCATTAGAAATATAGTCCAAAATAAATATTAAAACAAGTAGGTATACAGCAAATTTTTGTATGTGCTGATTATAACTAATGATAAGTGAAGATTTTAATAAATATTCATATTAATTTACAATCTCAGCACATATGAAATATTATTAGATAAAAGTGATCACAAATGAAGCTAGAGCTTTCCTATGAGAAGATGTAAATAAATTCCCTTTATGGAGACTATCTGGGACTTCTAATAGAACAAGCAGGTTTATTACAACAAGTTCTTTTCACCTGGAATAAAGAACCCACTATTTCAGGGGTAAAAAATATCTATTACTTGTAACATATAAAAATGTAATAAGAAAATATAAAAGTGAATAATAAATCTTAGAATCTGAAAACTTATTTTTGTACTTAAACATTTGCCATCTTTCAACTATGATTTAATGATATACCACCTGTGAAAAAGTTGGTAGTTATGTCTATGGAGTTTAGTATCAATTTGAACTCAGTGGAACTTTGCTATGGCTAATTACATCATTAAAATACATTTGAAAATATAACATGAATTTGGAAATTCAGTCTAGTGATTAGCTGTTCCTTAGTGTTTTTAGTGTCTTCCTTTCTATAAAAGTTTATTTATATAACTCCTTGACCTTCGAGAAATCGTGAACACTTAGGTCAATCACTGGCATCCAACCAGGGTGGGCCCTGGGAAAACTGTATTAAGAAAGCAAGGCTTATCTTGAGATCCTTTCCAACTACCCCTTTTTTCATGTTTCTCTTCCAACTTCCATGGATTTGTCAGCCAGATGTTCCCAGGGGCCCTGGTACTGTTGAGCTCCTCTTTCCCGTACTCCAACTGCCTTACTCTGTCTGTATTTTGGTCCCACATTCTTCAGAAAATCTCACTTGTAGATTCAGTTTTTCATTCTCTTTTTCTATGATACACTAACAGCTGTGTATATTCATTCCAATGTAGCAGGTGGATGGGATTTTGAAAACAATAAATATGCTCATAATAAATCCCTAAGTTGATGTGATACCCCTTCCTGGAAATACTTGTGTTTTATTAGTATTAATTATTTTTTAATGTAATTTCAGCTCTTTACAATTACGAAAAAGTTATGGGACTCTGAAGTCTGAGGTGCATAAGCAAATATAAAAGCTTTTAAAACTTTTAAAAGCTTAAAAGCTAAAATATGATTTAAATAACATATTTCCAAGACATGTTCCGATCAATATATTATGTTTGATTATTTTTCTTTCTATATATTTATTTCCTTCATGTGTTACATGATTTTTGAACATCTCCACAATTTCCCTGTTTCGACCTATAGACACTGTCTCCCAAACCATATATTTCGTAGCACTATAGGACCATTTTACTTATGTGTTATAATCGATGATTCCTGAAATGCTACATAATGAAAATTTAACATCTCCTCTGTGTTCCGATTTCTTGTTGTTATAAATGGGAAACTTATTCCCACAAGACTCAAAGCTTGAATACTTGATTGTGTGTTTTCCTTGGGTCTTTCCATTTACCTGATTTTTTAAGTGTTTCTTATCATTTTTCCATAACCACTTCCATATGTCTTTTCTATTTTATTCATCAGACCATCATCCTCCTGTCCCTCTAAACGCCAGCCAACTTTATCTTACGTGGAGAAAACATATATAGTGACTTAACTCTTCAGATGCCACAACAAAAGTTGAATTTACCCAATAAAAGGGATGGGTTATTAAATGGGCAATAAATTTAGTATTTATTTATTTCCAAAAAATAGCCATATTAAAGTGGACTTATGTCAGACTTACTGTGTGCTAGGCACTAAAATAACCTCTTTAAAATTATAATCTTATTTGATCCTAACAATCATATGAATCAGGTACTATAATTCTCATTTTATGAACTAAGAAATGAGGCATGTAGAGCTTAAGTAAACCCTAGGGTCTCACACAGCTGAAAAGTAAAGGGGCCAGGATTCTAACACACAGGCGATATTTCCTAATCACCATATGATGTCTCCATATTGAGCGTCTACCATGTGTAATTCTGTGCTACCTGCTAATGATTCACTATCCCATTTACCCACAGCAAATTCGACATATTTTAAAAGTATTATTTCACAAATCACATATACTTACAAGGAATATCCCTATATCCAATCTCCAAAGCATGAAAATAATTCATAAATTCCCTAATTGGAATTTTAAAAGCTTCAAAGAGGCCCATGTCTTCAAAAAGTCTGTAAGATACCTGTAAAAGAAGACAAAGCCTTATGAAACATCCCTATGTGTATGTCAGACATAAAGAGAACAGTGGTGAAACTAGGTAAATATCGGTAACGGAAAACATTAAATGCCTTTTCAAAATCTGAAGGGTGTCCTTTTAAGTTGGTTAAAATGATAGTCATCAAAAGGCAGGCTGTATATTGAAACTGAGAACTTATTTCCATTGCACATGTCTCCTTAAAAATCTTTTGAAATGAGACTTTTTCCATTTAGTCTCAGCCAAAAGGTGATTTATTGGAATGTTCACATTAATTCATTTCAGCTGTCCTAAAGTCTCACTATGGCAAAAATATATACATATTTTCCATAATGAAAATTTCATGATTTTTGTTCTTATAAACTCAAATAAAAGGAAAAATCCCAAAAAGTTCTACTTAGCAAGTCATATGAAACTACATTTGTTCAAAGTTTAATGTCTGGGAAATTAGGAACATAAACAGTGACTAATAAGGATCATATATCAATATATTACTCTGTTTTTGGAACATGATTGGAACAAAAGATACATTATTGAATTTTGCATGGATCTAATTGTTAATTATCCTTAATCTTTTTATTGTCTACTGGTATCCATGACTCTTAGAAAATATTTTGTAGCAATTTTGGTCAAATTGTTTTCTCCCATTCCCAGCTCACAGAACTTCAAGGGAGTGGTTGGTACCTGTAATGAAATTCTGTATGCTGTCATTTGTGCTGTAAAACTGACTGCTATCATAACCACTTTTCTACTAGGTATGAATCCTCATTTGGAGAACTTGAAGATATAATAAGTCAAGGTGTTTTATGAAGATATGAGAAGCAATTGAATGAATGTAAAAGCCCTAGGCTTCTGATATGGATAAATCTGCTTTGGAATCCTGGGTTGAATATTTACTATATGACTTTAGAAGAGTAGCATAGCCTCTTTTAAGCCTTAGTTTCTTCTTCTATAAGATACATATTTAAAAAAAAAACCTGCACTAAAGTTACTATGAAGATTAAGTTTTCGAGAGTCTGTGAGATATACATCAAATATAAAATGAGATGAGATGTGTCTCTCTATACCAGGGAACACACTCCCTAGCAAAAAAATAAAATCAAGAGAGAAAATGCTTCCTGACTCATTGCCACATCCTGTGGCACCGTTACAGGCTTATTTGCAGGAAAGATCACTCCCTCAAAGTTGCAGTTTTCCATGGGTTTCAGAAAGAAAATACACAATCTCCCAGGGGGATCCCTAAAGTATGAGGCTAAGGTGAATTGGACTGAACAGCTACCCTTAAATCTGTCCTGAAGATCAGCTAGTGTAAGAGACATTGCTTAGCACCAAGAAGAAAGGAAGGGAAGAGGAACAGGACTCTCAACTCCTAGCAAAGTGCAAGGGCTGCCATTATATTCCTCAACATGGTGATGGACAGAATAGAGTCTAGCAGAGGCAATAATTGAATATTTTACAGACTTTGTAAGAATTTTGTGTCTTATATTCCATCAATAATGTTAGTGTACCCCTAGACTAGACAGCCATATGTGCTTGTAGAATCAAACACTAGAAGAAAGGCCTGCTATCTTTTCCCTTCAATCTTCACAGATTAGGATTCTCACCCCAAACGAAGTTCCACATTGAGACATGTGTTGAGTGGTCCAAAGAAAGCTCATCTCTGATGCACTGCATAGAAATCAGCATTTCAGTGATTTCTCTTCTATTGTTTTGCAGAGAAGTGTTAGTGGCCCCAGTAGATCTGGGTTGGGTCTTGAATTCTTACCTAAGTCTTATATTCACAAGTTTGATGGTCTTTACTATCTCTGCTGTGATACTTATTCAAATTTATAAGAATACACCTAAAACATGTGAAGATAAGCTGATACATATTATCACACCATCCTCTTTATTTAATTAAGGGTGTGTATTTCGATAGCTATTCCATAGTACAGCAAATCCATCATTTTGTTTTATGGTTTAAAACAAACATTTTCAAATTCTTAATTTCTACATGTTTTCTTTCTTCTTCAGCAAAACAAGTAATTATTTATGTGAAAAGCCTTGAGAGTAGTCTAGCCTAAAGAAAACAATACTCAAAGGCTGGTTATGCAGCAACAGTATTATTCTATAACTCTATGTGATGTGTTTTTCATAACACTAGGAGGAAACACATTTTGGCACAATGTATTATCTTTGATAAGGCCTAAGCTCTGTAATATTCAAAAGTTTTTAAAAAGTCATCAAAAATAATTACAGACAATAAATTAGTATCTCTAAATAGGCAGTTTTCTTCTTTTAGAGGCTTGTGTCAGATTTTCTTTTGCTTAATTCTATGAATTCTAGATCGTTTGTCCCTTGTCTATATATCTCTATCCCCACCTACTTTGTCTTTAAAAATATATCATATTTTAATTGTAGAATATGACACTCGACTCACTTGAAGTTCCAGTTTCTTTTGTTAACACACAGCAAGGAATCTACAGAATGTTGTGTTCTAAAACTTCCTTTCTCCACATAACACCTATCCACAAGTGTCAAGAATTTACAGAGCTTTAAGCAACAAAGGAACTGTTTTTCCTATATTTAAATTAGTGTGAATGAATGCATTTCTTACCTGACTAAGAATACGGCCACATTTTCTTCCTATATTTTCCACTAAATCAAAAATTGGAAAATTCCAAGTATTTAGCTGCTCCATAATTGAGTCCAGGTTATCCATGACAAGAGGTTCGGGAGCAAGAATTGGTTTGTCCTGTAATGTTTAACATTAAAATACTTAAACAGCATGCAGTTTTTCTACAGGGCAATTTGTGCTTTGCTAAATTCAATAACAACTGTGGCTATCGGAAATAAATGACTTAAAACTCCAAGGTGAATAAGTGATCTTTGCTTAAAAAAGTCAACATGAACGAGACATTGACGCCAAAGTAAGAAGGAAAGGAACAAATGCCATTTCAGATATAAATTTTGCACTATTAGGTGCTTGCCTATCACTGGTCCATATACACTCCAGCAAAAACACGGATGTTTCTTCTATAAGTTAGTATAACTACTTTGGGACTACTGCAAGGTTCTTAAATAAAGTTTTAAAGACTTCAGAATATTCTGAAATTACATGTAAATTTATATCTCTACATAGTCATGTAAATTTTTCTGAGATGAGGGTTCCCTCCTTAAATTAAGCTCTCAAAAGAAATCCATGAGTAGTAGGACCTGATCATTCCTACTATTATTAATTAAGTTTATATTAATGCTTTAAAATGGACATTAATCCTATAGAATAACAATTGCCATATTTTTTAGGGATTTTAATTTATTTCATGTGACCTACTGTTTCTTGAGAAACATGTACTACGTAAAAGTAAAGGTTTTTTATAATTGGTCCCAAACGAGGATGTTCTTAAGAGTACATTTGCCAAAAAAGAAGAAAGAGAATGAGGATAGGGAAACATATACATTATTTTACCTGACGATCTCTCTGACTTAGAAATACAAACAGTAAATACAGTAAAAGAAAAATGATAATAGCAGCCATTGATGATCACTTGAGAGTCAACAGTTTTCTACCACTTGCCACCTCCCCAAAATGAAGCTGACTCAAATATATGCTTCCATCCTCCTTAAATGGATCTTTTTAAATACACAAAGTAAGTAATCATTAAAGAATATTTTAATAGGTGGCTAGTGCCAATATATGCCTGACAATATGACAAGAAAAACAAATATTGGTTCATGTTCTAAGTCAAGGAGATACTAGAGAAAACCAGCAGATGCCCTAAGACAATGAATATCTTCTTCCCTCCCTTCCTTCATCTTTCTTTTCTTTCTTTATAAAATATTGTTTTAAGGAATGAAATAATACATTTTCCTATATTTACTTTTTGATTGGGTTAATAAATATCTGCAATTATTGTATAACTATAAATACTTATGCTTCTAATCACCAGATAATAGAACCATTAAGAGACCAATAATGCTTGGAAAGAGAAAAAATATATTGATATGTATGGGAAGGGCTGTAATACATGTTTAATCCGGATGAAATACATCTGTAAATCTCATGTTTCAGAGATTAATTTCTTTTTTTTTTTTTTTTTTTGAGATAGAGTGGCACTCTGTTGCCCAGGCTGGTGTGCAGTGGCATGATCTCAGCTCACTGCAACCTCCGCCTCCTGGGTTCAAGTGATTCTCCTCCCTCAGCCTCCCAGGTAGCTGGGATTACAGGCACCTGCCACCATGCCTGGGTAATTTCTTTCTTTCTTTTTTTTTTTTTTGAGACAGAGTCTCCCTCTATTGCGCAGGCTGGAGTGCAATGGCACGATCTTGGCTCACTGCAAACTCCACCTCCTGGGTTCAAGCGATTCTACTGCCTCAGCCTCCTGCGTAGCTGGGAATACAGGTGCGTGCCACCACGCCCGGCTAATTTTGGTAATTTTGGTATTTTTAGTAGAGACGGGGTTTCACCATGTTGGTCAGGCTGGTCTTGAACTCATTGCTGACCTCGTGATACTCCCGCCTTGGCCTCCCAAAGTGCTGGGATTACAGGCGTGAGCCACTGCACCTGGCTATGCCTGGGTAATTTTTTTGTATTTTTATTACAGATAGGGGTTTCACCATATTGGTCAGGCTGGTCTCGAACTCCTGACCTCGTGATCTGCCCGCTTCGTCCTCCCAAAATGTTGGGATTACAGGTGTGAGCCACCTTGCCTGGCCTCAAAGATTCATTTCTGAGCCAATATCTGTAACAGAAGCTCATCTCTCAAGTAAATGAGTGAGTTAAGTGATATGGGACTACCAGAAACATCATGGTCTCAGGAGCATAGGTGCTGCAAGCCGATGCTTTCCTCAGAGGCTCTCTCAGGCACTCTGTTTCATCTTCATTCTGTACAATGTCACTGCTGTCACTGTTGTTATTGGTTTCATAATCAGAGGTAACTTGAGCAGTGTCATCTACAATTAAAAGAGAACAACTTATTACAAGATCTACAATGGGGAAAGGGGGCTCATTTAAGCAAATTTTGCTAAGATGCATATGGTAAATATAGTGTTTAGGGAAATACTGCTTTCCTGAGCACTCCAAGAACATAGGATCATAGGGTGGAGAACATCACACATCTCTTAACAAAGTAAAACAGATGGAAATTATAATCTGTAATCCGCATGACATTCAATAACCCCTCAATAATATTTTTTAGATCAACAGTTCATACCTTTAACAAATCCTACAGCTTTATGTTTCTTTTTTCTCTATTTCTCTCCCTATACATTAAACCACTGAGTGACTAAAACACTCTAGAACGGGCACGTGAGGTGGGAGAAACTGAGTTGACACACCCAGGAATAAAGTTCTCTGTGTAGCACAGAGTGATGGCATATGCTTGGGAGCATGGGCAATCCTATGTATCCAATCCTATTTCTTGGAATCCTGTGGCTTCCTTCCTCATCTGTCCTTCTTCACTGTCGCCATTTCAGTCAGCAGTAAACTGTGCTAACTAAAAGACCAATCAGTAAACACCCAGAGTCTGAAGTCTATCCTCTCTGAGCAACTGTGACATTTCTCATAGCTGACTAAGGTGCCTGAAGGAAGTTTATTGAGTATTTGCTATGTTTTGGGAACCACTTAAAGTACTTCCAATGTCAGAAGTAGCAAGATAAAATAATATTTCTATATAGTTCTATATATTATATAAAATGGCCTCTTGTGTTTTAAAAATATACACATGTATAAATGTATTAAAAAATTTTGGAAAGCTTTGCACCCAAACTTTACCAATGATTAACTCTAGAGAGTAGGAGTACAGATGATTTTAATTTTCTCCCTTGTCCTTTTAAATCTATAATTTAAAAAATCAGGCTGGGCACAGTGGCTCATGCCTGTAATCCTAGTACTTCAAGAGGCTGAGGCGGGAGGATCACTTGAGGCCAGGAGTTTGAGACCGACCTGACCAACATCATGAGACCCCGTCTCCCAGCGCCCCACAAAATATCAGAAATGTAGATCACTGTTTTGATCAGGAAAACAAAAATAAGGCAATTTCCATTTTGGGCAACAGAATCCAAAACAATGAATTACCTGTTCTACTTGGTGTCCGAGTGGCTACCCCACTTCTCTCCAGGGGCTCATCAGCAGGATTCCCTTGGGAATATGGTCTGCCACAGCTAAAAAATATTGGAAGAGCTATAGGTGTAGCCTCCTCTTTTCAAAAAGTCATAGGCACATACCATCTATGTATACATTAAGATAAACAACAATAGTCAAATATTTCTACCTTCTGCTTATTTGTTTTGTGAAAATATGCATTTTGTTTGATACATAAATGCTGATATGCAGTGTACTACTTTCTTTTTTGTGAGAGAGTAATCAATACAAAGGATTAGAAAGTTCATTTGACTCTCATTCTCCTCCTCCTTTATCTAGATCATATTTGAGGTGAAAGTGATGGTAAAATTTTGTTAGATTATTTAGAGAATACTGGTATAGGCTGCTACCTACTTATAGTAGCCATTTTGCAGGTGTTGACCTATATTTAGACAAAAGTTATCTTCCCCAATAAATACCTTTCTGTCGGCTTAAAAGCCTCATTATGGGCCAGGCTGCTTAAAAGCTCATTATGGGCTCACGCCTGTAATCCCAGCACTTTTCGAGGCCAAGGCAGGTGGACCACCTGAGGTCAGGAGTTCAAGACCAGCCTGGCCAACATGGTGAAATCCCATCTCTACTAAAAATACAAAAATTGCCAGGCAGGGTGGTGGATGCCTGTAATACCAGCTACTTGGGGAGGCTGAGGCAGGAGAATCGCTTGAACCTGGGAGATGGAGGCTGCAGTGAGTGGAGATTGCACCACTGCACTCCAGCCTGGGTAACAGAGCAAGACTCCATCTCAAAAAAAAAAAAAAAAAAAGCCTCATTATTAGATTTATTTTATTTAATTGGGTTATGATATTTTTATGTCTAAACAGAACTTTAAGACAGCATAGGTTGAAATAGAATGATAGTATATGAATTTTATGTTTTGCTAAAAAATAAAAATTGACTTCTTTTTTTCAGATCGATCAGTTACTTGTTAAGGCCCTAAGGAAATGAACAAAAGAGGGGTGCATTTTGATGACTGACTACATAGGATGCTGGTTGAGAGAAACAGGCCCTAGATGTACCGTAAACCACCAAGAAAAACAAAGGTAAGAGAGGTGAGCAATGCCCTCTAACAGAGGGTGTTGGAGGAATGAAGTTTGACTGTTTTAAATATTAAACAGTAACCCCACAAATGGCCTGGCACAGGCCATAAACTGGCTCTTCCCTCTTCTGTCTTGTTTAGAAACTTCATGATTAGATTTTGATTCTGCATTTGCTGCTGGGTTCTTTCCTTCTGACTGATATTACAAAGGGTCTCAGGGGATTTTTTTGTTTGTTATTTAACCACAGACTACCCACTCTAAAATGAAAAAAGTAGTGATAGCTTATTGTTTAATATCTTAAATAACTCATCATTTTTTTTCCTGAATTGTGCTCGTGTGTGCACTAAGAGAAGAGGTAGGTAGACCGTATCTGCATACTAAGTAACTTTACTTTTCAACCCTTGAGTGTAAATAGAAAAACGTTACCTGTAAAATATTTCTAATTATTAAATCTGTCAGTTTGGGTTAGAGAATAAAAAGAAAATGATAGGACAAAAAGGGAAAAGAAAGGAGATGCAATTGGTAGGCTTACATTCTCAGACGAAGCTCAGGAGAAGTCGAGTTTATTAGCCTTAAACTTTTTCATTGCAAAATAATACCTAAAAGGACCATTTAAATTAGTACTTCAAATATGCCAGCTCTCATGCCAGAAAAATAGCTTGTTGCATAGACATTACAGCAGCCAAGAGACTGGGATTCAACGCCAAACTCTTCAAGTTCAGCAGGGGGAAACCACAACAATTAGTTGTGTGTTTCTGGAGCTCTCTGTGCCTACATGGGTGGCTGCCTTTAAGGCAATAATAAAACCTGGTTTGAATTACAGATTTATAAAGCCCAAACAAATAAAACACACACTACTGGATTTATAAACATTACTGAACAAGTAGACAGTGAAATCCTCTTGTTTTTCTCTGAAACCTTTTATACAAATCCCATTACATTCTTCCTGCTAAGAATACAAAAAAAAAAAAAAAATACACTATGATGAAAAAAGCTGCGTGAGTGGTAGAGCTTTTCTGAACATCTCTCTCCTTTCTTTAGGGGACTTATTTCCCAAAAGTCCGGAACCCACAGTGGGAGACTCTCCCTAAAAATGCTGAACCCAGATGTCCTTGATGAAGATTACTCCACTGGGCTTCATCTTGGCTCAGGGTGCATACAATAAAACAATGCTTCTTAATTGTGTTCTGCCAAACATTCGATCCATGGGCAATTCTTGGGTGTTAACCCAAAGAAATTGGTTCTGTGGTCGAATAAATTCAGAAAACACTAAATGAAACAACAAAAATAAATAAAGAGGGATTCTTTTAACAGAGCTTCTCAGAGGTTTTAATAAAGCCATGTGTGTTGTGAATTTCTAACAGGGATGTATGATATATCTTCTGAATATTTTACTACAGAACTTGCTCTTTTGTGGAAAAGAGATGAGATTAATATCCTGCAGAAATTATTTTATTAAAAAACTCATAGAGGGCAGCAGAATAACTTTTGCATAGTAGAATAACTTTGGCTCTGGGCAAACGAATGAAAATAATTTCTCATGTAAAAATGCCGGTAAAGATAAAGGAGGTAAAAATAAAAATTATAAATAACATTCATTTAATTTACAGAACTTATGAGTAAAAAATATGAAAATGAAAATTATGAGGCTTAATATAAGTTGCTATTTCTTAAAGCTGAATACAATGAAAAAATCTGAGTCTATGAGGTAATATTTGATACTAGAAAACCAACAAGTTACTCATTTATTCAAATAGTTATCCTCATCAACCTCAGAAATGAAATACTGTTTTATTCAAGGTACTCTCATAGTTAAAAACACTCAACTGTTTTTCTACTTAAAAAATACCATAATGCTTTAAGATAAATTATTCAAGCTGTTACTGAAGAACAATAAAAATACATTAACCAGTAAGAAGAGATAATTATTTCTTCGTGACAACATTGGCAAAATAATTACTCCAGCCATGCTAGGCCATTTTTTTCTTAACCTCTGTGATAGATAACACTTTGTAATTTTGTTTCAACATGATAGAATAGCACATACAATTGCTTAAATTTCATTCAGAGAACTATTTGAGTCCAGCCATCCTGTGCAATGTATTATTCACACATTTTAAAATTGCAAAAATGGGAAATGCAAACTGACAATTAAATATGCCTAATATCAATGTAACCCATTCCCTGGAGAACAAGTACAAACATTCCAACAAAATGAAGAATTACAACAGAATACTTGATATCATTTTTTAGTTATATATTTTCTATATTCCCCATCAGCAAACAGGCAACATATACAGCTAACAGTTTTGTATCCTCTCTAAAGATTGGCTGTATGAACTGCATGGATTCTAAACTTCATTAATAGAAAACTACTAAAACATAAGTTTTTATTGTAGCCTATTCAACACAAATCACATTATCCTATACTTGGTTGTCTAATACTTTGGCAAACCTACCCCAAGCTGCGTGGGCTGGTGGTAGGTATTTCTAGGGGAAAACTATCATCGTTTTTATTATTAAACTTCAGTTCATAAAAAATCCTTACCTGCTACATATAACAGGTGGAGTCAGGATTTGAGGGGATAGGTCTGGGGCACTCTGAGTGTAAGTTAAGGCCCTGTGAGAACCTAGGCTTTGTTTGGCAGTTGTGTCAGCAGATTCTGGAAACTGCACTGCAGAAATTTTGCTGACCAGGCTGCTGGCAGGAGTCCCTTGGAGAGGTGAGGAGCAGGGCGATGAAAGAGGTGAAATTTTAGCGAGGGCACCTGAGAAAGAATGAGAGTTAAGTAACTAAACAAATGTCTTTAAAATGCAAAATTGCAACTGTTGAACTTCACCTGGACTCTTACAAACTCAGTAACAACCACGTGCCTGCTCAGGTCACCGGGCTGGCCTCCTCCACATACCAACATCTGAAGCCAGTGTGGTTGGGGTGTCTCCACAGCATTAAATGGGAGGAATGAATCATCATAAAAAAAATAGTGGCAATGTTGGCACATACAGCCAAAGCCCTGGTGTCGTGGAGTAACTTCAGGACAGAAGGATATTATTTTCTCCTCCCATTTTTGTTTCTTCTTGTCATTCTGACATGGAAATAATAGTTAAAATTTTCTCATGTGTTTACTTTCTCTTAGGTTGTGAAGGTTTTAGCAGGAACAGGATCTGCTATTGTTTTAAACGTTAACCAGTATCTGGGGGCAGAGTTCAGCAGGCATCAGATGCTTAAAATATGTAAATACAGAAGATGCATTACTGAGAGGAAATTAACCTTCTTAACCATTCGCAGTTTCAGTGAAATAAGACCTTTCGGTGTGAAAGAGTGCTTTGATCAAAATAATTTTTGAAGAAAACATTTTAAAATGTAATATAATCCATTTCAGAGCAAACAATAGACCTAAAGTTTCCATTTCAAGTATGGGTATTTGGGCCAAACTGTCTGTATTTACTCTAGATTGTAAGAATTTTACAGGATACTGGCTTAGATTTCAAAACGTGGCTGTTGGAAGACCAGGACGATGTCTTTTGAAGTTACTCTCTCCCAAACACAGAGAAGGCAGCCTGCAGTTAAAATGGAAAAAAGGAGAGAAATAACTTCTGCCTAACAACCTGCTTACTGGTTTTCATGATTTTATGGCTGAACAATGTAATGTAGGGCAAATGAAATGAAATTATTAAAAGTCGTTGTCTATTTCTCACCACTTAGGAACATTTACAGCCATCCACCTTCACATCATCAAATTATGTGTGTGGTTAGCTGGCAGCTGGCTTACAGCAAAGTTTGCTTCCAGGATCCAGCTTCCTCAAAAGTTTGAGTTGTCATACCAAAGGTTTTCTGGTCCACTGAAAAGAATATTAAGTTTGTTGAACGATTTTGTGTGTTCGTGTGTAATTTTCTTTTTAATTTCTTGTTGGCGCTGTTATTTCTTTTTGTCGTTGTTGTTGTTAAAGATGAGAAATCTCACTCTCCCCTTGCTTCAGTGTGAAGAGCAGCAACCCCTTCTAGTTCTTTCTCAACATATCTATTGTTAGTTCCTAATCAGCAGCTCAACCCCCTCCCAGCCTTTATACTAAGCAAACGAAACCACTTAGACCCAGAGAGGTTAAAAAACCCTCCCAAGGTCACAGTACTAGTACATGGGAGAATATAGAGTAAACCCAGCTACTCTTAGTAAAATGCAGCTTATAAACCAGTACCTCTATCAGAGACTATCCAAGGGGGAAGTAAAACCCATGGCGTATTAGGCAGCGTTTGCATTGCTCCTTACGTCATGCCTGATGGTTTTTATTTCGGTTTCTACGTCTATTAAAAAGACTCATTTATTTTTCCAAAGATAACGACAAACCTTCACATTACATAGTATCCTGAGCCAAAAACAAAACAAAAAATTAAGTTCACAAAGGTTTTAACTCAGAATTTCCCAGTCAATGTATGATTCTGCACAGCAAGTGGGTTATAAGTTTGCTGTGAATTATTTAATGGTTGAAAATATTTTTAAAAAAGGAAATATTTTATTTGGAAACTCTAGAAAAAACTCAATTTTTAATATTATCTCTAATAGCTCATAATTAGTTTTTCTTATTATAATTTTATAAAATAAAGGAAGTCTAGTTTTCAAACTTGAAATCCCTTCCCATTTCTCTAATGCTACGATATTCACAAATACTATTACACATATATGGGTGCTCTGATGTAAAGGTTAAAAAGGGTTGGTCTAGTTTTGACCACTTTTTGGATTTAGACAGGGACTCCAGATAATCTTAGAAAGGCACTGTAGCCGTTAAGGAGCTGAATCCTAGTATGATGTGGTAGAAAGTTTACCGAGGTATCTGTACTGAGTATCTCAATGATTTCTTCATCCAACAAGTAGTTATTGTGAGTCTTGCTCCACGGATGGAGTAGGTTATAAAATAAAAACCCTGCTCTAATGGAGCTCCCACTTTTTTAGGGGAGACAGAAACTAAAAACTAAAGTCAATAAAAAAGAAAATTAACTTAAATTCAAGTAATAGGAAGAAAACAATGCACAGAGTAGAAGGCAGGGAAGAACAGAAATGCTCTTTAGATAAGGTGGACTGAGAAGGCCTCTCTGGCTGGGAAAGGGTGGGGGTGGGTAAAATTTGAATAGAGGCCTCATGAAATACAGAAGACATTTAGAGAAGTAGCTGGGGAAAGCATGTTCAGGAAAGAGGGACATACCTGGGGGATGTCAGAGGAGCAGTCAGGAGGTCAGTGGCTGGCAGCTTAGCAAAAAGCAAAAAGAGGGGCAGGGAACGTGGTCAGAGAGGTTGCTGGGCAAGTCTGGATAGGGTTGGGTAGGGCCAGGGCAAAGTTTTATTAGGTTGGTGCAAAAGTAATTGTGGTTTTTGCAATGAAAAGTAATTGCAAAAACAGCAATTAAAAGTAATTGCTGTGTCATAAGAAAAAGAGATTCCTGATAGACACTGTGTTAGGCAATTCCTTAGCTGTTCTCATAGTAAACTGTGAGTTTTGGGACAGTTTTCTACACAGTTTTTTTTTTTTTTTTTTTAACAGAACAATAGTTCAAAGCCCATGAGAACATTGTCCATTTCTGTCTTGACACCCTGTTTTTTCTGAAGGCAATTTATGAGAAGAGTGATTTTTTCATTGCTAAGTTTTAGTAGCTGCCAGCTGATTGCTTCAGATACATGCAATTCACTCTCAAACACACATTTTAAAATTCACACAACCATTAGAGTTCTTGGAACTCACGGATTAACTAAATTTAAACAAACAAGCAGATTTTAAGACATCAAATTTACTGCCTGGGATGAAATTTAAAATAAACCTGTAAGAGAGAAGCTCTGCTTCTATAGTGTTTGTCTACATATTTTGAACACTTTTAAAAGCATAACTCGGCTAGGCGCGGTGGCTCATGCCTGTAATCCTAGCACTTTGGGAGGCCGAGGAGGGCAGATCACTTGAGGTCAGGAGTTCGAGACCAGCCTGGCCAACATGGTGAAACCCCATCTCTACTAAAAATACAAAAATTAGCCTGATGTGGTGGTGCATGCCTGCAATCCCACTACTCAGGAGGCTGAGGCAGGAGAATTGCTTGAACCCAGGAGGCAGAGGTTGCAGTGAGCTGAGATCCCACCACTGCTGCACCCCAGCCTGGGCGACAGAGCAAGAATCCATCTCACAAAAAATACATAAATAAATAAATATAAAAAAAGTGTAACTCTTGGCAACAATCATGAGAAGCATGGATATTTCTATTCTGCAGGTGAGAAGCTAAAGTTATAAAAGTATAAGTTCTCTTTTTTTTTTTCCAAAGCCAAACTACTATTTTTCCTAGTGTGCATTATCTTAGTTTACTTAAAGTTTAAAAACAGAAAGAATTAGGATGTGCATGCATATTTTGAAGACCGTATCGGTCTTCAAAAAGATAGGGAGATAAATGCAGATAATAACCAAATTTTCTTTATAGAAAGGATAAACTATAAATAAATTATTTCAGATACAGAAAGAGGACAGTCTAAGGAATAGGGATGAATAACCTTTGGAAGTTTTTAAAATTTTCTAAAATGCTTTCAATGTAATCATGTCTAAAGTTAGAGGGATGACCGTTAAAACCTTTGAAAATCTCATCTAATTTTACATCGCACACTCACACATTTACACACTCACCCATGAGTGAAGAGATTCCGATAAACATGCATTCTCTCAAGTATATTAATGTTTATCTTCACTTCATATTTGAGTAATTTTAGCAGATTCCAGGAAGAAGACATAGCTCATGAAATATAAATTTTTGAATGATTCAAACTGTCCTAATGTGAAATACTTAAAATCAAAACATTTAAAAACAAAAAATTAAAAATATAATTTTAAAAATAAAGTCTAAAATGCCAACTCCTTTGAGTAATTCGGCCTTTAATTCCTTGTTCCTGAGGGCATGAGAAAATGTGTGTCAAGACACAAGGAATTTTGGGCAATCAAAGAGAGAAAATAAACAATACTACAGGGGAATTATTTAAGTGAATCCATCTGTTTTGTGCTATAAAACTCTCTCAGTTTAATTTTAATGGAACAAAAAAGGAACCAGCTTGTCTGATAAAGACATCTCTTTTTTTCCATGCCCAGGTGAAAATGGATAGCCCGAATATTTTTTCCAAAGCAGAAATTGCATCTAAAGAGAATGCCAAAGAAGAAGAATCACAATACCATGATTAAAGTTCTCTATATTTTCAAATTTTGTATAGGAAAAACAGAGTCTAGATTATAGGTGTAGAGATATCTCTTATCACTGCAGTCGGCAGCCAAACTTACAAGAATCCGGGAAAGGACTACTGCAAATACAGTAACGATAAATTCAAGGAATTTTTAAAGCAGAATAATATCATGGTAGCTCCACAATGTCAGTGACTCATACTAGAAGAGCAAAATTGAAAATACAAATTATATTTGAATCTCCTGCTTTTAAGCTTTTATTAAAGGAGTCCTATGTGATTTCGTTCATTTATTTTATATTAGTAACTGCATAATAATTTGTGTTTCAGCTATTTAAAATTAACATTGATTGACTGAACTAGAGGACACGCTGTTTACTTGATTTGCGCAAAGAACAGATTTCATTAGCCCTCTCTGGAAACAGGGTATTTATCTTTCTGTATGCCTCTTCTTACTTCATACTCGCTTTCCCTCCGCCTCATTGCCTATTGCTGCTACATGTTTCCTCAGACTCTCTTCACATTTCATTTGATTCCATTTGCTTACACTCTTTGCCACGAGGGGGCTCTTCCCAGCTTCTTTCCATGGAGTTTATGGAAAACCAGGATGCATCACAGTCAACTGCATCAAACATGTCACAACCACTTAGCTCCATCAACCCAAACAGGGAAGCAAGGATTTTAAAGCAGAAGGGCCCATCTGATTAGGGAGGGTTGTAATCTCTTTAGGCTCTCTGATTCTTGATAGATGTGTTTGTCTCTTTTGGCTGAACTTTAGGAATTTAATTAGTTGGATTCAGCATGCCTGGGATATAGGTTATTTTATAAACTTTTAGCTGTGCTGTGACAGCTGTCTAAAGATGCCACAATGCAAAATCCACTCCAAAATGATCATGATAGAAATGCCTTATGCACTTGATGGCAAGAATGGAAGGGGGCTCTTGCTATGCCTGTGGCTCTCATTCCTACCACCTGCCCATGTGGTATCTTATGTGGACATTCCTTCCCTTTTACATTTTGCTCCTTTGCTCTTTCTTCTAGAGTGAAGTCATACAAACTGGGGATCAGGACACAGGAATATGAGGCTGTTCCATCACTTGATCTGATATTTCCAGGGTCTGCCCTAACCATAATTTTCAGCTTCTTGATCTTATCATGTTGGTTATTCAATATTTTTTATGTTATTACTTAACCGAAGAAACAGGAAGAGAAAACCAAACCCTTCCATTATCTTGTACCCACCCAAGGACAGAACCCAAAATATCCTAGTTTTAAATTATGACAATTTGTCATCCTCATTTTTTTCTAGTATGAAGTCATTAGGACAAAAGAAAGTATTCAGGATTAATTGCATGACCCAGAGAAAGCAAATTACTTAACCTTCTTTTCCCTCAGTTTCCTCATCTGAACCCCCTTTTTGAGCTACACATGGATTTAGAACACTTAAATTTATATTTCATCTCTTGAATTACGTATTATTACTGTCTGAAATTTTAGTTCTGTCCTTAAAAAATCTTATAAAAACTATTCACAAATCTGGAAATACTATTATTTATGAATTTAATGTTTGTTTGGATTGACCCATGGTTTTCAGATTTGTTTAACATTTTCATTAGATCTCAAACTTTCTCTTCTTCTTCTTCTTTCTAGAATACATCCATCATAAATTCTTTCTAGAATACATCCATCATAAATTCTTTCTAGAATACATCCATCATATATTCTTTCTAGAATATATCCATCATATATTCTTTCTAGAATATATCCATCATATATTCTTTCTAGAATATATCCATCATATATTCTTTCTAGAATATATCCATCATATATTCTTTCTAGAATATATCCATCATAAATTCCTTTAGTAAAGATTTGGCGGGTGGTAAAGTTTTGACTTCTTTCAAATTGTCTTTAGTTCACTCCTATTCTTGTAAGATGCATCTGCCAGGCACAAAATTTTAGGTTACCATATTGTTTCAGAAATTTGAAGAAAATATTCTGCTGTGTTCTGACTGCCAGTATTTCTGACAACTCTGCTCTCAGCCTGACTGCCTTTTCTGAAAAGGAAATTTGTCTTTTCTCTGGTAGACCTTAGGATTTTTGTTTGTGTATATCTTTGGTGTTGTGTAGTTTCACTATTTTGTATCTACGTGTGAGTTTCTTTCCATTTACTAGGCTTCACCTAAGTATTTTTTGTCTTCTATCTGCTACTAAAACTATGATTACATATATCATGTACATTAGACTCATTTTTCTATATCTCCTAAAATCTATTATACTTCCCAATTCTTCATCTGTGTTGCTTTCTGGATAATTTCTTCCGATCTTTCTCTACCCAGTTTAATAATTCTTTCTTCAGTAGTCTACTATGCTATTTAATATTTCCTTGACTACATTTCCAAAAGTTACATTTAGCTGCTCTGCAGTTATGTCTTTTCTCATTGCTATTATTTTTCCTTAAATATGTAAATTTTTAAATTAAATTTTAATTTAAATATTTTAACCCTTTTACAGATCTAGAAAGTTATATTTTTGTTTCTGTTAACTCAAACTCATGGTGTTTCTTTGTGCAATTAGTGATCCTGGTTGTAAGCTCCATGTTTGAATCTGATCTGATAAAATCTCATGGCCCTTAACTGGTGATGCTTCCCTTCCAAAAGTATCCATATATATTTTTGTAGGGAGCCAAGGGGTCCTACATACCTAAAATCACTTTAGCACCCCTTTAAGAGTCTTGGGTTTAATGTGGAATTCTCAAATGCAGTTTCTCTACCTTGCTGGGGTCCCAGATGATTCTCCTTATTACTGAGCAAATCCGTATTTGCCTTCAGGAATATCTCAATTTAAGTATTTGCCTACATTAGCCTACATTGCCTGGCCCTGATGAAAGCTCAATTTTATTAGCAGGTCAATAATGACTTCTAAGTGACAAAATTTAATGAACATTTCTAAAGAGCAGAGAGGACCAGATTAGTTGTTGGAAAAGTAGATTACCTTAATGGTCTATTTTACTGATGTAATTCCAATAAAATGGTACAAAAAAGCTATCGAGGCAAAGCACACAATTCTGAGGGACTAGGTTCCCATAAAGAAGAGAACCTCAGAAAGGTGAGCCAAAATCCTGCAAATTGTTCTTGCCTTCATAGCATGATTTACTGACTATTGGCATGGAGTAAGAAGTGAAGGATCCAGACAGAGGGGTGCAGCTATTTGGGAGGCAAGCCAGCAGAGCTTCTAGCAATGTCATGAGGCTGGTGACATAAAAATTGGAGTTTGGGGTTGCCATGGAAGCCAGAACTTGAATGTTTCATATCTCAGTGGGAAGTGGGCAGTTTTCCTTTTAACCATTTGATGAACTCTTAAACTGCTAAAGGCAGAAGATTAAGAAACTAAGCAGGAAGTTACTGAAAATCTCATTGATATTTTCTGTAATACTGAGAAGTGAAACCATGAAGTTAGATTCCAAAAAGGAAAGGTCAGAGGAAATCTCCCAGGTTCTTAATTGGGCTTCTAGGGGAAAGGCAATTCAGAGACGGAATCTGACAAAAACTCCTTTTACAGTTTTGGGTGAGCAAGGACCCTGAACAAATGAGGTAGTCTTCCCCGATATCATTTCATGTTCCCATTTAAAGCTTTATTATTCTTAATTTTGATATCTAAATTCCTTATCATAGCTCATGTGTAGTAAATAAAACACTTTCTTGAATTCATATATATCATACTCCTGAAAAATAATTTTAACAGACACTAAAAAATTGGAATTTCTATTATGAGATGATGCTACCACAGATGATCCTTGATGGTAAAAGTGATTTCCTATGCATCTAATTAGTTCAAGATAGGAAATCTGATACAACAACTTTGAAGGAATCTGTATTATCACATAAGGTAGAAATTTAAATAACTAATTGGTTATTGAGACTTCTAAAAAATAACTAATTGGTTATTAGAATAGACAAACCAAACATATCTGAATATAGGGCACCCTCAGAATATTTCAACGCTTAAGGTCTGGTTTACTCTAGAACTCCACACTCACAGTATGAACCCTTCTCCAGTTAAGTTACTTACCTGGTCGACTTTGCTTTTTAGCCTTTACATGGTTAGCTGCAGAAATAGCATAGGATGAAGTAAAGGATCTGCTTTTGGTGAGGGTCATCATCACTGGATTATTCCAAGAATCAGGACTAAAAGCACCAGAAAGACAGAATTAAAAGAAAATTAAACAAATTATTCATCAGTTATTGGGCCAGTCTTGCCAGAACCCAACCATCATTTCTCTAATAGATTTGCCAATCTGAGTATTGGTTCAGGTTCAGTGACAGAACCACTGTACTTCCAAATGATGAAACAGATTATGTAAAAACAATCTCTGTTGCAGGGATATAGCAGTTACTCATCAAGCATACTGGGTTAACAAAGAGGAAAGATAACTTTCTTATTATCCAATTAATAAAAATTAAACACCTTCTCACTGTACTCTAAAATTACGTTCCTCACAGATTTTCTAAAAGAGGCTTACAGATTAACTGGTTAAGATGCGGGTGAATTTACATAAGCTGTAAGTGTCATAATGTTTACTTCAGTACTCTATTATTTTTGGTGGATCTGTATTCAAAAATTGAATGACCATGAAATCATTCATAAATAATGGTGTTTTTTTTTTGCATTATTTCCTTGTGACGGAAATGATCTAGTCAAATTACCTTTTTACAAGGGAATTTGTAAAAAGGGACATGCCAACAATGGAGCTGATGCTAAACACACTGATGATAGGAACTAGGAGAAAGGCAATGGAGAATCTTCCTCTAGCAAATGCTTTTACCAAGATGTACTTGGTCTGCCTAGGTTGCTTATTGCAAATAAATGTGGAATTAATAGATTCATGGAAGACTGAACTAGAGAATGTTATGTAAGTCATGCAATGATTGTGATATAAATTTTGGAGGTATTCCAAGACAAAATTTCTCTGCATGTGTTGCTTAAAACTTATACATGTTGAATCTGAAATAGACTCCATCCTAATGTGGGAGAGAAGGGAATTTCGAAAGTTGTGTTGACAATCTTGGACTGCTCCAAGGGAAAAGTGCTTGGTCTGTGTTTTGCTAACACCTGTGTCCTTTCAAGCACTAGTAAATTTGGTACTGGGTACAATCTATAATTTACGTAAATATGATTTGACAATTTGATCTTTTGCCAATCTTAGATTGGCAATGTAAGCAGGATGTGCTTGGTCTGTCTGGGTAGCCTATTGTAAATAAACCTAAAATTGATAGAATTATGGGCTCATGGATGCATGGAGATTGCCATATAAGCTTATAATTAATACGATATAATTTGGAGAGGTTCCAGAGCTAAAATGGTTCCCTCTGTGCAAGTAATATTATGCATGCATTGCTTAGAACACTGCATGCTAAATCCAAACCAGAACATGTGCTAATGTGGAATAAAGGGACTTTCAGAAAATTGTACTAATAGACCTCTCAAAGGAAAGAATGCTAAGCATGGGTCTTACTATTGTCTGTATCCATTAATTACTAGTAAATTCGGCAATGGGTAAGATGTGTAATTTGTGTTGAGGTCAATTTGACACTCTGACACTTGTTATCTCAATTTTTTTTTTCCATTTCAGAGAGATTTTTCTTCAACTACTGACCCAGGTATTTTAAAACTTCATCTTTTCTCCTTACTTCTAATAGCAGTTTTCCATATATGAGGACATTTGAAATGTGGTATGACCTTCAGCAATTATAAAATGCAATTAAGTAAGGCATAAAAATATTTCTTTGACATCTTCCTCAGAAAGCACATCCTAGGTATTTCACAAGTTCTTGGCATTTAGGAAATAATGAGCTGAAAGAAACTTTGGATCTGAAACAGATAACAACACTGACTATTTTCTCGTGATGCTGGTCCCTTTTAATTCATTTTGCTGGATTGACTAACTGATTACTGTGAAGAAATATTATGTAATGTATATGTGGCCCAAATGTTTGCAGTTCTCATTACATAATACAGTGAATAGGTTATTACTTTTACTTTTCTAAGTAGGCTTTTTAAAGACAATGCCTTACAGTAACTGAATGTTTTAATATATCAGAAAGATATATTATGAAGGCTATCTCAACAATTTACTATTTTTTTCAAATAAAAACATTTAAAATGTGTTCATTTTCAAGTTTGCAAAATACACTAGAGTATCTTTAATAAATGCAGATTTAATGAACTCAAGATAAATAACATCCTAGTCATATCACATTCTTAATACACTAAATAATTGTATTTTACTATTAATACAATAAATCAATGTATTATATATAAATGCATTATAGTTCACAGGTGCTTTCATATATTGCTGTGTGAGACCCTCACAGTTTTCAGCTTTTCATCGCTGTCCTTTATTTCCTGATTCCTGTTTAAATTTCATGAATATGAAATAATTTGGATTCTGTAAAGCAGAACAGCTTAGGAAAGGCTTTACACGGTTTTCTCATGCTGGCACAGCAGAGGAAAATTATCTATGTGCCTGTGATGGAAGATCTCAATCTTCTTCCCAAAGGTGGTCTTATGCTCTTATTATCCCCGTAATGACTCCATTCTAAGTCCTTAAAGTCTGATCAGGTAACAGTCTCTTTTGCCAAGTTTACTGCCTTCTTTTTGCCTGAATACACAGGCAGGGGTCAATTCCAAGGTCAACTTGGAATCATTTAGGGTCTGATTTATTTCAGCTTTTCCTATTTCTCTAAAGCCTATTTTTTAAGCACCTACTTGTATTCTTCCATCTAATTTACCCCTCCAATTATGTCATAGTTCCCCTTTTTCCTAATGACTCCTTGTAATTGGGTACAGAGATTCTGGCAGGCTAATGACTTGCCTCTAAGAACACAGTACATTTCATTTCTGAGTGGTTGGTAGGGCCAAGACCCTTCAGATTCTCAGTCCAGTGTGCTTTCTACCAGACTGTATTTAAAATTACCCAGGGGTAAATTATCCAGCTGTATATATAAAGGAATATGAGTTAAGTTGTGTTTCTAATTTTTATTATTTCTCATTCTTATTCTTCTTTTGATCAATGTAGTCCTTCCTCAAAGAAACCCAATAAATGAAAAGATATGGAAAGGAATAAATAAATAAAAGGGCTAAAAGGGAAGCAATTTCAGGGCTAAAACTCAAAAGAAGGTTTTGACTGTGATTTATAATCAAGCCAAAACTAGCTGTATTTAGTGGTGGTACTACTGCCACTTACTTATAAATAGTTTTCCCTTAAAGGGATCAAATTCTATTCAGAATGAATTTCCTTTCTTCACAATGATGAAGGAATTATATTGCTTTCAGATTTTTACATCAGTACTTTTCATAGGACAGTGAGATTATGAGATAGTATATTAGGCAGTGAGGAAAATGAATGTCCAGACAAGACATCTACGAGTATTTTCAGGAATGAGAGAATGAGAATGAATGGAATTGTATGCTATTCCTTATTTCTATTGTAAGTATTTTCCTTATTTCTATTGTAAATATTTGGATGATCCATTTTACAAAGAAGAATGACAAGATCCTTGGGCGTTAAGTTCTTAAAAGTCCTTGGAACTTCCTTCCTTGTCATCATTTCAATTTAAACCCTCAAGTTCATTTAATTGACTAAGAGAAGAGAAAAGCAGGGGAGATAGGATTTGACTACAAGTAACAAAGAATAACAGAATAAAAGGCATTTGAGAAGGCATGAGTGGATTTTTCATAGAGTCATTCTATGGGAAGGAAATCATGAAGCATTACCTATACTATGACAGGAAACTTAGCAAGTTGCACTGGCAAAATGGGCAGACTCTAATGATACATGCTGAAAACATAATTCATTTTATTAAGCAATAGTTAACTATAATACTATTAGCATTTATCAGTATTTGCTGCTGTAGCAATTGTCAATGATCAATATTTTTAGAGAAAAATATTGATCATTGACTTCTAATTAATTTCAACCGTCAGGAAATTTTCATGAAACACTACATAATCTCTTCTTGTCTCATTTACAAGTTTTACAAAAGTCCAGGTAATAGGATGGAGTGGGATTATACTGACATATAAAATATACAATGACATTTGAGTTTGTTTCCAATTCTATAGATGTCTTAGAATACAAATAATATGGAAGAAACCAATTAAAAATTTTTAATCAAAAAAGAAAGGTCAGCAGTCATTAAATTCTTATCATCTGAAATATTTCTATTAGTCTCAGTATGGTGGTTTATTTATATCCCAGGCTAACGATCAGGAGAAAATTACTTCTGATATTGCTGTCATATAATACGACATAGATGTGGATATTTTTTCATTCATTAGGTCATTGATAAAACTTATACATGTGTTTCAAAAACCTGAAATCATACGGTAAATGTTCTCACAATTAATGAATTTGAATAAAGTAAGATAAGTATAATATTTTTATTCTAAATAGAAAAGGACACAGTATCTCCCTCTAAATGCACTTTCCTTAGCTATTTTCTTCAAGATTCTTTTTAGATGTTAATATAACCTTTTCTTTAGTTTTGATAATTCTGGCTTTTAAGTTGCTTTCAAAAATTGGAATTAATATCCTCAGAAAAGTTTAAATTACCAAATGTTTGAACATATCTAGGTGTTCTTAGGATGATCTACTTTTGATTTGCTCTTTTGTCTTTTGTACAACGCTAAGACAGCTGGTCTTGTGGGAGGCTAATGACTGGGCTGGGGGATCTCATATCAAATGCAAATGTCAAGTTGTATGCTTTTGATTTAAGGGTCTCGGTATGAATCTCAATGTAGATAAAATTACCTACCTTTATCCTGGGCTTAACCCTTCCCATCTAAGGTCACAATGGCAGAGATCACATCAAGTCACTCTTTCCACTTATATATAAGGCCACACAACAGATGTTAAGCCTAATTATCTGATGTTAACCCCTATACTGCTCTGCATTTGAACCATGTACCCTTTCCATCTTCAAAGCTGACCTCCAACCAAATGTAATTGGTTAGCCTTCCTTCTCCTGTAATTTATAACTCATTTTTGGCAAGTAACTTCTCTAAGAGACATTAAACCAGCAGGAGCCGTATGCCACCTGGATGAAGGTGCTTCCTGCAGTTTGATGCTGGTGCTGCGGTCTCTCCGTACTGGTGCAGGCTCCAAGGTGGGTAGACCTGTGGCCGAGGTGGTGGTGGTCCAAGTGGAAGAAACTCGTCTCAACAAGCCAGGAGGCAAACTCCTTCTCAGGCGCTAGGAAAGAGACTTGACTTCATTACCCAGAATATTTTATATCTCTTAAATTTTATGTAATATAATAGAAGGAAACAAGCTTTTAATTAGAAGTGAATTGACTAAATTACATTGGTTTAATATCACCTATCTATCTAAAATTTGAGTGCTCAGAAATTTAATAAAAGACTCTCTGGCCAAAATGAATGCATATTATAAAAATAAGCAGTCAGGCGTAGTGGCTCACGCCTGTAATTCCAGCACTTTGGGAGGCCAAGGCGGGTGGATCATCTGAGGTCAGGAGTTTGAGACCAACCTGGCCAACATGGTGAAACCCCGTCTACCAAAAATACAAAAATTAGCTGGGCGTGGTGGTGGGTGCCTGTAATCTCAGTTGCTCGGGAGGCTGAGGCAGGAGAGTCACTTGAGACTGGGAGGCGGAGGTTGCAGTGAGCTGAGATCACACCACTGCACTCCAGCCTGGGTGACAAGAGCAGAAGTCTGTCTAATAAATAAATAAATAAATACATAACCAACCTTTTAGGGTCTTTATTTCAATGCTTATACAAATATGTGATTATAGGAGTGAGAGTCAATTGCCTCTGGGATAATTTTATAGTTATATTTATTCAACAGGATTTACACACCTATACACACATATTAGTTATTATGAGAAGTTCTTCCTCAAAAGTCACTTGTTTGGGGGCATGAATTAATTTATATCACCTTGCACCACAGTCATACCCCCAAGTATTATTGACTTTATTATCTTCATTCACAAATGAAAGGAGCTCAAGTCTTTCATAAAATGCACCACTTCTCTTATGATTAATGTAACTTAGACAACAGAGATATGGGTAATGTCATCAGTGTCAACTCCTCTTAATAGGAGACGCTGCTGGCCAACCTGCTGTTCCCCTTCTTATTTCTTCTCCCACCATATCCTAAACAGGACATGTAGCATCATCTGCACTGAGACAAGAGTCTGGGATCACTAGGATGAGCACCAACACTCTAAAGTGGTTCTTGACCTTAAAAGTTAAACTGGGCCAGGCGCAGTGGCTCACGCCTGTAATTCCAACACTTTGGGAGGCCAAGGCGGGTGGATCACTTGAGGTCACGAGGAGTTTGAGACCAGCCTGGCCAACATGCAGTGAGCGAAAATCACGCCACTGCACTCCAGCCTGAGCAACAGAGTAAGACTCCGTCTCAAAAAAAAAAAAAAAAAAAAAAAGAAAGAGAGAAAGAAAGAAAAAAAGAAAAGAAAAAGTTAAACCGAAGGTCTTTTTCCTATAACTTCAGCAACAGTCATAACACACAGAACCACAACCCACTTTTATCTGCGGCTAATCACTCCTAATAAACCAACCACATAGGCATAGTTCACAAAGACATTCTGCTCTTCCAAAGAAGGTAAAAAATTTTGAGAAGTGAATTATATGTCACCTTGGGATTTAAGAATAGCTCTGATATTAAATAGTTTCCAGTGTCTCTTAAACATCTGAATGTGCATCTTAGAAGGTAATTCAGTTGGAAGAGAAAACTCAAACACTCTTAAATACCAGATTTCTTGCCTTAAATCTGTCACTAACCTCAGGTCTAATTTGAGACCTGAAGGAACCAGTTAATCTCTCTCTCCATTTCCTTACTATCATATTATACTTAGGTATATCTTTATCAGGGAATTTCATATTGGAAGGAAACTATGTAAATATGTTATTGACAAAGTTATGAAGATCACATTCCTGAGAGAAGAGACTCACAACAGCAGAAGCACAGATGTTACTGACTGACCACCAGCTCAAAGGGATAGCTGATTGTTTACTAAATAAATAACTGTGCTGAATATACCAGAGACCACTGACACTGATTTGTCTTTAATATGACTTATTTTTAATTAATATTGAGATCTAAACTGGGTGAGGATCCTCCTACAATTTACTTTCATAAAACTCATGCCATATATGTAAAAAGAATGTTTGTGTAATTTCTTCCTTTTACATATAAAATATATATTTATAGAAATCACTAAGGATATATTTTACTTTAAATAATCTATAATTGACTAAAACTGTTCTGGGTTCAAAACTGTGTATTGGAAAGTCAGGAGGGTATTTTGAAGTATATCATTCAAGAGAATCAAAGAGTAAAGAACCTTTAGCTTTAGGAGTCAATGAATTTTAAACAGAATCTGCACTAGAAAGGAGCAAGGATTTCTGCCTTCTTTGTTTTGTTGTTGTTGTTGCAATATCCTTATCACCTTAGAAAAGCGCCTGGCATATAGAAGAGAAAACGTTTTGCAAGTAACATGAAAGATTAAATAAAAGAGGTAACATAAAAAGATAAATTTTCTATGTATAGAAAACTATCAAGTATAAGGACAGAAGTCTTTATGTTTAAATATTTATTACTTCTGTCACCACGATCAACACATTTTGCCTGAGTCACTGATATGAATCTGCAGATGGAGTTGAGGTGACAGGAAGGAGACCTAGAAGACAATTAAAAAAAATAGTTTAACCCTTTAAGGGGTATGTCATTACTACCTACCTTTGGAATAGCAAGCTTGTCTTTTTCAGAGCTCTCTTCAGAGTCAGAACAGGTATAGTTTTCACTGAGCGAAGTGACGGGATTCACTCTGGGCTTGTGAATGGCCTGGAAGGTGAGCTGTGTGCTGAGCAAGTTGCTCACGGCTCTCAAGGATGTGCACACGTTTGGTGGAAGAGAAGGGTCTGCCAGGAGGTCGGTAATGAGGCCGTGGGCCTCGCCCATGACGGCGATGTCCACAGTAATACTGGTTCCTGAAGACTGAGACACAAACCAAGACAAGATCAGGCAAGAAAAGGCCTGAATCTGAAGGCACAAAGCATTAATTTGGACTTTTTCACTAAGAAATGAATTGGGCTGATTCTTTAGGATTTCAGTACAGTAAAATTCACACCACCTATTTCAAATTCTGCTAAAATGTGCCCTAGCTGCCACCCTTTTTTGCATTTGTGGCCCATTTTTTAATGCTAGAACTTGGGGAGGGTCAAGCATATTTGAAGAAATTAAAAAGATGAACACTAGTTTTTAAAAGGCAAAAAGTTTCAGAGATCTGGGGAAGAAAAACTTCATATCACTCCTTATGAAGAGCTCAACATTTTACATCTATGTTCTTTAGGAATTTCACTCCAAAAGTAACATTAATATACCATAAAATGTTATTTTTAGTAATATTTTAATGTGACACTTGAACCTGGTGTTTATTCAATGAATATTTTTGCTAATGGTAGTTATTCAATGAATGTTATTCGAGATAGACACAAAAAAACTCCATTTGTGTGCTAGTTCACAATCTGTCTCTCTTCCTGTTGTTGGTTGGAATAGAAATTTCAGTTCTGGGATTCTGTGGCACATCTGTCATATTCTGCCAAACTGCCTATCAGAGCAGAGTCATTACTCTGTCCTCACAGCAGAAACGAAGAGCACAAAACACAGAGGCCATATATATTTACTTATATAAGTAACTATATTACTTACATATAGTTTATTACTTATATAAGTAACTATATTACTTATATATAGTTACTTATATAAGTAACTATATTACTTATATATAGTTACTTATATAAGTAACTATATTACTTATATATAGTTACTTATATAAGTAAGTAAATAAACTCCAAAGAGAGAAAAAACAGAAGTATAAAGTTGTACGATTAAAAGAAAATATGAGGGACTATTTTATAATCTTGAAATTATAACCTTTAAAAATAATATGAATTCATAGACTGCCAAGGATATTCCTAATGTATCTGACTAAATGAAGATAAAAACTTCTACATAAGAAAATATACCATAAGCAAAGGAGGAAATGGTCTGTGAGAAAATGTTTGCCACACAGAGAAGATAAAACATATCCAAACAGAGAGCTTCTAAAAAATCACTAAAGGACAAAATTGAAAAAGGAAGTGAATAGGCAATTCAAACAAAATGTAAATAACCAATATATATATATAAAGCCACTTATGTCCACTATAATTAAATTGCAAATCAACATAATAAAAACAACTTTCATTTACAAAATTGGCAAAACAGTAAAAGATTTATAACACCAAGCATTAGTAATGGTTTGGGTAAACGAGTAGTGAGGAAAAACAATCCAAAATGTTTGGCAGGAAACTTTGCTAAGCCTATCAATTAGTAGCTTAAATGTATATATTCTATGATCCAGCAAAACAACATACATATCTGGTCGAAAGAAATACTTCTACAAATATCTAAACATATAAAAACAATAACACAAAGGGTATAGCAGTGTTCTGGCAACGACAACCGAGATACATATAAGTAGATAAATTTTTTTTTTTAAATTTCATTATATCTGTATTATAAAGTTGTCTATCCTTGTTTAAAAGATGTGGGTAGATTCATAAATTATTGTCTAGAAAATATTGTTCAGTGGGTTGGAAAAGTATGTTATAGAAAAAGTGAATATATATTATTCTTGTAATTAGAAAAATATCATGACACCTAACATCCATAAAGATATCTAGTCCTGCAATACCTGTAAGTAATGAATAAATTACTCTGTAAAATTATCATACAGAAAAGTTATGTCTTTTACTGCTAGAATTACAATAACTATAATAATAATGGTAAAGTTGATATATATTAACCACAAGTCTACAAAGTATTAGTAAGTACTATTATTACTTTCACTTTCATTAGACACAAATAACTTGCCAAAATCAGACAGGTGGAAAGTGGAAATATCAGGCTGCAAAGAAAAATAGCTTCATTCCATAGCTCAAGTGTTGAACCAGTACGGTGAAAAACAAAAAAACAAAAACAGAAAATCTTAATTTTATGTGCTTAAATATATCTGTAATTACTTAATGCATAATTTAATACTAGTACCCATGTTCTCTGATCACAGGCATAAATATCTCTTATGAACCAATATGAAAATTTAAGTGTAATATTAATAATTTTAGGATACATAGTCATGCATATGTCATATTTGTATCTATAGGGTTAATTTTATTTTTCTGAGCTAAAAGTAGAATTTTATTTTATTTACTTATTTTAAAAATAATTTGTATTGTGTATACTTGAGGCTTACAACATGTTATGTGTATATGTACAGATAGTCAAATGGTTACTATAGTGAGACAGGTTAACATTATCTAGCGTCTTGCATAGTATTTTTGTGACAAGAGCAGCTGAAATCTCCTTATTTAACAAAAATCTGTAATACAATACAATTTCGTTAACTGTAATCCTCATGTACATTAGATACCCTAGACTTATACATCCTATATATCTGCTACTTTGTATCTTTTGTCCTACATCTCCCCATTTCCTGACCCTTCCCCTGACTCTGCCCAGGGTAACGACTGTTTTATTCTCTATCTCTGAATATTCGACCTTTTTTAAAAATTAAGATTCTACACTTAAGTGAGATAATGCAATATTTTTCTGTGTCTGGCTTATTTTACTCAGCATAATGTTCTTCAGGTCCATCTATGTTATGGCAAATGACAGGATCTCCTTCCTTTTTAAAGGGTGAATGCTATTCCATTGTATGTATATACGTGTGTGCATATATACATACCATGTTTTCTTCATCCATTCATTCATGGACAGATGCTTATGGTATTTACATATCTTGGCTATTGTGAATAATGCAATGAACATGAGAGTGCAGATATCTTTATGAGGTGGTGATTTTATCTTATTTGGATCATATAGTTCTATTTTCAATTTTCTTAAGAACCGTTATACTATTTTCTATAATGGCTGTACCAATCTACATTTCTAACAGCAGTGTTCTAGGGTTCCCTTTTCTCTACACCCTTGCCAACATTTGTTATATCTTGTCTTTTTAATAATAGCCATCCTAACAGGAGTGAAGTGATATCTTATAGTGGTTTTAATTTCCATTTCCTGATGCTTAGTGATGTTAAACACTTTTCCATACATATATGTTGGCCACTTTCATGTCTTCTTTGGAGAAATGTCTGTTCATGTCCTTTGCCCACTTTTTAATCAGGTTATTTTTCCCCTATTGTGTTATAAGAGTTATTTATAAAGTTTGGATATTAATTCCTTATCAGATACATGCTTTGCCAATATTTTTTTTCCCAGTCTGTCAGTTGCCTTTTCATTTTGTTGATTGTTTCCCTTCCTGTGCAGAAGCTATTTAGTTTGATGTGGCCCCATTTACTTATTTTTTCTCTTTTGGCCTGAGATTTTGGTGTGTTATCCAAGAATTCATTGCCAAGGTCAATGTCCGAGAGCTTTCCCCCATGTTCTCTTCTATAAGTTTCACGGTTTCAGGTGTTACATTTCAGTCTTTACGTATTTTGAGTTGATTTTTGTGTGTGGTATAAGATAAACATACGATTTCATTCTTTTGCATGTAGAAATCCAGCTTTCTCAGCACCTTTTATCAAAGAGACTCCCCTTTCCACCTGTGTCCTCCTAGCACCCTTGTGTAAAATTATTTGAACATGTATGCTTGAATTTACTTCTGGGCTCTCTATCCTGTTCCATTGGTGTAGGTTTCTGTTGTTATGCCAGTAGCATGCTATTTTGATTACTATAGATTTGTAATATAGTTGTAAATCAGAAAGTGTAATGCCTTCAACCGTTTTCCCCTCAGTACTGCTTTGGCTATTTGGGGTTTTTTGTGGTTTCATACAAATTTTAGGATTGCATTTTTCTATTTCTGTGAAGACACCATTGCGATGTTGATAGTTATTGCATTAAATTTCTATATTTCTTTGGGTAGTATAAATATTTTAACAATACTTCTGATTGAGTAATGGAATATTTTTCTATATATTTCTGTGTTCAATTCTTTTCATCAGTGTTTTATAATTTTCAATGTACAAATCTTTTACCTCCTTGGTTAAATTTATCCCTAAGTATTTTTTATGCTATTGTAAATGGGAGTGTTTTTTAATTCTTTTTCAGCTAGGGACTTATTTGTATATAAAAAATGTTATTGATTTTTGTCTGTTGATTTTCAATCCTGTAACTTTACTGAATTCATTTGTTAGCTCTAACAATTTTTGTGCGTGTAGAATTGTTGTGGTTTTCTACATATAAAGATCATGTCATCTGCAAATAGAGATAATATCATTATTCAATTTTTTAATGTTTGTAAAAATGCCACTTAGCTAACATTCCCTTTTAGAAATAAGTATTTTAAAGTGCATCTCTAATCATTATGCTTCTGAAAATCTCATCCAGTGTGATCCTCTGAAATAGTAATGTTTATTTTTAGCCATGTTGTTCTAATAAACTAACAATTAACTGGACTGTTTCCATACAAATTTGAAATTTTAAGTCAAACTTTGTTTTCAAGACAAAATTTTAAATGTTTTTGACAATGAAATTAAGTTTATTCTCTAGTAATAACTACAAAGTTCTCTTAAAATGTTCTCAGTATACAAAATCTACAAATCTGAAGAAAAAGTAGAACATGTTCATGAGAATTACAAGTTTTAAATAAATTATTGGGAAGAAGACAAGTTTTTTTATAATTATCAAATTGTGTGTCTTTTTATAATACATTTTATTTTTTCTTTAAAGTAATAGATGTATTTCTTGTATATATAGAAAAAATAGTAAACATTTAAAAAGTACTTTTTAAAATAGAAACTGAAAACTCATCTTTATAAGTCAATGTCACAGTTACATAAGAATTCAGAAAATAAGCACATTATGTATTTTGATGCTACTATTATGCTGTAGCTTTTGCAAAAGCAAAGGTCTTTAAGTGAAAACAAAAGCAACATTCAAGCCGAGAGACAAATTATCCTTATTGAAATTAGCTAAGAAACTGAAGTGAACACTTCTACTATTGGAAAAAAAAAATATCCTTAGTATCATTAAGTCAGGTCCTCACTTTGTTGTTTTCATGATTCTAGAATAAAATTATGTTACAGTCAACAGACACATCACACGTAAGAAGTTATTACCACTTTTTTGCTCAAATAACTAAAGGCTTCAATGAGGCATGCAATTTAAAACCAACAATCAGATTTGTTTGCAGCAAACCTGCCAAGGCTAACCACACATGAAATGGTGAAAAACAGAAAGATGGACTGGCTGCTGTTTCAATAAATAGCAGGTAAGCTACAAAGGATGGGTATGTCTAGGATGTCCCTATTAAGGAATTTTAAGGGAGAGGGGTTTTGGTTTTTGGTAGTGTTTTTTAAATCATGTACAAAGTGAGAAAAAATTGTGTGATTCACACAGAAGTTTTTTCCATGCCTATTAACTTTGAAAAAAATAATATAATTAAATATTGAGGTATACCAATGGTACTCAGAAATGTTTTATTTAACTGGTGAAATCTTAGATAGTGATAATAAATACTAAATGTTAAGTTTATATAAAAGCCAGTTTAAAGAAAAGTCTTAAAACTAACAATCTGAAACCATCTTTCAGTGCAGTACGAGCCACACTAAGCACAAAATCGCAGTTGAGTCTTCTTATGGTGCAGATGATCAAACAAATCTTTTCCTTTAAAAAAAAAAACTTACCAAGCAATATAAAACATTCTACTTCACAGACTCTCCTTGTAATAGAAATATTTATATTTAACATTTCAGAAAATGCAAGTGTATTTCCCTAGACACTATTTAAATGGCAACCAAATTTGGATTGCCACCTTTAAATAGAAAATGTGGCATTTCAGTACGATAAACAGTGGAGGAAAGTGCGGTTTTATATATCAAGCCAAAAATAACTGATACTTTTGGTAAATTCACCATTTTCCAATGTGTTTTTTTTTCTTTTTTCTTTTTTTTTTTTTTTGAGACGGAGTCTCACTCTGTCACCCAGGCTGAAGTGCACTGGCACGATCTCAGCTCACTGCAACCTCAGCCTCCTGGGCTCAAGTAATCCTCCAACCTCAGCCTCCCTAGCAGCTGATACTAGAGACTCACACCACCATGCCTAATTTTTTTGTATTTTTGGTACAGATGGGGTTTTGCTATTTTGCCCAGGCTGGTCTTGAACTCCTGGGTTCAAGCAATCCTCCCACCTTGGCCTCCCAAAGTGTTGAAATTAAAGGTGTTAGCCACCGCGCCCGACTGAGTACTCAGTTTTTAAACAACTTCCTTTTCCTCTTTTATCTTCATCCAGTCTACTTTCCCATTTCCAGGATGTCCTACCTAATCCTGGCTTTAGACTACCACAATTGTTAATGGCCTTGGTATATTACAATCTAGAGTGGTTCTAAGTTATTTCACTCATCATAAACCAAAGGCCCAGAAAGTCTGATGCTATAGATAAGAAGTTTAAAATACAACAAGTATAATCAATATTATACATACTTTTAGACGTGTGCCTATCAATCAATTACAGAAAATTTGTTTTAATTTTTTTTTTTTTTTTTTTGAGATGGAGCTTGTCTCCCAGGCTGGAGTGCAATGGCGTGATCTCAGCTCACTGCAACCTCCACCTCCCAGGTTCAAGTGATTCTCCTGTCTCAGCCTCCCAAGTAGCTGGGATTACAGGCATATGCTACCATGCCCAACTAATTTTGTATTTTTAGTAGAGACAGGGTTTCTCCATGTTGGTTAGGCTGGTCTCAAACTCCCAACCTCAGGTGACCCGCCCACCTGAGCCTCCCAAAGTCCTGGGATTATAAGCGTGAGCCACCGCACCCGGCCAATTTGTTTTAATTTTTATTACTAGTGGGCAAAAACTTTGACATTGCAGTACTGATATGATAAAAGGGAAATCTTCGAATATGTGTGGAGGTCAAAAGGTATTTGCGTGCTATAAAAGGCATCTAAGTTTCTAAAATTTTCTAAGTAAGTTGCAAACTATGAAAAATTCTAACAAGTCTATGTAACCAAGTTACGAACAGAATGTAAAATAAAATCATGTATCATTAAGTAACATATCAGATTATTTGCTGTGGTGCTGTGTTTGAGTTTATGCCAAAATATTGAGAACTGGAGAATTTCTAAAAGATAAAATCTAAGAATGCTTAGGAAATAATTATGTGAAAAGAGTAAATGAAAACAAACAAAAAAAAGCAGATACACATCATTTTTTTTAAAGAAAGTAAAGGTGCCCAAAGGAAAAATCAGAAAAAGACTGGAGAAATGGTAGGGTCAACATAAATTTATTCTTTAAAATGATTAAGGAGATTATCTAGCACCTGGGGTGTAGATGAAGATAATGCATCCAATTCTTGATAAATTTGCTTTGAGGTAGCACCAATATAGTCAAGTTATGACTCTGCTTTCTACATATTTTAAATCACAGATTAAATTGATAACTTAATTAAATAGGCTGACAGGCAGAAAATGTAATAATTCTCCAGTCTTCTGACTCAGTGAACATTCTGGCGTGTCACTTGCTTTGGAAATTAATTTATTCTAACTGGAGGAAAAGAATTAGAAGCAGCACCAAAAGCCTCTCTTCGTAAGTCTACATGAAACTTGAAGATAGGTTACAAATGCTGAAACATTAGAATTGAGAAATTATCTAGATAACCTAGTAGAAATGCTATATACTTCAAATTAGGCCACTTAAAAATATCTTAAGTTTTATGATGACTTCCAAAACCAAACCTACAGGTTTCCTTATAGGCAATACTGTATCCAACAGAGCAATCAGGCTCTTTTCCTCTGAAATCAGAGAACTGGGCGGGATCTTTTGAAGGTCCCTTCCAATTGGGCAAGTAATTCATTTCTCTACATTTACACACACACACATACACACCCCCATCAAATAAGAAAAAAGAAAAAGATTTTAAAATTACATCTTGGCATCTTTAAGCATTTTACATTTAAAAAAAGATTTTAAAATTATTATGTAGACTTAGAAAAGTCCTTATTGTATTAATTGCTAATCTTTCACAAGCTCTACCTTATAAATTGTTATTGAGTCACTGATGCTGTTTCCTTCTTATGGTAAATTGCCTAGTGTACACTGAGTAGATCACAAGGAATAGGCTATTTGGTGGAATTTCCATATACTTCTCCCAATAGGTAAGTTACGCATTTGCCTAGTGTCAGTTTCCTTTCTTCCCAAATCTCTTTAGGCCTGTTATATTTGTCACTGTAAATTACATAGACTAACAAAATATCTACAAAGAAATGACACCTGCAGAAAAATGGAATTGTTCCCTTGAAAACGAAGTCAGGTAGCTTTACACAGAGTTCATAAATAGATTTTATAAGGGTGAGAGCCTAAGAATGTATTTCCCTTGATTTAAGTAGGGGAGATACAACTATAAAGATTCAAAAAGAAAATCACAACACACCTAAAGGCTTTTCAACTCAGAATGCTTCCAAGTTCCTAAGTTGTTTCCACTATAAAGAAACGGAAACTGGCAAGCATGTACAATGAAATATGAAATATGGGTATGGTGTAAGTAAGAACGGCAACCTGAAACTCCAGTCACTTCAGTGGACACATACTTGAGAGAAACATTCTTGGCTCTTCATCAAAGATGTGCAAAAACCTGCATACTCTATGTATTAAGTTAAAATATATTACTAGAATTATAGAAAATTTATATCATATTTTTATGATTCTCTACTTTAAAAACTTTTTAAAATTCCCAGACCAGCTATTTGTCCTAATTATGTCTGTTAAGAGAGCTCCATAGTATTTTAAACTCAATATTTTCTTTCCCTTAAAATGAGACATAATGTAATTGCGGTGTTAAAGCTATTCATTAACATTCCTGGAACAAGAGCTAGAAAGCTAAGCCTGGTTTATGAATTAGCATTTGGGAAGCAAAAAGGTAGAAAAACATATTTTTGTCATATATATAATTTGTAAGGTTGTGTATGTGGGAAGTTGGAAAGCAGAGTTTTAAAACGTTGGGATATAAGAGAAAGTTTTTTTCATTCATCAATATCAAATATTTATTATATGAGGTAATACATGGGGTCTTTAAGGAGGCAAGAACCGAAGTTAGACTGCTTCTGTTCAAATTTCAGATCTGCTAAGATTTTTATTTTATTTAAAAAGTAAATTCATTTTATCTCCCTCCCCTCCCCTCTCCTCCCCTCCCCTCTTCTCTCCTCTCCTTTCCTTTTTTATTTTCTTCTTTCTTGAGATGGAGTCTCGCTCTATGGCCCAGGCTGGAGTGCAGTGGCACGATCTCAGCTCACTGCCACCTCCGCCTCCTGGTTTCAAGCAATTCTCCTGCCTCAGCCTCCCGAATAGCTAGGACCCCAGGCATGCGCCACCATGCCCAGCTAATTTTTGTATTTTTGGTAGAGACAGGGTTTCCCCATGTTGGCCAGGCTGGTCTCGAACTCCTGACTTTGTGATCCGCCTGCCTCAGCCTCCCAAAGTGCTGTGATTACAGGCGTGAGCCACCATGCCTGGCTCATTTTATTTCTTTAGCTCTTGTCTCCTCTCTAAAAAGGGATTAATAGTAATATCGACTGTATAGTGTAATTGATGATTAAATGAGATCATAAACATAAAGACTTGTGAGAGTGCGTGGTCCAAAATATATGTTTGATAAGTATTATACATCACCAACATTATCATTATTGTTGGTGAAACATTGTTGTTGAGAAAGATTGTGTGTGCAAAGAAATGTATGTTGTGCACGTGGGTGTTTGTCCCCTACATGAACTGGGCCAGTAGTTCCTTTATAAATGAAGATAGCACAGAGATATGATTTCTCTACCAAAATAAATAAATAAATTAAATAAATAAATAAAACAATAAAAACAAAAACCTATTTCCACTTCTTACTCTAGGTAAATGCAGTCAGATATATTGTACTCCCTACTGCAAAATACTCATAATAGTCCTGATTTTAATTTTAAGTTCTTAAAAAGTGATTGTACAGAAGTCCTGGTTTCAGTTAATATGGTTGATTGCATTGGAATGATTTATAACACAGGATGTGAAAAGAATTCTAAAAGCAGGCATCATAGCTCCATTGTTGGAAGTATTTTTTTCTTTCTATTTAGTCATCCTGGGAGGCACCCTGGGAGGCAAACACAGCATGGGAGGAATATTCTTAGGGTGGAAAGGGAGTTGGGATAAGAGACGAATAAACAGTGTAAGAGATGACACATAAAAAGGAAATAGTCACTGGGGCTTTTCTCATCCAACTTTGGTCCTCAATGCTGGGAAAAGATGTGTGATGAGTTTTTGGAAGCTGTCTCCTCCTACATCTCTGTAGCACTACGTGCCACTCCATCCCTCCAACTCTTTCTCTGGGAGGCTGTCCGTGATACTAGGAAATGGTATCTTGGTCTTTAATGTACTACATTAATTTAGAAGATGAGCTGGATTTGATACAATGATCTTTGGTGCATTACTGGTTCTGACCTCAGAGACAGCAAAATTGCATATGTGTTTATACTTTCATAGGACCCATTTATAATTTTAGACTTGAAGTTGGTTGGGAAATTTTTAAAAAATGAAATCATGTGAAAATTTTGCAGTAACTCATTGTAGGCTGAACCTTGGCTAAAGGCCATCCTAAGGAAGCAGATGTTTGCGTATTTTAATTTTCTGGCAGGGAATATGAGTTTACATTTGGATTTTTTCCTTAAGATAATATGTATGTACAGTAGGAGGAAAACCTATAGGGCCCTTCATCAAACTGCTTCCCAACATGTCTGTGGGCAGGTTCCATGTGAGATGTGAAACATAACAAACTTCATTAGTTACCAGAATTCTTAACATCCTTCTCTTTTGATGTTCAAAGAGCACTGCAAGTCACCAAATGAGATGGAATACATGGCCTCTGTCCTTATACAAGTCCCTGCAAGCTATCAGCAAACAAGTCAAAAATTGGTGAAAAATTCTGTCTTGTTTATATTTTCTAACTACTTTCCAGACACTAGCGAACTCACGTAACAACTCAAAGTTAACAATTTTACAATAGTGTTTTATTATTTAGGAAATGGAACATACTTATTCATCACTTACTCTAGTAAGAACCCGCATCTTTCAGAAGATAACCTTAGCTGTCTTTAAGTTGCACGCTGGTTTTCTCTCTTTCTCTTAATTAGAAAAGATGATGTAGCTGGCAAAGATATAATAAATTCAGGCAATGAGCTACTCATGTGACTGCTCACACAAATGTGGGAAGGCTTGGTTAAGTACAAATTACTTTGTAAATAAAAAACATTATTATTTCTGTTGTTGGAAGAAACAGGAAGCAAAGAGAACTTAACTGGATGTGAGCACTTCTCTGATATGAGAAAGAGTTTTAAAAAATGATAGGAATAACTAAGAATCTCTGAAATAAGTACGAACTCAGAAAGCTGATAAATGTGGGCTGGTCTTTGTCTGTTAAATATCAAGAATTGCTATTAAATTTGAACTTAAGGCTTCTGTTTGCTTAGGCTAAAAACTTCAGTGAACAACAGATGGCAGTATTCTGCCTTTTAAAAGAATTATCTGACCATCTCTTTTAAAACAAGTGCTACTGCCTCATTAACAGGCAGAATTTAGTTTTTTTTCACAGAAAACAAAAAAAAAAGCTAAAAAAGAATAACTTACATAAGTCTGCTGGTAGAAATAAAAAATTTAAAATGTGTCTTATCCCTCAGGATCATTGTTAAAGTGAAATTACAATTACATAATTAATGATTTGTCTAAGTTGCAAACATTTTAGTTGTTACGTTTCTCAATTTTTATAAGACATATTAGAAACGTGACTTCTTCCCATGCACAATTTGATTAACATTTTCCCACATGTAATTTTCTACTGTGATTAAAATATTAACACAAAACATCAAATGCCTTTGAACACACTGTTTTGTGGAACTTTACTGCCATTTGTTTTATCCATATCAACACTAGACTTTTTCCTGCCCCATATGCAATGGGTGTTTATCTAGGCTACTGACTTGCCTCTTCTACACTTAATCCAGGACATCTTCCCTGACTGCTTCAGGACCATACAAACATTTCCACGTTAATGCCTATTGGGATATTCCATTCATACTCTGAAAACAGCAGAAACGAAAGCAAGCCAAAAAACAAACAAACAAACAAACAAACAAACAAACAAAAAGCCTTGGAGCTATACCTTTTGAGAAACCTTGCATCTCTGACCAGATCTTACATATATACATAGATCCTCGTTGCAATAGCACCTGCCACAATTCTCGATTCAGCTTTTGGTATGTCTATATGTGATGGTCTGTCTTCCTCCTTCAGGCTCAAAGTTGTGCAAGGACAAGGGCAATGCTAGGTTTCATTCCCCCAGTGTGGTATCTGGTACTTTGTGGGCACTCAATAATATGAGAAATGATGACTGCATAAGTAACATACTCCAAACCTTCAAAGATAAGTAAATGCCCTCTCTCCAATTCTGTACCTTAAAAGACAAGTAAATTAAAGTGTTTGAGACAGTTCTTTGAAACAAATCACTGCTTTTCTGGAAGCCATCTTAAAACATTCAACCTCCTAGCACAATTGCATGTTCTAATCTCACACTTAAAGTATACTGAGAATTGTTACACTGAAATACTGGAGTCATGATTAAAAACTATTATTTAACAACCTGATTCTGGAATAAGCACTGTCCAGAAAACAGTGAAAATGCCAAGGAGAAGTAATAGTACTGACACAAAAAGCAATCCTACAAATTTTTCCACAATTGGGTACATACATGAAAAGAGTAAGCAAAGGATTAGGGTGTGTTTTCTGGAAAAGGAAAAGATCTTAACAGGCCTGGAGGTAAAGAATGGCCTTTTGAAGACAAAGCTCAGGTGAAGTACACAGTGCTTCAGTTTGAAAGGTTGACACTGGAGAGGTCTGAGGAAACAGATCATGGCAGGAATATGAGCCATATTCAAGAGCTTTGATTAACTAGTAAGGGCAATAAGAAAGTCCTGTAGAATACTGGCATCATCAGTATGTGTGGAGAGAGGAGTCAGGCTAGCTTTCAGGATGAAGGTTTGGGAAGATACGTAGCTAAGAGTCTTTCATAGAATGAGGAATCAAAAGAGAAGGAATCAGTTTGGACGAGGGTACTGAGGTATTTATTGGATGATTCCAGTGGCATATTAGGAGAGACTTCTGAACTGGAAATATACATTTGGGCATTGAAGACATATATATGGTCATTTCAACAGCATGTTGCCATGAAAGTGTGTGAAGAGAAAGGAGTATACTGAGGCTAGAGCCATAATCAATATCAACTTTTAAAAGCCAGGCAGAAGTGAAATCCACAAAAGGAAATAAGAAGGGACAAGTAAGAACTGGGAGTGTAGTGTCCATGGCACCAAGGAAATGTTAAGAAGCAAGGAGTGGTCAGCAGTGGATCAGTGTTTGAGAGATTAGTAAATCTTGAAAAATGTTTATGAGTTTAGTATTTGGAAGGTCACTGGCAACTCTACAGACTACAGTTTCAGTGAAACACTGAGGTAGCAAGCCACATTGCAATAAATTGAGCAATGAAAGGAAGATAGAAAAATGAAGATCATAGAGACAAGTCTCATGAAAACTGGCTGTAAAATGGAAGATAGATATATGTCAGTATCCAGAGGGAAAACAGGGTCTAAAGAGTTACTGAGCATGTGAACAGCATAAATGCTGAAGGGTAAACACAGTGGAATGATAAATAGATAAAAATCCAAGAGAAGGAAGTAAGGGGTACAGGAGTAACCTTTCACAATGGGAGATACCTTTTCCATGATAACAGTAAGAAAGAAGAATACAGATTTATAGGTGAGAAGTTAAACAAATTTTTATACGTTGACTTTTATTTACACTGTGAATTACACCGTGAATTGGGCACTGAGTCCCTTGCTGAAAACGTGATGTGGGCAATGTTGAGGTTAGAAGTACAAACGAGAATGAAAAGTTTTGAAAGAGGGATAAAAAAGAGCTGGCTAGATTCTCAAGCAATACAAAGGCCCGGTTGAGTACTTCCCAGTGTTACTCAGCATAAAATTTGACTTGAAAAGGCAACAAAGAGAAAACAGGAGAAGTATGACAGACAGGAAAGAAAGATTGGCCAACTGGACTGGAGATCCTGGTGAGGTGAAAGAACAGGTCTAGAGAGAGTAAGTGGGGGGCAGAGCAGAAAAGCTGGAAGAAGCATGAAGGCAGCACGTGGGGACTGCATAAGAAGGATGAATGGGTAAAGAAGTCCATTAGCAGACTAGACTCTCAGGCAGGGGAAGTTACTGCTTTTTATTAGCAGAAATGAAGGTTGAAAGGGAAGTATGAGGCTAGATTTCAGATGCCCAATAATGAAAGACAAAGATTTCTAATTCTATCAGTTGGTAACTGAATGACGAAAGATGGCTGACAAGGAAAATGATATAATCAAACAGTATGCAGTGCTTGAGGAAGATTAAGGTGTGGCATAGAAGAAGGCTGATTTGACCAAGGCTGCCACAACAATAAACATGGGAAACAAGGCCATTCACAGCATGAATGTCCCAGGAAGAAAAGAGTGAAAGTTACATTAAGGAGAATCATTTGCACTTGGAAATAGGTGAGATATGGCGACATAAGAAATGAAATAGATTTATTCCTATAATAGTCTTCTTTACTCTGTCTACAGTATTCTTTCAATTTCTTCTTTCAGAAATCTCTAAGTACCCCAGGCTTCACAAAATAATTTGTGAATAATTCACTTGTGAGTTAATAAAATCTATATTGTGTCTGACCAACTAAGAAAATGTTCCCCTTTGATAATCTCTATTGCCTTCCACAGTGTAAACATTTGAGGGGGCGGGTGATTTCAATAGCCCCCAATTTTTTAACACAACATTAAACACCTCATAAATGTATTTTAAAAGTCAGTAGGGCCTGGTGTGGTAGCTCACGCCTGTAATCCCAGTACTTTGGGAGACCAGGCAGATTACTTGAGGTCAGGTGTTCAAAACTAGCCTGGCAAACATGGTGAAACCCCATCTCTACTAAAAATACAAAAAATTAGCCGGGCGTGGTGGTGGGAGCCTGTAATCCCAGCTACTCAGGAGGCTGAGGCAGGAGAATTGCTTGGACCAAGGAGGCGGAGGTTGCAGTGAGCTGAGATCGCGCCATTGCACTCCAGCCTGGGAGACAGAGCAAGACTCCATCTCAAAATAATAATAATAATAATAATAATTAAAAAAAGAAATAAAAGTCAGTAAATTTCATTTGCTACAACTAATCAAGGATTCCATCAATCGAATAATAAAGTTTTCAAACTTAAAAATAGATCAAACTTCAAAACACTTGTAAAAATATTTTTGGAAAACAGAGTGTGTTTTCTCTAAAGAAACACTGTTAGAAGTGATTTTGAAGCTTATGAGCACAAAAAAAACATAAGTATGATAGAATTTTGTTTGTTTGTTTTCCACTGCAAATTTACCCTATTTCAATAATGTCACAAAGGGAATACAGAGGTACTGAAAAAATATCCATTTCTTCTTCATTCATTTGACAAATATTAACTGAAATCTATTGGGTACCTGGTACTATCTACACCTTAGGGCTACAGAGATGAATGAATCAGGGCTGCTACCTTTAGGTAGCTTGCAGTCTAGTGGAAGGCATTCAGGGAACTGAAAGGGGTTAGAGGATAAAGGAGAAAACCCTGTGGGTGTATCCAGTACCCCTGGTTATAAGAAGAGTGAAAGAAGTTGGTTGAAAGTGAAAACAGTTGTTTCTCAAAGTGCAGATCCTAAAACACCTGAATCTGTCCATGTGGTTCTTTTCCAAACTTTGAAAATGGTCACTCTGAACAGAGTCACCATTATCATTCATACCTCTCTTCAAAGTAGGATCAAAAAAAGAAAAAAACCAACAAAAAAGCCTATTATCCAGAAAAGAGAATTGTGAGAAGGGTGAAAGACAGATAGCAAACATACTTATCACTATAATATAGCATTTCCCTCAAAATCTTGAGCCCCTATAAGTCTCATAGATCCAACACCTAAGTCTTATCTTTGAAACATGGACTTCAAGGCTTTCTAGCTTCTGATCCACCCAGCAATGAGTTGGGAACTTGAAACTCCCTTCCCTCTCAGAATACCTGAGGGTTCCTTCTTGCTTACTGGTTTTTGAGAATGGAGTAAGCTTATCTGTAAGTCATTTTACATATAGGGCAGGTAGGTGTAATACACTACAGTTTGTAATATAATTTCTTGATTTTCTAAGATGCAACTCAAGAGATCTAAACAATGACATTGTAAAGGGAGTGACTTTCAACATTTGAAAGCAGTGCACACAAAAGGTTATGTAATTTGCCCAAGGTTACAAAGATCTTAAGCTGCAGAGATGACATTCCAACCCAGGTAGTCTGGATCCGAAGCCCTACGCTATTCACAATGCTAAATACTGGGTACCGTTCCTATGTACAGTCATTTACCTTCAATGATATGAAAATATCCTTGCCAATTTGCTATACGGTATTTTTTTTAAATAAACACTTCCTCCAATTAATGAGAGCCTAAGTAGATAAAGATTATTAAGGGGAACTTGTTAACATCATCAGTAAACTCCAAGATTTCATGGTTGACTCCCTTCTTTCACATCTTCTTTGAAAATGTCAAATTAGACTCTTCCCAGAACTAAGTATTAGGAAAGGTCCCACTATTAATATTTTTCCATCAAGAAAAATGCCACTTATTCTCTCTATTTCTGATACTTAAGCCAGATCGTTCATATGGTTTGCCCCGGAAGGAAAAACTTGTGGATTCTTGTGGAGACTTCTATTGCTAAAAGGAAGGCATCCGTCTTCATTTTCCTCTTAGGTGGTAATGAATATAAAATTGTATGATGTATCTGTCTACAAGTCTGGGTTAATCACTTCAGTTTAAGAAACTGGTTTCAGTTGTAATCTTATTATATTCAGAATGTTATGAGACAATTAAAAAATATGATTATCCTAGGATCAGCAGACATGGTGGCTCACCAAGACATTTAGCGGGCAGATGTCAGGCAGGATCATCAAGGTTTTGTATGGGAAGTATTTCAAAATGATACCCCACTCCACATTTAGCAACAATGTGTTGCTGAATAAAGGAGGAAATTAAGTAAGTAAATAAGTCATTTGGTCATAATAGTGAGTCACTCAGGATTTCTGTCATAGATTTGTTTTCTTCTTGTAGACATAATTGCTAGTTCAGTCAATGCTTCCACAGAGTGTTTGTATGGTAATACCAACAGATTTATGGAATATGAAGAGTCAATTTCTACAGAAATTCAGCACATGTTCTTTAAGACAAAGATCTATGCAAAAAAGGACAAAATGAATTCAAAAATAATCTTTTAAAATTATAATCATAAGATTAATACAAGCACTGATTAAAAATATGTTTTTTTCTGAAAATAAGGAGGAGGATGTAGGAAAAACATTGATATTAAATTTGTCTTTAACCATCATTTCAGTCAATTTTAATTTCATTTCATCTTAAAATAGGGAGATAAGGACTAAAGTAGGGTGGCAATGCTTTAATTGAAATATGCCATAAAAACAAATAAGCAAAGCTTTATCTTAAAAATGGACACAGAGCAGATGCAATGGCCCCTTTCAAGTGCTGGCCCTGCTGGCAAACTGAAGAATATATAATTAAGACAGAATAAGGTCTAACTAAAAAGAGCTTCAAAATGTCTCCCTACTAGTTTCAATACTTCAAACAAATACTTTAAACTTGCTATATTATCTCTATCATCAGCTACATTCTACTCTGGCTCAAAAGATTATAAGAGCTTCTTGAATATCCATCAAGCATGTCTTGTGGCTGCTGGACCAATTGACAGCCTCATTAAATTTCCTATGGACTATGATAACATTCTGATATTAAGACAAATAGGTCCAAAGACATTTGGAAATGTCTAATTCTAAACTGTCTTCAAAGCATATGCAGTGGCTATCATGATTGACTCTCTGTGCCAATCATGATAATTTCAACTCCAAAGCCAGGGATTTGATCAAGAATGGGTAGGCCAAGTCAATGTGAGTCAATGAGATATGAGGGGAACTTAGCTTCATGCTTCTAGAAAAGGAAATCCTTTTTCTTCAGAAGAAAGTTTGTTGCTGCCAGCAGCCATTTTTGGATCACAAGTAGAATCGGCATTAGGATGAGACCAATACTATAGACAGTAGCAGAGTAGAGAGAATAAAAAACCTAGGTGCGTTATAACATTGCTGAATTCACTAAATGCACTAATCCTGAAGGCTTCCCTCCTTTGGCCTTCTATTCATGAGAAATAATAACATCTCTTTATTGCTACAACTAGTTGAAGTAAAGTTTTCTTTTATTTACAGTTGAAAATATTCTAATACAGCATAATTTTTTTTTACCAACTGTATATATATAATATACCAACTGTATAGATAAATAGGTGGTAATAATAAAATTTTATAATGTATCGATCTACAAGTCTGGGTTAATAACTTCAGTTTAGGAGAACAGTTTTAGTTATAATCTTATTATATTCAGAATGCTATAAGGCAATAAAAAAATATGATTACCTTAGGTTCAGCCAAACACGGTAACCTACTGAGGGCTGAGTGATGAGCACCAGCTAGTTCTCTTAGCCAAGTGACTCATTTCTGCAAGCGAGCCCCCAACATACTATCCATATCTGAATCCTAGAGGCAAATTAATAATCAAAATGCTACTCATTTAATATTCTTATAGAAAGGCACTTCAGACATGTTTGGATTCTGTAAGCTTCTTAAAGATGAGCGTCATTTCATACTCATTTTCTAACCCCACAGCATTTTGCTCAGGTACCAGGCTCAGCAAAAAAAAAAAAAGCCCCTAATTAGTTTAAATGAATTCTCTTTTCTCCAGTTCTTCTTGGCAGAAAATATACAAAAATAAGCTATCCAATCTTTATTGAGGACTTTAATTCGGCTTCATATGAATTTCTAAATATAGAAAGGACTTCTTAATTCTTGACTTCCTCCCTATTGTTTCAATGAGCAAATAATATTTTTTCTTTTGGTTAATACCAGTCTCCTACCACTGTACTTTTAATTTCATCCTTCTAATAGACAGCATATTTGTTTTAATTAGTGCATTTCTTATTCATTCTCTTTTTCCTCCTCGCTTTTTCCTCGCAACTTAAAAACATTGTTAGCATTATCCTCTACTAACAAAATTAGGGTCTTTGACCCCATCTCTAAGGAGCTAACCATTTTTTAAAAAATTATAATCTATTAACATTTTGAAAGCCCTTAAAGAGAGTTCTGCTCTCACTAATTCTCTATCAATATTAATAAATATCTTAATCAAAATATCTAATGACAACATTCCTGGCTTTTTCTTGCTTCACCACCAGACATTACTGAAGCCTAGCACCTCAGGCACAGCCATCTCCTCTTCTTCTGGCCTAGCTTTTTTCCAGCCTGAGAACAAACTCACTGTCTGCTTTCCTTTTTATTATTTTTATCCACATTAATCTGTGCCCTTCCCTCCCAGCCCTCACCCTATGTTATAATGAATACAGTACCCGCTAATCTGTTGTTCCAACACTGACCACTCCTTCGAGCTTCTGGACAGCTCCACTCAGATATTCCAAAGCAATTTCACACTCAACTTTCCAAAAGAAAATATTTTATCTTTGGAAATCTTTTCCTCATGTATTTCCTACTTGGCTAAAACCAAAATCACTAACCAAAACTGGACACGTTGACTCTTAGGTTTTATTTGTATTTATTCTTTGCTTTCTTACCTTCAACATCAAATTGGTCAGTGGATCTGGAAATTTACATGCAAGACTGACATTTTTTTTTTTTTCCTTAAAAAGCCTCTCATCCCTGCTTTAATCCATCTCTCATTATATCACACGAGGATGGCTACAATATTTTTTTCTTCTAGTTTCTTCCTGCCACAAACTTGGCTTTTCCCAATGCAGAGATATTATTATGCTGCTCTGCCACTTCAGGGCTCCGCGAAGTTAGGGAACAACATTCAACTTCTTGGTTGTCTTTAAGTGTGTTAACATTTAACCTTTAACCCGCCGCCCTTTTCCAGTTACATCTCCACGTGCTCTACTAATGCCTCATCCCTCCAGCTAACCTGGATTCTCTTTACAGATATGATGCCACAACCCTATGCTTTGGTTTATGGTGTTACTTCTGCCTACCACTTCATTTCTTTTATTTAGTATTGATTATCAAGATTCAACTTTAATATATAAAAACATTCCAGCTTCATTCTCAAACTGACACCAAATTAATCACTTCAGCCTCGAAGTCTCCATAGTACTTTGTTCAACATCTATTATGATATTGTTGTATTGCTAATTATGACTAAATTCCTTGCCAGATTATGCATTTGAGAACAATTTTTGTTCATTTTTATAATCTTAGTACTCAGCATACTGTAAGAACTCAAAAAACCTAATTATTAAAAGAATGAGCTCTAATTGCCTTCTAACACAATGTGCTATTCTTACAAATGGTTCTCAACTGTTTAGAGAATCTCATTATTCTAATCGGTCTGAAAAGTGTGACTCCCCCACCCCTTGTATTCAAACAAGACCTCCTTCTAGTCCTCACAACCTCCTACTGAGTATCATGTCACTTAAGGCAACTGCCTGCAATAAACACACTCAATTAACAGGCAAACACAGATCCCCATGAGCAATGAACATAAAGGAGTACTGAAGAAAGAAGAGGCACAGTGCACTAATTTCCCTGATGCTCTCCCTCATTTTCAGCAGTCCCTGACTACAGGCCCGCTGCTTATTTTCAGAGCTCCTTTCTATGATTAGTACTCAAGCATAGGTGGACACTTCACAGAAAGTGGCTTTCGTTATAATAACAGCACACATACATCATTGGAAAACACTAGAACACTGAAGGAAAAAAATAGAGTGAACAAATTTTGACTTATTGCTAGCATAGTCGTTTGATATTATAGTTTTTAAAAACATAATGATTGGATATGGTGTTCGAATTCCTTTTATTTACTGCAGGATGACAATTTATACCTTTAAAGAAAGGTAATTCTGAAAATCTAGAGTCAATCTCTCTGTTCCCTCAAAACAAATACAACCTTTTGACCTTTCCACTGTAATTAGTACACTGGCATTCCATATGCTTTTAAGACACAATATTCTTTCTTCCTTAGGTTTGAAGGGTTAAAAAAAATTCCCCTTAAATCCAAACTAACATCTTTAAACAGATGCAATTTATCAGCTTTCAGTAATGTAACCTACCTAAGACTATGAATTATTGTCTTTCTGCTTGGAAGACATACTGCTATCTGTGCCATATTGAAAATTATATGTTAATCGTTGCCCTTGAATTATTTGTTTGCAGATCTTTCTTTAAAGTTAGACCATGTATTTTACTTAACCCTTTATTATATCACCAGTGCTTATCATAATGAAGTGCATAAAAATGTTTGCCAAATTATAAATACATTTACTTATTCACTGATGTGTTTGCCCAGGTAGACTTTCTTACTTTGAAAACAAAATACTGGACAGCCACCACGATTATTACAATCTGTTTGGCTATGACAGTTCTCAAGAAAAATGAGTACACTGACATTCTGGTTTATTAATCAGCCTCTCATGAGATAAGTTAAAATGCCTAAGTTCTGTGAAACCTGAATTCTCTGGGTAGGCTTACAGTTTTTGAGTCTGAGAAAAAAGAATAACACCTCTCTACCAGCCCCTAGACTGGACTTACGGGGCTCAAAATGAGAGAACAGAACAGTGTATCATTCTTTCTTCCTCTGATCCCTAACAATGCACATATTTTGGCAATTTGCCTTCGGCATTAGAAGGTTGTATCTGTGTGTTATCATGAAGCCACTCCTGTGGCTACTTTCTTGTAAAATGTAATTGTATTCTGGAACAAGCCATGAGCATTGAGATGCTAGGTCCTAAAATATTTTATGCTAATTTCTTCTAATTGAAAAATAGTATTATTAAAGTCAGATCAGATGACAGTTTGACCCTAAGGTAGCCTGACAATTGATTATTCACTTCTTTGTCATTTCATGTCATTCAAAACAGAGTTAAGTATGTACATTGGCTGTATACTGTCCTTGAACTGTAGCACTGCCCAACATATGAAATATAGTATATTACTGTACAATCAAAAACTTATTTTGTGGCTAAAGGAGATGAATTAACAAAACATTATTTTTCTGTAGCTGAGACACAAAAGAGACCTAGGTTTACTGTTTTAGGACTTTAGGGGGAAAGGCATAATATGCCAGAAAGGACTATCACCTGCAGTTACATTCAGAAACACATTGTTTTAATTCATATTCAGGCAAACCTTAACATATCAGAGTAGTGATGATAATAACAACCATTATACTATCAACAATGGCAATACTTATGCCTGGTACAAGTGCTCTGCACTTTCGAAGTGGACAGGGAGCTAGGACGTGCAAAGTGGGACAATGCTATTATCATTACAGCTTTCCTAAGGTTTATTCTTGGAGAAACATGAAACACACATCACAGACCCACCATAACCTACATGCTCTTGGGATTTAGGCCCAAGTATACCCGAGGTGAAACATTTATTCATGAATTCATTTCTAATTTCCATTCTATCTGCATATCTTTGTACTGTCTAGGGTGGGAATGTATAATTTAAATGTGTGCCTGCTGCCTTTTAAAATTCCCATCACTCTGACCATTTAGATTGTTTTCTTTCTTTCCTTTTCCTTTTCCTCTCCTTTCCTTTCCTCTTTCCTTTCTTCTGGTTAAGATGAGGGCTCTTTATATTGCCTAGGCTGGTCTCAAACTCCTGGGCTCAAGTGATCCTCCCAACTTAGCCTCTCAAAGTGCTGCGATTAGAAGCGTGAGCCACCACACCCAGCTTGAGTTGTGTTTCTTGATATGTCCTTTCTCCTCCAGACTATTCTTGGATGTTGGTCTCTCGTTCCTTGAAACTGACCACATGCCACCTCTCACTCAGGTCTGGAACTTGCTCATACATACGAGATACTGATTGTGCCCCTTTCCCCTGCAGTTGAGAGAAGAAAAGGGGTCAGAGGAAGTTGGAAGGTGCTTCTTGAAATTTTATAATCTTCACCATCATCTCCTAAATCTCCCCAAACCCTGAAGCCGAATCAGAAAGAGAAATCAGAATGAAATGAATACACTCAGCAGCAGTTCCACTATTTACATTTGGAAAATATTCCATGGCTGAGCTTATGCATTATGCATTTGGAGCACGGGATAGTAAGAGTACCTTTGTTTTATATGCTGCGTAATAGAGCACTTGGAAAACTATTCTAGGTTTGTCCATCACTCAAGCCAGTGGCCTTCACATCCATGTAATACGTTGCCAACTCACAAGGTGGCATAAGATTTTTCACTAGATCTGTTGCACTGTAGGTAACCTATTATGACCGTGAGTGTAGGCATAAGATTGAAACTAGGTAATGTTTCATATGAACTAATGTGAACTAATTTTTTTTCTTTTTTTTTTTTTTTTTTTTTAAGATGCAGTCTTGCTCTGTCGCCCAGGCTGGAGTGCAGTGGCACGATCTCAGCTTACTGCAAGCTCCACCTCCTGGGTTCATGCCGTTCTCCTGCCTCAGCCTCCCGAGTAGCTGGGGCCACAGGTGCCTGCCAGCATGCCTGGCTAATTTTTTTGTGTTTTTAGTGGAGATGGGGTTTCACCGTGTTAGCCAGGATGGTCTCGATCTCCTGACCTCGTGATCTGCCCGCCTCGGCCTCCCAAAATGCTGGGATTACAGGTGTGAGCCACAGCGCCCGGCCATGTGAACTAATTTTTAAGTCTCCCTGGTCTCCAGACTCCAAAGCTCTTGGTATACTTGCTGCTTTTTATCTCAGCATAATGCACAGACCTATTGCCAGCAAACCTTCTACTTCTGTTAGTTATCAGGTCATTGATTTCAGATGAAGGTTAGGAAGAAAACAAGCTGGGTAACATAGCTTAGGTCACCCTTAATATGTCAATTTACTTACCATGAACAATATAATTTACAGCAACCATGGCAAAAATATTGTTTCTGGTATAAATACTTTCCACTTTTTTTTCAATTTCCAATTTGCTCTGAAAGTCAATTTATTCAATTAACTGTCCCAGAAATAAGTACATTATAAAAAGAACATACTTGAGGCCGGGCATGGTGGCTCATGCCTGTAATCCCAGCACTTTGGGAGGCCGAGGCAGGTGGATCAAGAGGTCAGGAGATCAAGACCATCCTGGCTAACACGGTGAAACCCCATCTCTACTAAAAAATATTTAAAAATTATCCGGGCGTGGTGGCAGGCGCCTGTACTCCCAGCTACTCGGGAGGCTGAGGCAGAAGAATGGCGTAAACTCAGGAGGCGGAGCTTGCAGGGAGCCCAAATGGCGCCACTACACTCCAGCCTGGGCGACAGAGCGAGACCCCGTCTCAAAAACAAACAAACAAACAAAAAGGATAACCCCATGAATTAAAAGCTTGACAAATTCCAGGCAAAAAATAAGTAAAACATGAAAACTTCTGGCAGTGGGAAGGGTTGAGGTGTAGACAGGACAGGTCAGCCTGGCCTGAGAATGTGTCCCCAGGGTCAGCTTCTGAGAGCAGCTCCTGGCACTTCAACTTCTTTTTCTCCTACATATAGGGCCCCAGATTATCGGAAAGGTCCACTTTTCCCCCATATTGAGGAGGGGCTGACAAGGCAGCATGGGGCAAAATGGTAAGAGCAAAGCTGTTTGTTTGTAGTATGCTCAGGTCTGTTGTGCACTGGTTATTTTTCAGTCTTGGGGTCAATTCACGGAATCTGCATTTTTGTTCTGTAGCCCACCACTGCCATGCTAGACCCTTCAGGTCCCCCTGAATGTGTTTCCGCAGCTGTCACGATCCATGAAAAGTCCTTCTGGAGAGAATATTTTTTGAATGATCACATTATAGTCCTAATTGAAGCTGAGTAGTTTATGGTCCTCTGAAGCTGACAGTGAAACATGGCATTCTCTGAGCCTGTGTCCCTTATCAGAGCCACTTAAAGTAACAACATCCTACAAAAGGCCCTCTGGGTCTCTGAAGGTACAGAGCCCTCATTACTCCTACATTAGGGAAAGCTTTAGACCACTTCTGGGAATGCAAATGAATGAAACCCCATGTGACAGCTGTAATAAAAGGCTCCTGTCTTTTTGCAAAGCATTCAAATGCCATCTGGCAATTTCGTTGACGTCAGCAGGCACAGAAAAACAACTGCCCCTACCGCCTTCTTCATGGTTCTCTTCCACCTCCAATTTTGCTCTCCCCTCCCCAGCAGAAAGCTCCAACATTTAGTTATGGAGAAGGAAAGGAGCAAAGTAGCCTTTAAAAAAGATTTTCTCTATTTTTTATCTGCCTCATTTTAAGAAACAGCTTTAGCATCTGAGCTGCAGTGGTATTTGGCCCCAGCTTTCAAATTCCAGTTAGAGGTTGTATAGATCATCACATTAAAAAGCAACTTTAAAGCCTTTTTCTATCTGTATGTCAGGACTTAAAGCACATTTATTGTGAAAGTAGAGGTGTTAAAGAAAACTATTAATCTAACTTCTGATGTAACACATTCTCACTTTGATCACTGTAAATAAACACCTAGTGTTAAAATGCTGGGAACAGGTCTGCTGCTCTAGGCTGAATCCATCGGCTTAAGAACTTACACACCATATATACTTCTTTCAACCATTCACTAGAAGCTTAGATGTACATTTATATATTTTCCGAAGTTGAAATCAGATGATATACCTATTAAGCTATTTTGCTTTAGATATGTTCCATAAAAAATATATTTTTCTGAATTACTGAACAAAAGACAAACAGGTCAACTGAATGTTTGTACTCTCTGTCAAAGAAATAGTAAAATTCTAGAAGAAACACTATGAAACACAAATCTTTTCCAGAAGTCCTAATTAAAAAAAAAAATTCATCCCAATATTTGTACATGGTATAGAAGAGCCTAGTAATTTTATTTATTTACTTATTATTTAATTTTTGAGGTGGAGTCTTGCTCTGTCGCCCAGGCTGGAGTGCAGTGGTGTGATGTCAGCTCACTGCAACCTCTGCCTCCCGCGTTCAAGCGATTCTTCTGCCTCAGCCTCCTGAGTAGCTGGGATTACAGGCACGCAACCACCTCGCCTGGCTAATTTTTGTATTTTTAGTAAAGATGGGGTTTCACCATGTTAGTCAGGCTGGTCTCGAACTCCTGACCTCATGATCCACCCACCTCGACCTCCTAAAGTGTTGGGATTACAGGTTTGAGCCACTGCGCCCAGCAGAGCCTACTAATTTTAAGTTATTTATTGCCTACTGTCACTTTTTTCTTTATAAGGGAAAAGATAAATACAATACCTAGCCTGTTCCTGCAAATGAGCAAATACCATTAACAGCAAAGAGTAAAATGGCCTCATTAAAAGCCAACCAAGTGGACCACTCCTGAAGGTAAAAAAAATACATATCTGAATGAGATTCTATATATTACTGATCCTTGCTACTTAGTCCACTATCAGTGCAAAAGATTTTTGAGAAACAATATTATGTATCAAATTAAAGATTAGGCTAAGTAGTAAGTACTAAGCAATCTTGGAATTGCTTAGTTACATTGCTGTAGACCTAAGCCTTCGTCTTTCCTAAGTTTTGCTTTTTCACTTTTTGTTTAAAAAAAGTTAAACATTCTAATATTAACAATAACCTTTAAAACCATTATTTTCCAATTATAATTCCTCACAAATTTCACATAGCTCTGAGTTCCTCAAGTTAAACAAAGTTTTAGTAGATCGGAGCCATCTTCATACAGAATCTAAGTTTTTTGTGAAAATTCATTCATCCTATAAGTTAGAGAAGTGATTTTAAAGTACATATATGACTATGTCACTTTAAGACTAAATCTTTTTTAAGAGCTCCCTTTTATCTAATAAACTTTTAATCCTACTCCAACTTACATGAGGAATATGACGCAGTCCCACTAGGAGAAATAGCTAAGGTAGTAAAGGGCACGTGAGAGGTTTGGCGGAGGTCAGAAGAAATAATAAGAGTGCTGTATAATTTGAAAGTTTGCTCAGACTAACTTTAAAGGGGAGGGTGTCATATCTAAACCCAGACCCTCTATGACTTAACTCTCCTTTCCCAATCATTTCCATCTCAACTCATGCCATTCTCTCTTCCTAGGAAATCTTTGTGGTTTCTTCTTAACAGATTGTTTCTTGCCTTTTTGCTTTTGGAACATGTTCCCTTTACACAGAAGACACACCCCCTTGTGCACTGGTTTAGTCCCACCCTTGAAGGTTTACTCCAGCTATTACCCTCCTCCAGGAGGCCTTTGCTAACCTGTTTTGCTTTGCAAATGCCCAGTACACTTGTCCTCATTTTAAATTCTACATTTGATTGTGCATATCCATGCTCCCATAAAACCGTGAACTCCATCAAACAGTATCATTCACCTTTGTATCCGCAGTGTCTAGCATAGTATTGAGTGTTCAGTATATGTCTGTGGAAGAAAGGAAAGAAGAAAAGGCAAGGCAAGCACAGTGAAGACACAGAAAGGAAAAGGCATGAACCAAAGTCAAAACTGAAATATCATTACTAAAGAAAGCAAAAGAGTGAAAAATAAAAAATAAAGCACTCAAAAGATAACTTAAGGCTGAAGGAGAACAATGAGAATTTATTGAACATATACTATCTGTCTAGTAGCATGCTAGACATTTTCACAAATTATCTCATTTAATAATGAACAAAAGCTTGATAAGTGAGACTGTTATTACCATTTACATTTGGAGATTCAGACTCACAGAAGTTTTGTTACTTACTAAAGGTCTCTCAGTTGGCAAATGGTGAGGACAGAATGAAACACAGGTCTGTTGACACTCTAGCATTACATGATATTCAATAACTTACGTTGTTTTGGTTAAAGCAGAACATGAGAATGGGAAGAGAAGGCAAGAAAATGAATAACCTATTGTTGAAACTGTGTGAATCTTGAAAATTCCAAGAATAAATGCTTAGGGCAGAGACAAAAACTCAACAAAGTACATTTGGAAAATACCAACTCTGGGCTAAGCCTAAACTATGCTTCAATTACAGGACTTCATCTGGATCTCTAACAACTCCCTGGAACAAAAGGTCATTAGTAGCTGCTGATTTAGAGGCAATGTCTTCTCTGAACTTATAAACTAAGCAAGTTTTCCAAAAACACCTGTCACTTGGCAACTACTGTTTTTTATGAGCTGTGCACGGCTTAGGGATAGAAAATGAGAAATCCTCCGACATAATCAGGCAGAGGAAAATGTCAAATTAGCAACTAGAGAAAGAACAAGATTGAGGTACTATTAGTAGATTTGTACTTTTAAGCTTTTATCAATGAGCAAAAAGTTCTAACGTATTTTCTATAGTGAAACAAAGAAGTGAAAAATGTTCTGAGTGCCTTGCCTAATCATAACTACCTTTAAGTGAAACTTATTTTTCTTTTAATAACAGAGGAATCAAGAGAACAGAGAGTAAAACTGCCCAGAAAACAGGTAGCTTGCTTTAAGGGGAAGGAAAGCAAGGACATAAAAAAAATGAAAATTGCCAGAAAAGGAAGACATTCAGAATATTAACGGCACACTTGAGATGGATACTTTTTACAGAACAGGCCTTATCTTGCCTAAGAACAAGTCTGAGCTTGGGTCAAAATAAAACATCTCAAATTCATAGCCATATTCTTCTGAGTTATTCCTAAGGATTGTAATGTAATAAAGGGACAATAGAAGTTATTCAGCAGTCTTATAGTCAATTTTTTTAAAATAAAATATTTTAATCAAGAATCTGGCGTTCTGCATTAAATTAAAAGTACAGGTTGCCAACCCCCAAGGAAAAATCAATGCGTATAAATCCTGTCCTGGTAAAAAGGAGGTTCTGATATTTGGGGAAAATGCTACTAAACTTTATAAATAGAAACATTCTGGAGGTAGGAGACTTATACAGCATAACATTCATTTAATGTTCTACATCTCTCTGAATCACAGTTTGAGATTCTGAGAGGTGTCATGTACTGCTTGTTGGAATGCCCTGGGCTATTGATCACAATCTGTAATTTTCTGACAAACCTATTATGTATTTTTGAGTTGACAAAGTTTCATCTCACTCATTTGTAACTTTCTAATGAACTAATATTTCAGACTTTAATTTTCTAGGTTACCTCACAAAATGAATTTCTGGACCTGCAAAATCAAGGATTATGTCTTTGACAAGAGACACTTCCTAGGTGTCCCACCCTGCTCAAGAGCACAACCAGTCTTTCTCTGGATTCTCCTTTATTAAAAGCAAAAAGGAATTCACCTTTCACACAGTAGGTGCGTCTAGAACTTGAAGGTTGTGGTCATTAGATGGCTCTCTCTGAACCTGAGCCAAGACCTACCTTCACCAATCAGCATTAGTTCTGCCCTCATCAGTCAAACTCTTTGTACTTCCCAGTTTTCATAGAAATGGAACAGCTTTCCTGTTCTATAATAGAATTAACACATATTTCACATCACTTGTGATTTTTTTCCTACTATTTCTAGGCTATAAAAATCAAAGTAGGTACATTAGTTACTTAAAACAATTTTCATTGATCAATGAAAAAAAGCCAATTAGTAACAGTAAATTAAATAAAAATGAATATTTGTTGAAGGTTTATCTTATACCAGGGCCCAGTCTATGCACTTTATATAGATTATTTCATTAGTCCTCTTATGATCCAGAAAAGTAGGTACTAATATTATGTGTATTTTACAGATTAGCTCATAGAGTTTAAGTAAGTTGCCCAAGGTCTCCCATCTAGTAAGTGATCCCAGGCAGTCTGCAACTCTACAGCCTGTTGTGCTCTTAACCATTAGCTTCTACAAAGTACCATCTCATTACTGAAATCCAGTTTAACGCTATTCTTATCAAAACCCTTATTCCTAATGAAATCACCAGTAGGAATTAAGATAGGGCAAATGAAACAACTACTTGAGGTCAGTATAGAAATCACTGGGAAGATTATATAGTTAAATTTCATGACCTCCTAATTCCAAACTCTTTATTCACTGAAACTACAGACATTGTGAGAGATTTAAAATGATTTAAAAAATAAAGTTTTTAAAATAAAATTGAATTTTTATTAGATTTTGGTGCACCCATCACCAGAGCAGTGTATACTGTACCCAGTGTGTAGTTTTTTATTTATATTCAAAAACTTACTCTATGAATGAGGCAAAGTAGAGGGGAGTATTTCAGAATCTGAGTTCTGAGGGAAAACAAACCAGCTAACCAGGTTTCTGGGCAGGGGCTTGACTGAACTGAGTAGAATTTGAGTAGAAAGCCAGACATCAGACAATTGGGGGAAGGGAAAAAGTGAAGGATAAGGGAATCAGTCTGTAATTTTTAAATTGTTCCTTGGAATTCAAGAGTTCATTTGAGGGGTAGTTTTTCAAGAACAGCTAAGTTTCAGTTATTTCTAAAATTAACTATTTTTCCCTCTGCATATTAAGATTGTGGGAGAATGCTATTTCTATATGTATTTCCCTTTATTCTTTCACCTCTATACTCCATCATAAATTGACTCCACCAGTGCACTTGTTTTTGAGTGCAATCAAGAATCACATTAAAAATAAATGTTTCCATTTACAAATAGACAAAACCAAACACAAACATGAAAAAAGTCTATGGTCTCAAAACATATTCCTATAAATATCAATATCTGTAGTTGCAATAAATATGGTTTCAGAGTCTAGCTTGCAACATGGATCAATGATGACAAACCATTCTAAATTTAATTATCTACTATATAAGCGTATATATATTTATCACTATAATTTTATTACAATATTCTGTAATATTTTAAAATATAATTATTAATCATGCAGCATGTGTTATTTCCATCAAAATAATTTTGTATCCTCCCAGCATCTTGGAAGGCTGAGGCGGGCAGGCCACTTGAGGTCAGGAGTTCGAGGCCAGCCTGACCAAGATGGTGAAACTCCATCTCTACAAAAAAATACAAAAAACATAGTCAGGCATGGTGGTGCATGCCTGTATTCCCAGCTACTTGGGTCTGAGGTGGGAGAATACTTGAACCCTGGAGGCAGAGGTTGCAGTGAGCCAAGATCATGCCACTGCACTCTAGCCAGGGTGACAGAGTGAGACCCAGTCTCAATAATAACAACGATAATAATAATTTCATATTCATTTTTAAAGTGATTAACCACAAAAGGATATTTCCTTAGTTCTTAATTTGGAGACAAATGTCTTTTTATTAAAAGTTCTTTTTAGAGGAATCTGAATCAGAAAACAAAAACTTGCTAAGAGTTTGGAAAATTAAAAAAAAATCCCAACCTAAATAACACAATACATATTTTAGAACGTAGAATTAAATCTTTGAAAGGAGCTTCTTTTCATTATACTGGTAGTCAATGAAGCTATGCCCAATTTTATAATTCTGGTGTTCCACAGTTTCTCTATAGATTTTACATTTAGAAATCTATGTACCACTTTGGGAGGCCGAGGCGGGCGGATCACGAGGTCAGGAGATCGAGACCATCCCGGCTAAAACGGTGAAACCCCGTCTCTACTAAAAATACAAAAAATTAGCCGGGCGTAGTGGCGGGCGCCTGTAGTCCCAGCTACTTGGGAGGCTGAGGCAGGAGAATGGCGTGAACCCGGGAGGCGGAGCTTGCAGTGAGCCGAGATCGTGCCACTGTACTCCAGCCTGGGCGACAGAGCGAGACTCCGTCTCAAAAAAAAAAAAAAGAAAAGAAAAGAAATCTATGTACATGTACATACTACATGCTCAATTTCAAACAAAGAAAAAGTCGTAACGTCTATAATGTTGAAAATACATCTATGGATGTATTCAACTGGTTTACAACAAATTGTAACATGAGAAAAAAAGTAAATGGTGAGGTGGTAGTAGACATTTGGTTCTAAGCTGTGAAGCATGTTCTCTGTCTTAGTTCCTTACAACTTTCTCATACCACTACCTGTATCAATATTACTTAGTCATGTGCTGCTTGATGACCCTTTAGCAAAACAAAACAAAACCAAAACCAAAATCTATTATTTTGCCACAAAGTCATGAAAGTCTGAGAATTTGGGGCAATAAGCCTTCTGTTTGGCATTAAGTTTTTACCCGCTATTCTAATTTAATGCATTCGTCATATTAAACTATATAAACCATTTCTGGTTTGCCTTTATTCTGTTAATGATTAAGTCCAATGTTCTGAGTGCTTTTCATAATTTTAAAAGAAAATTTAGAAAGAACTGTCTTCTGCTATTTTTTTCCTCAAACCCAAATTAGTTCATTGTAAGAAAGGTTGTTTGAAAATCTCAGTAATTAAACAAACCTAGAGCCTATAATTTTCTTGATAGTGAAACCCTCTATTTGCTTCTGAAAGCAGGCGGAGGACATGTCATTCTTCCATTTACTATTCATATTTCACCACTATCTTTTATGTGCTACAGTAGTTTTGAAAATGCCAGATTCAAGAGGTTAATTTATACCATTAGCTGTCACTTCTAGGAAACGCTTGCATATTTGCGTGTTTGTTAGGACAGCAACATGCGAGTGTGCAGAGGGGGTAAAGGAGCATTACTTTAATACTAGGCTGTACATTTATTCCTCTGACTTAGCACACATTATTGCTCTTGATGTCACAAAAAATAAATAGCAAAATATAATTTGTAGCAATTTTCCTAGCCCCATGATCAATAGAAAGAGAAACAGAAAAGAATCAGAAAGCCTTTGCTTGTCAAAATGCACACTAGTTCATTGATTGCTATGATCACAGTCCTAATTTGACTAAATGCTTTTGGACCTGAGAATATTTTTAATATTACCAGTGTGGTTATGACTTTTGAATTTTGAAATAGCCTTTTCTTCTCTTCCACCCCAAACAACTTTTATTTATCCTTTAAAGCCACCAGTTTATATGAAATTATCCCTGAAGGCTTCAGTCTATACAGATTTTTCTCCTCTTCAACTTCCATCTACTGTAGTCAACAGTAGACCATTAAAATGTCTTCCTAATTTTTGTGTGCCTTATTATTTTTTAATACAAGTTGTAAGTTTTGAGGTAAGGAGCCATGTCTTTTGAACCCTGCAGGAATTACCCAGCAAATCTTTCTTCCCTCCTCACAATTCTCTACCCCCAAGTCATGAAATTATTTAAACTGGCACAGAATCCCCTAAGAGGTGGCTTGTTACATGATTAATCTATCATGGGCAAGGTGGATTTAATTTAATTAAAGAAATACTTCTCTGATGCTAACTATACAATTTTAATTGATTATAGTTTATGTTTATGTTTGTTTTTATATTTACCAAATTTTGATCTAACGTGCATGGTCTCATTTGTACATCCCAAATACTAGGTTTTTTTCCTAAAGTTTTTGTAATTTTCTTTGTGAATTAATCAAATCTTGACCAGCCTTTCAGTTGGTACTTTTCTTTCTGTGAGAGTTCATTCCCACTCCAATTTCTATAATACATGGCTCTTCAATTGTTTTCTCTGCAGTCTCTGAGATTTTTCTCAATCCCTTTGATTGAGCCTAAGAACCTTTGATTTTTACCAAAGCATTACCTAATGCGCAACTCTGAATCATTGTACATACTGCTGATTGCAGAGTAGAAAGTTATTCAGAACTGGTACCCAGAGTGGGCTGTTGCTGTGAAGTATCCCAACTACATGAGGCAATAGGGGAGGGGCCTGAGAGCTGGTGCTGAGGAACCTGGCATTAGTGGCTGGAAAGAGGTGGTCTATGGAACACAGAGAAGGAGCATATGGTAACACTGCTGTCTGCAATATTTCGAAGGTAGATGAAGGACCTAATGGACTTGTAGCTCTACCAGAGAGAATGGACAACAGGATGTAAGTATCATTTATTGGTTACTGTGATCTGTATTTGACAAGGTATAAGAGACAAATGAGCTCAGAAAAGACTAGATTTGTTTGCAAGGATAAAAAAAAAAGGGAACAGAAAGGTCCAAGAACACGGAAAAGGCAACTGCTTTCCCTTCTTAAATAGGAGAAGAACTGGGAAGGGCACTGAGCTAAAAATGCATATTTCAACTCAGCCTCAGTAAGGGTTAATCAAGATGTGGACACCACACCCGTTATAAATCCTATGAATGGATTAAAGTGTTTAAGAGCAAAATCAAATTAAGGTTATAGGACTCAATATATCTTTTCAGTTGGATAGAATAACTCAAGGAAAAGAGACTAAAAATTCTTTTCTCATGGAAAATCTTCTAGGGTTTCCCAACAAAGCCTGACAGTCTGAAATTATCATCACCTAAATTGGGAGTGAGAAGCACAACACCTAAAGGACACAGAAATACAGCAAATCTTAAAAGTACATCCGAGAAAAAAAATAAAACTGATGGTGTAGTTATTAGCATACAAAACTGTACTGAATTAATTTTAAAAGGAGCTATGGTTTTGAGAGTATTATACTATGAAAAGAACACTATTCAGTACCTAACACAACTCTTAAACTCCTAAAGACTTACATATAGGAAGTGATCAAATGAAACTGCAAAGCCCCCAGGACGGCATCCTTTCCAATGCTCACTTTATAGGTGATCATAGAAGATAATCAGATCAGGGAGACCAGGGAGAGTGGGACCAGGGGATCAGAGAACGATAGACAGAGGCTTTCTCCCAGGAAGCAGAACCAGATCTAATAATAATAATTTAAAAATGTATCTAGCCCTAGGATAAGGGACTTTCAAATAGCCTCCCAGTAAGATTTTGGAATTGCTTCAGGTTAGTGATGGTGTGTGGGTTCTTTTCTTCTCTTTCAAATGATAGTGCTTATTGTGATGATCCTATTTTCCACCTGCGCATTAGTGAGTACTACGTGTGTGTGTGTGTGTGTGTGTGTGTGTGTGTGTATTAGTTGTATTACTCCAGAACGTGACACTTAACTGCCAAAGCCATACCCAATAGAATTCTCCTTCCTTCTGCCACGGTGATTAATAATGTCTTAGGCGGTGGCTGCCCCACCATCTCTGTCTCAGAGTGAGGACGATACAGAACAGAGCCCTAGCCAAAGTATGGAGCAACAAATCAACCTCCCTGTTTTGAGAACTGGGGTCTGTTTAATACTGCAGTACCACCTTGTCTATCCTGACACGGTCCTTGAATTGAAAATAAAGATCATAAAGAATATAGCTTATTTATGAAGCCTTCTCTGGGGAGCATATTAGACTAACTCCTGCCTTGTACTCTTTTGGAATAGTGTGAAACTCCTAGAGACAAAGTGAAACCTAATGCATAAGTGATCTTTAAGAATTTCTTCCGACTTCATTGACCCTAACCTATCCAGTTTCTCCCTGGAACATGTAACGAAATGAGTGGAATTCTCACAGGACTGCCCCTCTCCCACTCTGGTAAATTTTTCAAACCTACGTTTGTTACTAGCTTGTTTCCGAATTCACACCTCTACTTCCTTCCCATCTTTTGAAAACTACTACTTCAATTGTCTTTATATTTTCAACAGCTTTCTCTTAATTATACAAGAAAACAAATGCTTCTCCCCTGGCCCGTCCCGTGTTTGGTAAATAAAATGACTGCACATTTCCTGTATGTGTTAAATTCCATTTCTGTGCCACAGAACACAACCACAAAATAAAAGAAGAAGAGATAGTAGAGGTAATCCAAGCTAGATTCATTCTTTTTTAAAATTAGCAAAACTGGAACATAAAGATGTTATTTGACTAGTTCAACATAATGAACATAAAGAGATTATTTGACTGGTCCAAGATTACCCAGCTCATTTGGGGCTAAGCCAGCTGGAATCTGAGTTCAGGTCTCCTGGTTTCCAGCCTTGTTCAAATTATACAAAAACACACATTAAACTGAATATGCGGTTCAGTTTAATGTGTGTTGATATTATTGACAGTTCAATAACACTGTGAGGAGAGGGGCATTAAATGTAGCAAACCTTCTTTACTTAAAATCCTTTGATTGTTCTTTATTATCTACCGGGTGAATTCCCAGGTCCTTAGCAGGGCAAACAAGGTATGTATCAGTGATTCCTACCTAACCCACCATTTCATCATATTTCAACACTCTTGACCCACATGGATTGCGTGCTCTAGAATGCTGTTCTTGGCCATGCTCACCTAGTCACTGGGTGCCCAAAGCACCACTGTTTCACACCTATTCATGTAACTTGGCTCTAGCCAGCTCTTTAAAATTAGAAAACTCTTCTGTAATTCCTTGTTTGGGGGTGGGGGTGGTTCATGTATAATCTGAGTAGTCTTTATTCCAGTTTCTACTTGTTACCATGGGAAGATTTAATATTTTCCCCCTCTAAAGTACTTCTAATACAGTGGTATTGCATTTGCTGCACCTGTGATGTATTGGAGGGTGCTAACTCCTCAATCTCTTCATTGTATTTGGGGGACCTCACCTGGTTTAGTTTAAAAAAAAAAAACTTCATGTTTCCAACTTATCCTTTTATTTCTTTGTAAAATTCCATGTTACTCTCTAGGTTGCTGAATCTTGTATTCTGTCAACTGGACACATTCCATTTAAAAAACGAGAAGCCAATCTGAGCCCATAATAGCACATGGCTAAGGGAAGATAAATAACATTCTCATTATCAATATCTTTTCTGTAACTGACAAGAAGATTGTTCTACTTGACAAATTATATTTCCGTGAATATCCGTAAATTGAGCACACTTAAAATGAAAACTGTCTAACTTCATTTCCACCAGTGAATGCTTAATGCTGAAAGTCAGTTTCTCTTTTCTGTTTATTGCTAGTAGTGGATATAGTCCTTTCACATCATGTAAGACCAAGGCAATTCTTATTTCATTTTCCAGATATCTTAATGCTTCTGCCAAACTACTCATCCCTCTGTTTTTAATTAGTTGTATATAGTACTGTCTTTATTTCAGGATGTTCACATCTCTATTTTAGTCAATTTTGCTATTTCCTGCCAATCTAACATTCAATAGATAATATAAAAATTGTAACATATGAAATAGTACTCATACTTCAATTAATACTTGAGACTAATCTTGTTTGCAAATTCCTTGCTTTGGAAAGGTAAGATAATATTTCACTCCAAAACCATATTTAGAAAACTTAAAGACTGGTAATGCTAAAATTTAAGCAATTCTCTCAATAGTATTCATTTTATAGATTAGTATAATAAAAATGCAAATTAATAATTCTACATTTAAAAATAACTAAAAGAGTATAATTGGATTATTTTTAACTCAAAGGATAAATGCTTGAGGGGATGGATACCTCATTTTCCATAATGTGCCTGTTACGAATTGCATACCTATATCAAAATATTTCATGTACCCTATAAACATATACACTTACTATGCGCCCACAAAAATTAATCAATTTTTTAAAAAGTTCAAATTAAGATATAGCAATAGGTTTTAGGTGTAAGTTCTTTGTGTACATATACAAATATTGACCAAATTTCTTAGTTGTTTTGCATTGGGTTTTGTGCTACATTTTTTTAAAAAAGACCCTTATTTCAATCAGGTGCATAAGAAACTAAAAATTATCAGATTAGAATCTGTAACTTGAGCTCATTTATCAGATTAAATCAAGAACTTTGAGCTTAAAAAAAAATAGGAGGATGAAAGAACAGCTTCTCAGTGAAAATTTATAAACAGCTAAAATTAACAGGACCTTGTGACCTAACTCAGAATGAAGTAGAACTCTTTTTCACTTGGATGAAAGTCTGTAGATGATCCCAAACAATCTTAGAGAGTAATATGTGTTACCTATTAAATTATGTGTTAATAGGTTAGATTCCCAAATGTTCCCTGTATTGTAACCAGTAGACAGCTGATGACTTTTGAAGTTACCTAATCAGCTAATACACAAATTGTACATCAAAACCAAGTTGCAAGGCAAATTTATCTTAGAGTTAAAATTTATTTTTCTGTAATTGTTTATTTAATCAGAGCTTTATTTTTCCCTCCTAATTTTAGTCAGAACTTTTTCTTACAGCTTAATCTTAATTAATTTTATAGCTTAATTCCAAATACTATATTAGCCATAATGAAAGAGTTAAATAAGATAAATTAGGTAAGCTGAAATTTACTTAAGTAACATTTTGTTTGATGCTAACTAATAAGAATGTCGATTAAAAAGTAAATCCAATTTTAGTAAGAACAACTTTGTCTTAATTTCTTTCATAAAAATAAGATACAGGACATCAAAATTACTATTCCCACTGAAAATTCCTAAGGAATACTTTGTGGATAATATTATATTCCTCCTCATAAATTACTTGAAAAACAGGCATTCCAACTTAAGACAAATAATTTGTCTTACTCATGTAGTCAAAGTTAACTCAATAAATAGTATGTCCAATGGCATTTATAGAAACTTGGAAGGAAGATATTTCCATTTGGGGGCTTGGTTTCGATGCCATCTCTAAAGTATGAACAAAAAATCTGTGTAATGGTGGGATCCTCCTAACAATCATTTTGGTAGAATAGATTATGAGGCAGTATAATCTCCCTTTACTGTAGGATGATATTGAGATATCTTGCCGTTTGTGGGAGAAAAAGATTAGAAGATGCTACATATTGCTATATTAGGGACAGTGAGACAAATGTGACCTTGTAAGTTGATCCTCTATGGTCCAAGGGCATCATGTAAGTCATTTTCTGAAGGATCAGAGAAAAGAAGGCCTGGGCTCATCATGCTGAGCATACTTGTATAGCATGATATACAGGTGGAGCTGGTGGTGGTGGGAGCAAGATGATGATGTTGATGGTGATGGTGATGATAATGATAATGATGAAAGCTATCATCTAAATAAGAGTGTTTATTCCACATACTTTTTAATTTAATGTCTTCCAACGTATTGTATCCACAGAACAAACTTTCAAAGTAGATACTGACTCACTTTCTAGATGAAAAAGCATTACTTCCAAAGGTTAAATATCTCATTAAGGTCACGTATACATTCAGTGGTGGACTTGGAATTTTTATTATTTCAAAGATCATTCTCTTCACCACTGTACCAGGCTGTCTTTGATTTCAGTTAATGTGAAGTCCTGCAGGACTATACTTTAAAATGTGTAATTTCATGAAATTCCAGAAAAACTTAATTATAACCTTTTGCTTTCACAGATGTGCAGCTTTAAGAAGACCAGGTATAGTTAATTTTACCCCCATGGACCTCGTGCTGGTTAAATGAGAGGTTATATCACTTTTAGAAGTCTTCCAAAGTTCATATTCAGAGGTAATTTCTACTCCAAATAAACTAACTTACTTAACAGTCCCGCTGCAAATGTGGTGAAGTAGAAAGCTTAAAGAGCTATATAGGTTTGGCATGGAATTTCTTCATGTACTGGACATAATAAATCTAATTTACATAAGGCAGGCTTAGAAGCAGAAAATGCAGGGCTATATTTCCGTGGGCTGAAATCTCCATTTTTTCTTTTTGTCAGAAAAGCAATTCTGAAATGTTTTTGTTTTCCTGCACATTTACAAGACTGTTTGGAAAACCCACTACTCGAAGATTGACCTTGTAGTTATTTAAATTTCTGAGACTCAATTTATAATCTCTATCACAATATAGGGATTATGTTTCTAATTAAAATTCAGGTTTAGCAAATAATTAAATAAAAATGAATTTATTTTAAATGATCATAATTAGCATCAGTATAAAAAAACTGAATTTTGACCTTATATGGTAAAGTGTTTGGATATCTTCATGATAAATCACATCTTAAATATATGTTGGGGAAGGGAATATAGCACAGAAGAGACGAAAGTGGCTTTTTCAAATTAGAACAGTCTTACCTCTTGCGTTTGTCCTGCATTTGAAAACAGTCTTGCATCTTAGTCTTGCATTTGAACACAGTCTTACCTCTTTCTAGCTCAGTGACTTCAGCAAGTCATAACAACTATTCAAGTCTGTCTCTTCATAGGTAAAGGTATAATAATAATATCTAGAATTCTAGAATACGAGCTTCATGAGAACCAAAAGTTCATCTGTCCTGTTTCCCATGGAACTGCTTCACCACCAGCACTGTGCCTACACACAGGAGATGCCCCAAAACCTTAACTGAGTAAATAAATTATCTATTCTCAGAAATTATTTTGTAGATTAAAATAAATTCTGTGAAAAAAGTACTTAGCACAATATATGGCAAAAATACATATTCAATTAATGTTGCTTTCTTTTTCCTTTAATTAATTCAAGGTATATTTTAAGTATTTTATTTTAAATCTTTTATGTTTTGTTACAGGAAGCAATGAAAAATTACTTATAAAATACGAAAAACTTACCATCAAAGTCAGTTTTTAAAAAGACACAAGTATCACCAGTTAAGCACTTCACTCTCAAATGAACCAACTCCCAAGTTTGGAAATTTCAGTGTGTTTAGAAATGTAGACTAGTCATTTGACTGGTAGTTACTGATGAATACCAATCAGTACAGTATGGGGGGAAGATATTATATATTGGCATTTCTGATTTGGTATTTCATACATTTACAAAAATAACTTATTCTAAGTAAAACATAAAATACATGCACGAACTTCAGAATTGGAAGGACCGTGGCAGTGAATAATCTTGTCCAAAGCACTAAAATCACTTGTATAATTTGCATATTTTATATTTAAATGACTTGTCTGCTCAACGAGTTATTCTTTGAACAGATGTTTAGTATTCCCTTCTACTGTGACGGGGTATTATATATTTCATTTTCCTTCATAAATTTTAGCATGAAACCTCAAAAATTCTAAATATGCTACTAATCCACGAGGAAAATAGGAAAAAATGCAGAAGGATGGACATTGTCAATCTTTAGATAAATGTAGATTTGGTGCTAGATAAGGATTATAAAGTTTCATGATACTTTAGTATTTTACTGAGATGGAAAGATCTGGTTTTCATTTGGGAGTTTAGTGAACAGTTCTAAGTTAATAAAATATTCTGTTTAACATTCTAAGATAGTTTTGTAACATCTTAAAAAATCATTCTAGAACTTTTACTGGGAAGTTTTTTGGTCCCAGGTCATATTTTTATAACTCATTAAAAATTAACTAAAAATACATTTAATAAATACACTGAGCCAGTTTATCATAAACTTGATTTGGATTACTTTATGAATTTATTTTTAAAAGGCTTTCAACTGTCCTTCTCTAATATAATTTCTGTTGAAAATCATTATAGAACAAAAAGGTTATTCATACCTTTTCCCAGTAGAAGCTCCACGATTTGGAAAATATCGTCACCATGTATAATCAGTAATGAGATGTTCTTTAAAGTTCAGATTCTGTTAGACTGATTCTCATTTTTTTAAAAACATGCTTTCATGAATACTGATTGCAACTCCAGCTATCCTCCAATTAAAAGCAAGGCCACACCATAGTCAAATAGTGAAGTAGGTTAAATGAAAGTTCTGTGTGCTCAAATTTCCCATTTTATGCCCCACTCTCATTCATTGATTCAACATTTCCTGAACAACTTATGGGTGGCAATCACTATTGGAGAGTCAAATGAAGTACTACTTGGATACTAGAAGCTTTAGTCTAGTGGGAAATTTTGCATAGTGTTCTAAGTTCTATGATAAATGCATTATGGATGTAAAATGTGTTACGAAAACAGTGCTTAGAGCTGGGACTCAAATAATGTTTCAGTTGTATTTAAGATTTATTAAAAGTTGAAACAATGTACTTGTAAAGGCCCAGAGGAGTGAAATAACATGATGCCACCCAGAGTACAGGATATTTGATCTACTTTAGACAGAGAGGTAAGATACTGGTAGAAAAGCTAGGAGTCAGAAAAAAACAGGCCTTGTTTTGTTTTCCTGAGAGTTAATCAGAATGTAGGATTCAAGTTTAGGCTTTGGAAGTAATTCTAAGTACAGAAGTAGATGTAAAGGGCTTAAAAGGATCATGTATGCAGTTGTGAGTGTTGTGCGCTGCACAACTCCAGGGGGGTCAGCATTCATGTACACTATAATGTAAATGGCTCTCCTTAGAGTTTACAATATTATTGCTGTGGTGCCAGAGGCTGTGAGAAGAGAGACCTGTATCAATCCTCAATGCTGTTTCCCTGTCTTTCAACACAGTACTCAGTACCCACATTTATTTTCCCTCATTTCCTCATCAAACATTATTCTCATTATCTTTCATCCATACTAATGAATATATGACTGAGATCAGTTTACAATATAAGCTCCCACAATTCATGGATGAACAAACATGAAGTAGTAAAGAAATTTAGCTCTAACTCTAGAATTTTAGGCAGAAGCAATACAAAGATTACTTTAAGTACCGAAATCCAATCATCATCCATACTGACACATTTAAGCTGATGCTATCATAACATGAACACTTGTCACATCACCTGGGAAACTTCTTAAAAGGAAGACTTTTCTAGTTTCATCTAAAACACTGTCCATCAGAACGTCTAATAAGTTCACTAGCTGATACTGAATGGATACTGCTAGTCCATAGGAATGACTGCTTTAAAAACAGCTCCTCAAGGGGAGCTGACAATTCTAGTCTGTACAGAAGACAGCCTAGATCTGAGCTTAAGACTCATGGTTTGCCTAGATTTGGAAATTTCCATTAAATGAAGAGCATAGTTACAGGACTCTTCTCTGAGGTACACTGAGACACACAATAATTTAGGAGATTAAGATTTTCATATCTTGGTCTGTTCATGACTGCTCAGAAACAAAAAAATGAATGCTTACGAAGTTGGCTCATCTACTCTAACAGACACTTCTCTATGCACAATCATTTAACCTATTTCATATTTAGGAAAACCACTGCCTTATTTTATTTTTAAATCAATTTGAATGGCTAGAAATGTATTCCTTATATTTAAGCAAAATCTGACTGCTCTGTGTTCTATTCACTTGTCCAAATATCACCTTACAGAATGACAAAGAGAAAAATTTCACTCCCTTTACACCTTTTTTTTTTTTTTTTTTTTTTTTTTTTTTTGAGACAGCGTCGCATTCTGTTGCCCAGGCTGGAGTGCAGTGGCATGATCTTGGTTCATTGCAACCTCCACCTCCTGGGTTCAAGAGATTCTCCTGCCTCAGCCTTCCGAGTAGCTGGGATTACAGGTATGCACCATCACATTCAGTTAATTTTTTGTATTTTTAGTAGAGATGGCATTTCACCATATTGGCCAAGCTGGTCTCAAATCACTGGCCTCAAGTGATCCACCCACCTGGCCTCCCAAAGCACTGGGATTACAGGCGTGAGCCACCGTGTTGATAACTTAAGAGAGCACAATTTTTCTCCCTCTCTTGCTTTTCATCATAAGTTCTCTTTCATAAGCTAAACTTCCACCTCATCTGGGACACTGTTTCTAGACATATTTATTGTTTATGTGAGTGCATCAGCTTTTCAATATCCTTCTTGAAATTATGTACTCAGAACTGAATTCAACACTGCAGAGGTCATCTGGCCAGTGCAGAATTTATTGAATTAATTATTCTGTTCTGTATGCCATAAATACGTTAGTGAAGCCCAAAGTGGCACTTGCTGTTAGAAAAGCCATATGATATTGGGCTTGACGTCAATCCAGATTCTTAAATCTTACTTTTTGTTTCTTCATTTGCTTATGAACAAATACGCAGGTACTTTGCACACTGAAGTTTTATTAAAAACTTAAGTGCAAAATTTTATTTTCTCCTCTTGAATCTTCTTAGTTTAGTATTTTAACTGAAGGTTAATGAGAAAGCTTTCTAAATCTGTATTCTATCATTCATACATTAGCTACATATTCTTCTTTTTGATGTCAAAATGTAAATGTGCATTATGAGGGGCATATTAATTAATGATAAAAATATTAAATAGGGTAATGCCTTAATGGGTTTTACAATTCTTCTCTTATCCTGTGATTTTGTTCTGCAAAAACTATTCTGCTGCGAACAGGACACTCCTTACAAGGTTATGAAAGAAGAGAGAGACATACTATTGTAACCCTAATTCCCTCATAAATAAATAAACTTTTAAAATAAAAATATATAGAACATCTTTATCTTTTAAGCACATGATTTATATACAATGTACAGAAAGTATTTGTAGAAGACAGTGAAGCAATACATAATATCAGTTTTCCAATTTCATAGTTTCTCTAAATGAAGCTGATATTAAGAAGTTAATCTGGTGACCATCATAGGGATGATTTTTTAAAACATGATTTCAAAAAGACTTTAAATGTGGTTACCAAAGTTAGCATATTTGGAAAAGAATAATGTTAATAAAATATCTTACTTTTTTTATATCTCCATAAAGATAATGATTTTATTTTTAATATAAGGCATGCTTATGACAACACTCATTCATTTAGAATAACCCATTTATACACACATATTTATTAATGTGGTGGCCATATGCCAGCTTTTTCCAGGTGGTATTAAAATAGTTATTACTTGTATCCACATTTATCAATGTACTCAGCCTTTAAAAATTAAAATCAACCAATTTTGCTTGTCTCTTTGAAAATTAATCCTTTCCATTTCCTCTAATTCTTTTCCATGCTCTCTAAACTACTTCTTTATCCATATTCTCTAAATTCCCAAAAGGTCAAACATAGTAAAATAAATTTAATGAAGTATATATCTATTAATGGGAATAATGTATACATTATGAAAAAGTTTAATGAGATTATTTCTAAGCAGTCGTATAGCTATCAACAAAAATACTGCATCAAATACAGAAAATTTTAATATTCATTAAATCTACCTAGCTTTTGTACATTATTCACTATACTGTGCTGCATGTTTGAAATGTTGTGTCACATGAAAAGAGAGACGGGTTCAACAATTTGATATCTAGTATAACAAATGACAGCCTCTCCTATGCTTCTAGCTATGCATATAATATGTATAACACTGTTCATTCCCAAAAATATTACTTCCAATGCTGTATCCACTGATTAAAAGTTCCACAACCACCAGTGCATAAAATGACGAACATAGAATGTCTTTTAAATATTTAGAAGCCATAGACGTTATTTATATCCCTATTTTTCCTAATTAATATTGGCAGAAATTCACTCCAGATAAAAATAGTTGATGTTTTAAATTAGTTAATAATGTCCATAAAGCACTTACTTATAAAGGAACTTAACGCTAAATGTTATGACTTTTATTAAAAGTAAATATTAATGCTTTTATTTTATGCTAATAGAATTTGTCAAGAAGAAATAACATCTACATAAGCATCTCTTATTCATGAATAAGTACAGAAACTAGATGAATTCTAATGCAATATCTCTATAAAGTTATGATGTTGGTGATGTACTTAAACCTATAATGCTATTTAAAGAAGATATTACCAGTATATCATTTCAAACTTGCACTGAATTACTAGCAATACTCATTGTAATAAGAAAAACGAACAAATACTTTTTAAGGAAATATCAGTTTGGTATGATTATTTATCATGTGAAGTTAAAATAATGCTTTTTTCCTCTCTTGTCTTTTTCCATAAACAAAAGCCACAGTGCCAAGACCAAAACATAAAAAACAGTAAAATTATATATTTTTCTTCTTTTTGAACAGAAATAGTAATGCCAAGTTCAGTTTGTTCCATTGATTTTAAGCCAAATAAATGGCAAAACATAGTGAAAAGCCTGGTCATATCATGTGTCATAAGCTTCTATTAAAGTCCTTATGTAAATTTCAGATCCCTAAGCTGCATGAGACAGAATCACTCCTGAGCCCAAAAGTTCCATGTGATAAGAGAAAAAAAGAAAAGAAAAAAGGGAGGAAGTGGGGGGGAGTAGTCACATGCCTAGAGAATGAGAACACATGTTCCTGTATGAAAAAGTCAATATTTAAATACTATCTTCTCCTTAAGTAATGACAACATGACAAATTATTCCTCATCCAGTAATTTCAGTTTACAGTCAAAGTAATAATATGCTGTCCTACAATAAGGTATCATGGACATTAAAAGTTGGGAATCTCAACTTAGCTGTACGCTTTCAAAACAGAAAAGCCTGAAAGCAGGGGAATAGCATAAATAAAACAAAAGGCTTCTTGGCTTTATTATTCATGCTTTAGATATAATTTCACTAATTCCTCAAGGGCTGCTATATTTTATTATGGATTAACAGATTTCCTCAAGACACACTGGTTCAGCAAAGCTTACTTGAATAAATGAAACTCTTAAGTAAGTTCATAAATTATAATGTTTTCATTTATTTTAGAAATATTAATTAAAAATTCACTATACACAAGGTTGCCATAATCACTATAAAACAAAACTGGCTGCTGCAAATTCACTATTTAGCAAAACTTGTTTGAAGTCATGCTGTATTTCTCCACGAAAAAGAAAACTAAATTGTCCTAGGATTACATTTCCTAAACTTATAGTTAATTGGAGTACTCTTTAAAAACTCATGCAAAGGCCTGAAAATGCAATAATTGTGCATATACTACCATATTTTTGAGGCACCAGAAGAGAAATGTCACCAAAGTTATGGCACTAAGTCACCGTACACCTGAATAGGGACAATGAGTGGTAAAAGTGGAGTTAAGACCTGTCGGTCACCCAAATCATCATTCATTCCCACTAACAAACAAACAAAAAAAAAATTCACTGCACGTTTCTAACTTCAACATGGCTTCAATGGCCATGTTCTTTTTGCTTCATGAGATGGTCTTTTCTATATTTTCCAATCATCATCTTTGATAGACAACTTCTTTCCTCTCCTCTGCTCCCAGTCCTTTGAGAACTAGAGCTTTTATATCTGTTTGCGCTACATCTTCCTGACTGATCATGATGTAGTTTATTTTTGTGATTTCTACTCCATCTGTTTGTCTCACCCACAATTTTCTGAGAGGTTTTTCCTCCTAAACTTAAAAAAAAAAATACCCTTTTAAGTGTGTATCGCTGATACTATGTAAACAACTTTCTCTAAATTCAGGGTTAAAATGATTTGAAAACAAAGAATATGATTACAAAATTCTAAAATGGAAATAGTTGTAGAGATCCAAGTGGAAATTGTCACCCAGAAGTATTTAAACACAACACCACAGAACTCAGCGAGCAAACTATTTTGATGCAAGTTTGATAACCTGCAGATTTCCAATAAGAATAAGCTTTAACTTGTAACACTTAAGAGTTTTCCAAGAATCGCTTATTACACAATGCATCACCACCAAAAAAGGAGAAAAAAAAACTCCGCCAAAAAGCAAAAACAAAGTTCTGTGATCTAGAAAATCAAATCTGACAAGAAGTTTCATTTTTGTGACTTTTAAGATAATTTTAGTTAATATCGCTAATATTATTCCAGGCTTTTTCTTTGTAGTTGTCAGCCCTGGTAACTTTGGGTTTACTGATGTTTACATGATGGCTGAATTTTACATAACGTGGGACAATCACTTAATGTTGACAACATAACTGCTAAACCACCTTTGTTCTCCCAAGGTAAAACTTTGTAAGAAAATCAGCACCTTTGATGAGAATATAAAATCTTGTGAGGAATGCTATTAAACAGTATTTTAGTTTGTTCCCTAGAGTGGCTGTAAAGAAAAATTCCTGTACCATAAATAAGATGTTAATGCTATTAGAAACACATATTTATACATATAGCCTGGATATGTGTTAATAAGAAATTAAAACATTCAATTTCCCCAAATAAAAAAAAATTGTACCAAGAATGTACTAAAAGCCTGTATCCTGTGTTTTTTTGGTAGTATATGAAAATGGATGTTAATATTCATCTTAAAAGATCAACATTTCCCGTTTTCTTTGCCTCAATTCACCCTCTCCAGTTAACTGTCCTTACTACTCCATATAACCTCCTCCACCCTATATCACCTTTACCTACCTCTATATCTGATTATTTGTTCTAGTTAATACATCCTAGTCTTAGATTTTAATCTTCTATGAGAAGCTGATTATTTTTGGCACAATCTTTTTTTATCAGTTTTATCTATAAGTGAAGTAAAAATCAAAAATCCACCCACAGAACTTCCCTTTTAGGGTATGTTGTCAGGATTAATAAAAAACAAGATCTTACTCAATGCTGCTGATGGTATAAAATCACCCAGCGTGAGATAAAAATTATTTCCCTTTGTCAGATATTGCAATTCAAAGATAAAATTAACTGTTATCAAGTTAGCATATTTTTCTCCTGTTATTCTCTCAAGTGGAAGGCAAAACTTGAGAGCTGGAAATTTTTCAGAATGTGTATATTTGCTTTACAAGAACGTACGTGCAAAATACTTGCATTAATTTTCTTAATGTGTACTATAAGCTATCTGGGGGAAAGAATATAAGAAAAGTCACAACTGCAACAGTGGTCAGAAACTGTGGCTTAAAGTAATAGGTATTATTTTTGTTTTTATTTCTCTCTCAAAATATGCTTTTGTACACTTAGTAAAATTAACTATTGCTTAAACTATCTGCAGTCCCTGCAGAGAAACATCTATTATCAGTGGTTGTTTATTTGATTGCTTTGTTTCGTTTCAAATAAAGTACCACAGGTTGTGATTTGGCTAAACACACACAAGGTAGTGCCCATGTCATGGAAATGATGTCCACAGGCCCCAACATAAGAGGGTCATTCAATAAGTATTAAACAACATGTCTACTAATCTATAAACATGGGGAAAACAATAAAAGCATAAATGCCAGTGGCAATTTTCCCTTTTATTTCTGTGGATTTGATTCCTGTTCATCAATGTTCTTTTAAGAGACCAGGGCCTGTAATAAAGAGTCACTTACTGAAGGTCATCCATCAGTTTCCCTGAAACAGAAGTTCCATGAAACTACTGTGAGGACAGAGCCAAACTCTCTTTCCTCCTGCGAATCACTTAAATGTGTAAGTGTGGGAAGAGTACATTCCCCCCTAACCTAGCCATTAGATTTCTTGGACATAATTCCACTCTGAGAAAACTACTTCACAATGAAATGAATATGTTCTTTAAAATTTCTATTCGATAGACTTAAAGATGAAACCTGAAAACCTGAAAGCATAAATGCTTGAAGAAACATGTTCTCATTTTCCTACATAAAGTGTCAAGATTAATCACTAAATATTTATTTACTATCTTCCATACACCTATCAATGAGATTATGCTGTAATTTCAGTGGTTTTCATCTAGAAGCAAATTTGATTCCCAGGGAACATTTGACAATGTCTAGAGACATTTTTCTTATCACAGTTTGGGGACTGAGGGTGTTGTTTCTGGCCTCTACTAGGTAGAGACCAGGGATGCTAGAGAACTAATATACTAGTGGGTTCAGTTGTTAAAGAGAAACACTGTTTTCCCTTCTCTGAGGACAGAGAGAAATGTCTCCCCATCCTCTTGACACTGTGTGTGCTGTGGACATTGTCAGCAATATCCCTACTATGATTGTCAGCAATATCCCTACTATGATAGATTTGCTAAAAACTGTGTCTTGCAGTTTGTCAATGCAAATTAAAGACATAATACTAAACAGTAACTAAATAAAAGCAATTTCAAAGAGTGGGGGAAGAGTAAAAAATAATTGTCCAATAGTGCAGAACTGACTAAAGGATAAAATTTTAAATATCTATAGGAAGACCTAATGGAGAAGATAGATATGATATTTAGGTCCCTTCCTGTCACTATTACATGCAATGACAAAGCCATCCCTACACTAAGTGAGGCCCTAGGCAAATATATTTTGTGTGGTCCCCGTTAGTATAAGCAAAATTTAAACAAATTTCTCAAAACAACAAGCAAACGAAAAACCCCAAAACCAAACTGTCTTTGGAGAGTTGCCAAAAGTTAAACAATTATTGGAAAAATTTCTGAACGAATATTGATAGTTGTTAGGTTGATATATGGAAAAATGAAAAAGGAGGAAGAAATGCAAGTGAAAGACACTATGTTTGTAGAAAAAGTAGCACTGGCAGCTAGCTCTAGGGCATAAATTATTCCCTGGTAACATGTCGGACATTTGAGAGACTAATAATGAGCTCCCAATCTGCTCACATTAATCCCTTGGAACAAATTCCTGGGAAATACGGCTGGTCATCTTTCCAAAATGTATTAAAAGGAATTAACTTCAATAAATATATATGGCATTACTCCAGATAAATATGAAAAGGCATTTAAATTTCTCTCCACATTCTCTTATCAAAAACAAATGATTTAACCTAGAAAAGAAGTGACCTGTCACTGCATCAGGCCATTAGTAGGCAAATGATTAGGTTAATCAACTTCAGTAGGTATTACAATCAGATCCATTCCCTTGAAATTACAGACAAAAAAGTAAAGCACAATGACTCCTCATCAAAATTCATCCTTGAGACTTAACATTATGCTATAAAGGCTCACTGATCTAGGTAGTTGCTTTTAGTCTAGAATTTTTACAATTTGTTGCCTCCAGGACTTGTTAAACCACTAAAGACCTGCTCCAAAATAGGCCATGGGTCATTTGTAAGCATACTGATGATAGTCTAGTGTGCATTTAATCACTTTTTTTCCATCGGAATACTCAGCTATCTTCCAGTATTTTACACACAATACTTGAATTATTTAGAATCATACAAACCAGAATTTTATTATCTAAAGAAAGACTTCAATCATTTGAAAACCAGATGGACAACACAAAAATTTGTTTCTTGTAAGTACTTTTAAGTCCAGCTAATACAGTCTGGCTGGTAGTCAAATACCAATAATATACTAAATAACTAAAAACTTGCTAGTTTTTCACTATTGGTAAATAAAGGCCTGAGGGTTCCAAGAATATTAAAGTGTTAGGATGTTTACAAATTCACAAATTGAACTAATCTTTTCCACAAGGAGCCTCCACTAAGTGATAAGTAAATTATTGGCCCCTTGGAATGTCCTCCTACTGTTTTTAAGCATTTAAAAAACAAAAAAAAAAAGCAGCTGGGCACGGTGGCTCACACCTGTAATCCCAGTACTTTGGGAGGCCGAGGCAGGCGGATCACGAGGTCAGGAGATCGAAATCATGCTGGCCAAAATGGTGAAACCCTGTCTCTATTAAAAACACAAAAATTAGCTGGGCGTGGTGGTGCACACCTGTGGTCCCAGCTCCTTGGGAGGCTGAAGCAGGAGAATCGCTGAACCAGGGAGGCAGAGGTTGCGGTGAGCTGAGATCGCACCACTGCACGCCAGCCTGGGCACGGAGCCGGACTCCGTCTCCAAAAAAAAAAAAAAAAAAAGCATATTTTCTGTTGCCTCTCTTTACTTCCCACTGGAAAACTTTTCCTTCAAGAATAAAAAATAAAAATGAAGAAAAAACAACAAGTAATTGCCTTCTGAGAATTTCATCCCCTGACTTCATTTGGTATTACTGGGAACACTGCCAGACAAAGGAGTTCTGCATGCTGCTGGAAGTTTATTTATCATTTAGCATCTTTCCTACATTTGGGTGATCTACTATTTGAGAGTTATATACTTTTAAAAAAAGAAAGAAGAAAAATCAGCCAGAAAGCTATGAGTGAGCTGACAAATTATGAAAGAGAATTACTGAGAATAAAGTAATATAAGTCAGCTTGAATGACATTCTTGCTGCGTCTAAAAAGTCATATGCAATTAAGGGTTGGAATTTGCTAGAAGAGAGATAGGTATTTTTCTATAGGACAAGTATTTGATATGAATGGTGCATCTTAAATTCTGTGATAATGCATATATGATACAATTTTGAAATACAAAGGGAAATTTGAGAAAATCACTTATTTATTAAGTATCCCGGGAGAAGCCAGGGGAAGCTTAACTCTATCCTAGCAATAATTAAGGTTGACTTTAAAAAAAAAATTAGATGCTGCTAGATGCCAACGTTTTGTCTATTTCTGATTCCTCAAAGGCTAAAAAAAAGTACCTGACATATATCCATGTTTTGCGAATCAAAGTAAAATATGTTAAAATTCATCTTGCAGGCTAGCACACTCACATCTGACACAGCTCTCTGCTTTGTACTGGGCAGGAATCAAGCAAGTTCCCTTTTTTAGATATCTAAAACAATATTTATTCCATATGTTTTCTAGCATTCAAGATTTTTCACTATTATATCCTCAATCCTACCAAGAAAACTGAAGTCAATCGGTTCATAATACCTTTTAATGTTATAATATCTGTTCTTATTTTTTCTTTTCTCTCTTTCTATTAGAAATATCTTTTTTTTTTAGCAGAGCCTCGCTCTTTCTCCCAGGCTGGAGTGCAGCGGCGCAATCTTGGCTCACTGCAGCCTCTGCCTCCGGGGCTCAAGCTATTCTGTCTCAGTCTTGCGAGTAGCTGAGACTACAGTCACATGCCATCACTCCTGGCTAATTTTTGTATCTTTAGTAGAAGTGGGGTTTCACCATCTTGGTCAGGCTGGTCTCAAACTCCTGACCTCAGGTGCCACCTGCCTCGGCCTCCCAAAGTGCCGGGATTACAAGCGTGAGCCACTGCCCCTGGCCTCTACTTTCTTTTCAAAGCTTACCCATCTGTACTTTTTGGTGGATTTATCCAGTATTTCATTTGCAAACAGGGCCAGTTTCTCTGATATAGTGTAAATGGCTGGTATGGGGTAGGGGTGGGGGTGGGTTTCCGGCGAGGAAAACACATAAAGAAGTGCCAAAAGGACCACTCTGGAAGAAAGCACATTCCCTTCCCTGAACCGCACCATTTCCTCAGTCCTGAATCAGCTCACTATTGAGAATTTTCAGTGTTTTCTTTTCCACACTAATTCTTTTCATCTGCCAGTAATTAAGACACACATCTCACCTTAGCATTAAAAATAAACAAATAAGTAAGTAAATAAATAAATCACTCTTGCTGCCACCTCTTTCTGCAATCCCAACTTTCTTTTAAAACAAAGCTCTTCCAAGAGACTCTTCTGGTATCTTACACTATTCTCTTCTATATTCTTCTTTCCACCACTTCTTTCTCAAAACTGTTTTTTGAAAGTTCACTAATGTCCTCCTAATCACTAAACCCAAAGACATCTGCTACATTTTTAATTTTCTTGAACCTTGGTCTGTGATTTCATTCCTCTCCTTGGTGTAACTACTTTTGGTTCTGAATCATTTCTCCTCCACCTGGTCTCTAGTAAGATCATGCACACTCATATTAACTCCCTCCTCAGCTTGTTTCTAGTCTTTATAGCATATTTTCCAAAAATCAGACTTTTATTCTGTTTTTTCTTTTAATATTTTTCTGGAAGCCTATCTACTGGAGGAGCTCAATTATCTCCTGTATGATTAGCATTCCCAAACTGACACCCTTTGTTCTAATCAGGCCTCGAGTATGTGCCTGAAACTTCATTTTGGAATTGTCACCTTCACTTGTCACTTAATATTGCCAACCCTGAAGTCATCATCTTTCATCTAAACTGTTCTGTGTTAATGGTCCTAATTCTTAGAGTACTCAGTTTCAAACTCTTGACCCTCTTAACTTCCTCTGCCTATCTAGTCAATAAAGTATAGCATTCTCCAGATTATCCCTTCACAGTAATTGCTGTAAGAGTTGCCATCCAAAAGCATTTATACAGAAGTTATAAAAAAATTCACATATATTCAAAGGTGTCCCACACTCTTCTCAGTTCAGACTTTTACCAAAGCTTTTTCATCCACCTTTTCCTCTGTACTTTCGAAAGCTTACCCATCCTTAAAGCCACACCTCAGACATCATCACTTCTCAGAGGTATTTCCTAGTCTACTAGGGAGTAAGAAATACTCTTCCACCTAAATCCTATCTCACTTTGTATATATGCAGTCTTTTTTTTTTTGATATGGGGTCTCGTTCTGTTGCCCAGGCTGGAGTGCAGTGGCATGATCTTGGCTCACTGCAACCTCCGCCTCCAGGGTTCAAGAGATTCTCCTGTCTCAACCTCCCGAGTATCTGGGATTACAGAACCCACCATCATGCCTGGCTTATTATTATTACTATTATTATTATTATTATTATCATTATTTGTATTTTTAGTGGAGACGGGGTTTCACCATGTTGGACAGGCTGGTCTCAAACTCCTGACCTCTGGTGATCTGCCTGCCTCGGCCTCCCAATATATATATATAGTCTTATTACACTTTGTATATATGTCACTTAATGATGGGGATTTTGTTGTGGGAACATCATAGAGTATACTTACACAAACCAGATGGTATAGCCTATTATACACCTAGGCTATATGCTGTAGCCTATTGTTACTAGGCTACAAATCTGTGCAGCATGTCACTGTACTGAAAAATGTAGGCAATTGTAACAAATGGTATTTGTGTATCTAAACATAGAAAAGGCATACTGAAAACATGGTATTATAATTTTATGTGACCACCATCATATATACTGTCATTCACAGATATGTCATCATGCACCACATACTGTATGTAATGTTGCGTCTATCAGATTGCCTTATATGTGAATTATATATACAAATATTGCTGTATTTCCAACCATAATTTGTGAGCTCTTGGAAAGCAGTATACTTGTCTTTTCAGTTGTCTTCAGTTAGACCCACCACAGTGCTGTAAACATAGGAAGTGCTTAGAAACCAGTTCTAAATTAACTAAGATGGGACTTGAGCAAGGCTTTGGAGTAAACTATTAAGAGGTCTGTGTTCAAGTGCAACTTGTCTGAAGTTCCCCTTGAAAAGCTGGAAGGCTTTAGACATATTGACCAAGGAGATAATAGCAATAAAAGAAGGGATCAATTATCCAAAACATGAAAACATTATTGTTATTATTATTATTATTATTATTATTATTTCGTCAGCAGGGAATTGAAATCAGATAAGAGGTTATTACTTAAGACTTAATTTATCTACCTGAAATTTCCAAATTCTTTGGAAATTCTCTTTCTTTTTAATGTTTTTTGCTATGGTTCTTATTGTTCTTATCTTTTGGTGTGTTGTGTTTGTTTTTTACTTTGACAGTTTTCATCTGAGTTGAGGAATCAAAATGGGACAAAGGTATACTATATTTAGAATAGCTATTTTGCTGGTTAAGAGATCCAAAAAAGACTTGATGTTGATAATGGTAATTCATGCAAGCCGATTTTAATGCTTTTGCTTTTTAGAACCACCTCAGGCTTTCAAATATAATCAAATTTTATTTATGAAAATAGCTTTTGTTTATATGTGGAATTCTCACATTTTCTAGCTATATGCAATATTTGGAATTTTAAAAATTTTGTCCTTTTTATACTGAAAGTTAACAAAAACCATACTGTACAATTGTGAGGTTTTTTTTTTTTGTCAATTTATATTGACATAGTGACCAATCTAAACCTGAAGATAAATTATACCAAAGTAAGCAAAATAGAGAGTAAATGATGTATATCTTAAACAATAATTTTCTATATATAACACTACCTTGCTTTGAAGAGACATGTCCTCAACAACTTGCTTGGCATGTTTTGAATATCAAAATGTTTTGGTGGCAATCATCAGAAACCATGGACCTTCTTATTTGCACTTATCTTTACATTTTTACTGGTTTCGAATCATGAAGAATTTACTCTATGTTAATTTAATCCCTTCATTACTGACCTTGCAGCAAATTTTGATTTAAAATTTTATAGATGTGTACAGAGGAAGAGTTTTCAGAGAAAATGAAGGGGAGATAAAAATGAGGGAAATAAAGTAAGGCATAAATTCTTTTAGATGATCCTAATTTAATTGGTTTACATTATTTACTAATCAAATTGATACTGGACAGAAATAAAATCAGTCATTAAAATGTGAACTAAAACAATTGATTGACTTGGTTTTGTTTTCCTAGTGACCGGAATTAAGTAGAGTTATTCACACAAGTTTAATGACAACACAAGAACAAATCAGCTTTGTAAACACTTGGGAGAAGCCCCCACTTTCCAATGAACTTTCATTTACAGTATTGCACATTCAACTGCCCTTTGTAATTTATATATTTTTTAGTAGCAAATGCAAAATGTGTGCAATAGAAGCAAAAATTTCCACCCACTTAATTTTTATTTTGCATGTTTACAGTCAGGTAACCATAGCCTGCCATGAGAGAAATTATTTTTACATTTCTTCACAAAGTGCTCTAGGAGGAGAAATAATTTTCTCAGTGTAAAGCTCAGCCTTTATTCCATCAGGGAAAGTAATTATGAAAGCAAAACAAATCCACATTGTCTAATTAGGTCATTAAAAAGCATAAATGCGTCATGGAAGCTTTTCTCTTTGCCTAAGACATAAAGCAAGACAATGAAAACACTCTGGTAATATAGAAAGACTTAGAATTTGTTTCTTTTCAAAAATAATAGGTCCTTTCATCTTTCTGTTTCCCTCAGATGAAGAGAGTTAATTTAGAGACAAAATCTTGTAATTAGTTCAGAGTTTAGTCTGATTATATTTCAAAATATTTAACCAAAAACAGGAAGCTGAAGAAAAAAGAAAATACACGGAAAAATTGTCAAAGGAAATGAATAAAGAGAGTGGGTTGCTGATCAAAATGTATTCTGCCGAGACAAGATGAATATAAAATCTATATTCATATAAACACAACCAATCTGGGATACCAGAAAGCTCTTAGAAGGAATATCCTGGCATCTGCCTTTGGGATTTGAAATCCAGACTTTAATTATAGTTAACTTAAATAAAAACAAATGGCATGGTTATTTTGCCTCTTCCTCGCTCCACATTTTATTATCTCTTGAGTTTTAGAAAACCCGTGGCTGAAAGTGTTACGAAACGAAACGTGAAAAAGAAAAGGAAAAGAAACTTACCTGTGATCCTCTTGGCCCTCGTTTGTGGTCCCATTCTGAATGCCCCATGAGCTGGAAAGATGAAAATTATAATAAGTTAAATGATTATTTTACCTGACAAACATTTTTCTTCTTTATTTTAAAGAATAATCAGGTTGTTCCAATCTTTATTAGTAATATATTAAATAGCTATCATGAATAAATTAACATACCTAAATTAGTAGCAAACTCCTGGTTTGATAGCTAATATTTCAACTTCTAATCATTTTGAGAGTATTTTAATATCACTGTGTGATAAAAGAAGCTACTGTGTAGCTCTGTCAGGAACATCCTAGATAGATGTTAAACCATGTAAAGCTTTATTTGCATATTATTAAGCCTTTAGCTTTTTAAGAAAATATTCTGGGTAAATGACTACTGCAGTTAAATCTACTGCCGCAAATGATAAGAACCAGAAGGCCAAATCAGTTCAATAATTTTTAATCCTCCTTCAAAACTATAAAAATCTTGAGAGTTCTAAAGAGTAAAATTATTAAATATTTAATATGAAATATGCCCACATAGTCACAAAACGTAGATTTTTAATAATAACCTATAAAATATCATCACGTTATTCCTATGGTGGTAATAGCCCTGAGCTACCTTGCTTACAAAGAAGAATATTTACTTATTGAAAATAACATTTAACATTAAGAATATTAAGGAAATAAAAGATATTGACTCAGAGAAATGAAACTCCATTCATCTGTCAGTAATCTTATTAGTCATCAGTACCAGCTGAAGAAGTATTTACAGCTAATAAGCTAGCACACCAATAAGATGGACTATAAATGAATTTATGTACGTTATTAGCTTTTCTGTATAGCAGCAATGACTCCTAAGTAGACTTAACAACAAACAACTGTTCACAATAGCAACAAAAATAATATGCCTTTGAATATTATCAAGAAATGTTTGATAACCATATACAGAAAATGGTAAAAGTTTACTGAAGACATACAGTGCTACTGGTAAAGAAGACTTAATTCTATAAACTATTGAGTGCTCAATTCTACTCAAACAAATTTAACTAGATTTCAGGTTTAACTAGATTTCAATCAAAAGCTAACAGTATTTTTAATTTTGAAAGAATATAAATTTCATTGGAGAGTATAAACATATATAATCAGTTATGTCAGATGAATAAGTGTAGCGATACAACGCAGAATATGAGAACTATACCTCATGATGTTATACAGTGTGCTGAAGTTTGCTAAGAGGGTAGATTTTCGGTGATTTCACCAAACACAAAGTTAAAACTATGAGAGACGATCGATGTTAATTTACTTGACCTTAGTAATTACTTTACATTGTAAATATACATCAAAATATTATGTTGTACACCTCAAGTATATACAATAAAAAAGAATCCATTAGAGGCCGGGGCGCAGTGGCTTATGCCTGTAATCCTAGTATTTAGGGAAGCCAAGGCGGGCGGATTTCCTGTGGTGAGGAGTTCGAGACCAGACGGGTCAACCCTGTCTCTACTAAAAGTACAAAAATTAGCCAGGCGTGGTAGTGTGCACCTGTAGCCCCAGCTACTTGGGAGGTTGAGGCGGGGGAATTGCTTGAACCTGGGAGGCAGAGGTTGCAGTGACCCAAGATCGCACGCCACTGCACTCCAGCCTGGGAGACAAAGTGAGACTCCATCTCAAAAGAAAGGAATCCATTAGAAAATGTTACAAGTGATGAAAATACCTTTCTGGTTATTAAGATATATTATAAAACTTAACCAAATTTGGGGATAATGGTTTAGCATTAAAAATGCAAATGAATGAAATAATTTGGAATAAATATACGTATGTGTGCTAACAAAATATAAGCAAGAAAACATCAAAAATATTTTGTATTTGATGAATTATTCAACTAATGAAAAAAAGGAGTTCATGACCAGCCTGGCCAACATGGTGAAACCCCTTCTCTACTAAAAATACAAAAATTAGGTGGGCGTGGTGGGGCACGCCTATAATCCCAGCTACTTGGGAGGTTGAGGCAGGAGAATCGCTTGAACCTGAAAGGCCAAGATTGCAGTGAGCTGAGATCGCGCTGCTGCACTCCAGCCTGAATGACAGAGTGACACCCTGTCTCACAAAAAAAGAAAAAAAAAAGAAAGAAAAAGAAAAATAGACTTTTGAGGGTAAAAAATAATTAAAGCCTAACCTTATAATAAATGGTAATATTAATTATAGATTTAAAAGACAAATTTTTAAAAAGACAAAACTGTAAATATAAAATAGAATAAAATCCAGGTAAATACTCAACCTATCTTGGGAAATAAAAAAAAAATTAAATAAATCTAAATCTTTTTTTATTTTTTTTATTTTTTTTTTTTTATCTGTGAAAAACATTTATTCTGAGAATCTAAAATCTGGACAAAGTACTGGACTTTAGAAAAAGCCTACACAAAATTGTCTCATTCTTCCCTAATACATTAATAATCTAAGAATAAGGAGGTGAAAAAAAACCCTTTAAAAATAACATTGCTCCAGTTTGTCTGCAGGTATGTGATTTAAAATATCCCTGTTTTATTGAGGTATAGGCTGCAAACTTTGGTAAAATTAGAAAAATTAACAAACCCTTTCAAAAAAAAAATACAAAAACAAAAACAACCAAACCCTAACGTTATATCTTTCTTGGTACATATACAGTAACTACAAAAAAATTCATTTAGAAAATGTGTTCATTAAGAGAAAAAAAAATTAAAAAAAAAACCCTCTTGTAAGTTCTCACTTGCTGAGTTAAAAAAATTGAATGTAAATGATCTATAAGGCTCAAACGGTTCCCAAGCACCCATCCGGTGTCAGGAAGAACTGGATGACCGCAGTTTCTAGAATCTGGTTGACATTTTCAATAATTCAGTGCTAACAACAAAGACTGTCGTCTTTAGAAAGAAGGAACGAATCAAAGGCACTTGCACGTGACTTCATGTGCTGGCGTCCGTCCGTGGCCGCCTTCGTCGGACAGCGTCAGCCACACGCCTGGCCCCACGTGGAGCGGAGTCCCCTTGAGGCCATTTCTGCGTGGCCCCAACTCCCTGCTCTCGTGGGCAGAGGACTTTTCACGCGGATCTCAGACGCTAAGCAGTCTGGTGGGGGATGGCTTTGAGGCAAAGGTTTGAACTAGGCCCGAGATGTTTCCTCTTTTCCTTGCAACAACTTCAACAGACAGCTGAGCCACGCCATGCCACGGGCTGCCACGGGCCACCACGGGGAACCATGTCACTGGACTTTAGATGACAAAATGCTGTCAGGAAGATGCTTGCTCTGACCTTGGGGGCCAGAACCCGAGAGAAGGACTGATCCTGTCGCCTTCTTAAAGAGTTGGTGGCAGCAACTTCTGAGAACTTGACACCAGAAACATCAACAGCCTCCACACCACGTAGTTTCTGATTCCATCTTTAAAAAATCTTGTGTTGTTTTGTCGAGAAATTGCAGGCTTTTATGTTTTCAAAGAACTAAACACAATACTGAGAAGTCCAACTTTTAGCCAGAATACATAAATTCCTGAAAATGTATAGATTTGAAAAATAAAAATAAAAAAAAAAAAAGGAAGACAAACCTTTTTAGGGAACGGAGGAAACACTACCTGTTTAAGTTAAGCCCACTAAGAACAAAATCAGTGCCGATGAACGAGCCCTCCGACACGTTTTCAGCAAAACGCCTGTCGAGAAGTGCTTGGAGATCACCGGCCATTGCCGTAGCCGGGGAAGAGCTGGTTGAGGACGGTCTGCAGAGGCTGGTTCACCTGCATGGCATAGCTGCGGCCCAGGTCGTAGCGGCAGGCAGGGCAGCTGAACACCTGTGCCCGAAAGGATCTGTCCAGGCAGTCCTTGCACACGTTGTGCTGGCACACGGTCGTGATGGGCCGGAACACCAGCTCCTGACAGCAGATACACTGGAACGTCTCCTCCACTTTACTCAGGAACAACTGGAACGGGCTGCCGCTCGCCGGCCGGTCCTTGAGTGACGCCAGGACCTCATTCCACAGCTTGGCGTTGCTCTTGTCCTCTCTGATGAGGCTGCTCTGCTGGGCCGTGAGACTGTAGGGCTCCACCTTGGTTTTCTTGGATGTCCGGCGCGGGGACCCGGCCCTGCTCGGGCCACCTCCTGCCGACTTCCGCTTCCACTTGCCCTTGCCCGTCCTGGGGGACGCGAAGCCCCCCTCCTGCTGCTCCTCCTCCTCCCTCTTGCTGTTCTCCTTCTCTCGCTCTCGGTTGGCCAGGGCTTCCAGGTAGCCTTCTGGATACTGCATGGTCAGCCCCAGCTTCTTGATCCGGTCCTTCCCCTCCTTCGTCCAAGGGCCGGGCTCATCATCGTCCCTCCGCAGAAGGTAGCGCCACACGAGAAACCCGGACTTCCCCTTCTCGGGCCAGTATTTCACAACCTTGTAGATGCCATCGTAGCGGTTGCCCTCAGCGGGGGCGTACTTGCTATTCTTGCCACCCTTGACATTGCGCACCACCCTGACCGGCTTCCCCGACCGCCAGTCCTTGGCCTCGGCCCCTTCTTGGTCATTGATGGGAGCAAAGCAGTTGAGAGCCAGCGCCCTGTTGGTGTTGGTGAGTTTCTGATCACAAGACTGTTCCGCGGTCCTCTTGTTGCCGGAAAGCTCTCGACCACCACTACCCGTGTATGTGAAAAAATTCCCATGGTCCACGTCATCCTCGTAGCCCCCCGCCAGGACTAGGGAGTACGCTCCGTCGTTGCTCCGGCCATGGATGCCAGCCACGTGGGGCCGATGGACACCCGACTCGCTGACCTGGACTCGGAACCGCCACATGGTGCCCACGGGGATCCCCGGGATGGGTCCGTAGTGGTTGGACGGGATGATGGTACATTCCTTGGTGCGGCCCACACAGGCCATGCCCTTGTCCCAGTCCCGCTGTGAGGACGATGTGGCCGAGGCCATCTTCGCCTTCTTCTTGCTCTCTCTCAGCCGCTCTCCCGCCAGTACCACCTCGCTGGCATCATTCCGGCACTCAGGGCAGTACCACTCGTCCTCGCTGGGAACACTGCTGAGGGGCGGGTCCAGGCAGTAGATGTGGAAGGCCATGTCGCACTCATCGCACATGAGCTGCTTGTCGGGGTCCTGCCGGCCCCCGCACAGGTGGCAGGCGCAGACCCGCTCGGGGGTCGCGTAACTAGTTAGCATGCCAGAGTCTCGTTCGTTATCGGAATTAACCAGACAAATCGCTCCACCAACTAAGAACGGCCATGCACCACCACCCACGGAATCGAGAAAGAGCTATCAATCTGTCAATCCTGTCCGTAAATCTTTTTTTAAAGACTTTTTTTTTTTATTACAAAAGAGGACAAATTGATCTGGCTATATAAAACTTTAGAGTATTTGCACAAATGTCACATTGGTAAAATATCTGTAGTAAACTTAGGTAAAGAATAATATCTTCAAGATATCAAGGGTTCTTACAAATTTGAAAGAATCCCAACCCTAGTAAAAAACTGAGGGAAGAGTGAGAACAACTTACAAAATAAATAGATCTATGGAAAGACATTTAACTTTATTGGAAGTAAAAGAAATTCAATATAAACAATGACAAGATACTACTATTGCCTATTATATTTGCAAATTAATAATGTTGAATATTTGGAAAACAGGGAGTAAACTAAGCATATATATTGCTACTATATAACAAATATATATTTATACACATTGTATATATATATTTACACACATATAAAATATATATAATACATATATTATTAAAAATTCATACCCTTTGAACCAGTAAACTAAGATCTAAAAATCCAGTAACTATAATGTGCTACTAATTGTTTATCCAACAAAAGGGAAATTACTCAATAGATTACGGTATACAAAATGATACCATAGAGCAATTAAAATTTGGCTTCCAAGGCCTTTATAAAAAAGAACATGTGAAATGTTCACAGTATAATAGGTAAAAAACATAACAAAGTAATTTAATGAATTTTAAGCTACTCATTTTTAACAGACATAGTCAATTGTTTTAAGCCTTGGAATTATCATGATGATTTAATTGTAGTTTGGCTAGCACACAATTTTGGGTACACTGACCCAGATAATCATTATATAAAATTGAATGCTTACATAGTAGATATTTCTTTAATGCTTTAATTTTTTAATTTATGGATTTACTGGCATTATATCATCTCAAAAATATTTATTGATACTAAAGATGATTATAATATGGTTCACAAGCAATAATTAACTAATGAAATAAGTAGTATGATTTAGAAACATTAGTTGTTCACTAGAACTATCAAAAACAATTCTTGACACATTTCAAACATTGACAATACCTTACATTAAAATAGGAAGATGAGCTCATTATTTTTGGCAACTTTAAAGTGGCAATAAATTGAGCAATAGGCTTCTAGTGAAATGATTTATCAAAATCTTCTGGAAGATTTACAAAATGCTGACTATTAACACTGTTATCCTCCTTGCTAATGAGTTTAAACTAACAGGATCAAAATAAGGTGGTAAATTCTCCTATCACAACTAAAAGAGGTAAATAAATCTTACAAACACAAGTTATAATCCACAATATATTGATTTAAGAGAGAATATTTCATGATGACAGTAAGTCAAAAAGGAAACATTTTTGTAGGACCAGAATTAAAATGAGGAAAGCATGTAATTCACTGCCTTCTGCCATTAATTATCTTAACGATGACGATTTTAGTCAAAGAACAAAAACACTCAAAATGTAGACTAATTTGGGTCATCATTTACTCCAGAAGATAAGATCAATTTGGTAATTTGCAAATCAGAGCTTGTAAGATGCATTTCAAAAAATTCACTATCTAAATTTGACTTTTTCTTTTAAAGCATAAAACAGTAAAATTTGCCAAGTGTGTTATGTATCAGAGAGTTATTTCCTAGCATTATATAACAAACTGAGAAATATGCAGGGCAAAGAAATTCTTTTCCATTCTTATTTATATATTAATATCATCTTTATATTATATTTGAAAGGTATGAGCTGACCAAGAATGTGGTAGTATTTTAAAATGTACACTATGGCTACTTTTTTCAAAGTAATAAAAAATGTTACAGAAATCTACATCCTATGTGAAATATATTCAAAAAGAATGAACTCTGCATATGACAAATGAGATACTGTAATGTTCTACAGTCAATAAGAGCACCAAAGGAAGTAAACAGGATATTTCTCCTTTTGGATTTGAAGAATACAAAGTGTTTATCATTAAACTTCCATTTCTAATTAAAATAATCTGAGCCAAAATTTAGCATTTATTATTTCAGTGTATTTTCTTTTTTTTTTTTTTAATGCAAAGAAAGAGGCAATGATGGGGGTAGGGACTGCATAGTGTCAGAGCTTTATTCCTTCCCACGATTACAGCATTCTGGCCACTAGATGGGGCATGGGGTGGAGAGTGGGAGATGTAAGGATAAACTTCATATTAGCGCATGACAGCATATGAATTTTTATCCTATTTGTATAAAAAATATTTTACTGTCATAAAAACATAGTTCTCAGATAAAGGATGAAAGACTACAATAAGCAGCATATTGTCAGAATCCATTAAAAAAAACTACTCATAGTGTGATAAACTGACTTAATATTACAGATTATTTAAAATAAAATGAGGCATTTAGCTACTGGTAAGTACTCCTATTAAACAGAACCATAGGGATAAATGTTTCACAAAGACATCTCCCTAGCCCTTTCTTGATGTGTGATTACAACAAATAAAAAAAAATGGTTATTCACAATAAATAGTAAAGAAGACAGCTTGCACATTGAGGTCAATGAATTTCAGAATTAAGTGCAAAATGATGTTGATATTATTTCAAAGAGAAAGTCAAAACATCCTTTCAATTAAACAGATAAGATTAGTGTTAAGTTGCAGATGACCAAAGTAATCATTTGACATTATCATAGTAGCAGATAAAAGACGTTAATGGGCCACAGACAATGAGGAAAAGAAATAGAAACTGTGGAATTTTCCTTTTTGCAAAATAATTCATTTTGACTAAACTTTCAAGAGAAATGAATAGCAGCATGCTACTTAAGCAATTCTGGGAAAAGAGAAACTTTATTAAGATGATATGATACTCTTTTTGGAGAAGGAATGCTAATGATTTTAAGATTAGTTACATAAAGTTGCTAGAAACATAAAACAGAGAGGGAGAGATTGAGACTGGAAAAATAAATAAAAGTAAGTTTAAATATATTCTAGTTGATAAGAGTACATAACTACTTAATTCAGGGAGAAAAAAAATGTTTGTCTCTCACCATCTATAAAAAATACCCTCTGGCTAGTTTATGATTACTCCTCTGGGTAATGACATTTTAATAAGCATCTTACCAGAAGGTCTGGGGATATATAGGTCACCAAGGTTATGCCTGCAAATGGCAAATAAAATCTTTCCGTCTGATGAAGAAATTCTCTAAAAAAAATTTTTTTTAAAAGAGAATGTTTCTTCTCTTCTCAGTTCTCATTAACCAAGATAGGCACAATGAAGACCCTTAAATTTATTCCTGGCAAACAAAGTAAACTTCCTTGAAAAGAAACACAATCTGTTATAGAAAGCATTTTGAAAATCCTAACTGCTTTGACACTAAGTCATTTTGATCCTTATGGAATAAATTCTTCTCTCCGTCTTTTATTTTTAATAATAAATTTCTACATCACAGCCTTCAGCTAACAGTATGTTACACAGTACTTAGCTCCAAGGAAAACAAAACTGCTGCCAAACACAGAATTTAAAAAGTTCACAGGAGAAGCAAAGAAGAAGTCAGCATGGAAACAAAAAGGTTCTATCCAAGCAGAGATATTTTTAACAATAGCATGAGAAATAGATTGCTGAAAATATATTTCTGTAGGTAAAATATTTTGCTTTCATGTTTATATGTTTTTCTCCTGTTGTTTGTTTACGTAAAAATGAACGCCTTTTTAGGGGCTTCTCGGGAGAAAAAATTCACCACAACTATTACTAAAGGGATGAAAGCTGAAGGAGGACTGTAACTAGATGGGAAATAAAAAATTATTATTTGTGTGTACCTTAAAGAGGTGAGAAGTTTTAGATATGAAAAAAAGAGGATAACGATGGAAAGTAATAGTCACCACAGTTATCTTTGCACTACTCTCAAGAAAACTATTCTTTTACAGCAGCTGAAGATGGCTAAAACATATTTCTGAAGACATATAAAACTAATATACATATAAGGATGTAAAGGTTACCACACAGTCCACTTTCTATTTCATCATGTACTCATTAAGTAAATATGTATTGTATGCATATTATGTGCAAAGCACTGTTCTAGGCACAAACTGTATGCCATTGAACAAAACAAGATGTATCTCTGCCTCCTGGCTATTATATTTTAGTGAAGGAAGAAGATAAACACAGAAACATAGTATACCAGGTGATGATAAAGCTATAAAGAAGCTTAGAATAGAATAAACGAAGGGAGAACAAGTGGGGGTAATGGATGGTAGGGGCTGGAAGCAGAGGTAAGTTTATATAAGTACAGTAGATCGAAAAAGTCCTTTCTGAAAAAAGTGACATTTTATCAGATAATTGTATAAAGAGCCAGACACACAAACCTGGGGGAAATGCATGCCAGACAGAGGAAATAGAAGATGTAAAGGCTCTGAGGCGGGAGCAGGAATGGTACCTTAGGAGCAGCAAAGCATCTCTATGTTAAATTTAAAAAGGGATTGGATCTTTGTGATCATAGCTATATATTTGGTATTTACTATTTTCCTTTAGTATAAAATTGGTCTACAAGTTAATTATTAGCTTCATTAATTCAAAATTACAAGAAAAAATTATCTAGGGAAATACTAATACACCAGGGATTCTTCTGTCCCCAAACTCTTACTTAATTCCATTCAATACAACAAGAATTTATAGAATATGCACCACATGCCACAAAGACACCCTTATATTAGTCATACTAAATAGTACAATTTTATTGTCCCTTTACATATGGGTTTTGTTTTTCAAGAGTCACAAAATGCATGAGAGCAGGGGTTGCCTTTTAGAACCACATTTACTCTGACGAGCACACGGTTTTTGATTTGATAAGAAACTAAAAGCACTTCTTTAACCTGGGCATGTTTGATTGGATTCTTTCCTTGGCATACTCTTTTTCCTTAATTTCTATGCTACCTATATTTGCTCTCTGCAGCATTCCATGTGAGAAGATGAGCCTGAACTGTATGTCTCCCCTGACTGCAGGCTCTAGCAGAGGTCAGTGCTCTGGATTGGGAAGATCTCTGATAGTTTAGGCCAGTCTCAGCACCTGTCTAGTCATTTTGGGAAATTGTTCTTTTTTTTTTTTGGTGGTCCTTTCCTGGGTCTCTTCTTATTAACGGAGTAAGAATGTCAAAATTACCTTGCACTCTTCAGAAAAGTAAGAGTGGAAGTCTGCATTTGGTCCGGGGCTTAGGCCAAAGAAGCTAACAGAATTCCTGGGGTTGCCATATACTGTTTATCAGCCCTCCAGTCGTCAATACTGGGATTTGGGATCTAGAAAGACCTAATACAGGTGGTGCTGAAAAAGACTTACCCACCTGCATAATTTTTTTTAAATCTCTGCTGGCAGGAACCGCCTGCATATCATAATTTACAAACTAGAAGACCACATCAGCCTCGTGTGGGTAAAACAGATGTGACTAGCAGCCACAGTCTCATAAACACAATACCTCTATTACAGCTACTTCATCACATCTCCCCGCTCCTCAAATCAATCCCACTCTACAATGTATTAGCAAGTGATGTTGATTTCACTGACGATTTCATGGGGAGACAAGAGGACATCATTACATTATACAAAATACAGCAAAAAGCCATATAAATATCCATTCGATATCTCTCCACAAAACTTTTTTGTTTTTTCAGGTTTTTTTGTTTTGTTTTGTTTTGTTTTTTTTTTTTTGGCAGCCACTACCTCTTGCCCTTTACTCTTGGGGTAGGGCAAGAGGACTGTGTCTTTTTCAGCATACTGGCCCCAGCTTTTCCTCCAGGATCTTTCTCAGAATCTAAATCTCTTACTGTTCCCCAAACAATTTAGCTTTCTCCTGTATTCCTCGTAAACCTTCAGACAAATTAGCAGGAACAAAGAGATTCCTTAGAATTCTTAAAATTGACCCTCCTTTAAAAAATCACTGAGAGCCTGATATATAGCATTGTGACTGAATTTAACGGATATTTTTCCTTTCACAGTTGGTGATAACTAGCTAAATTCCATCCACTTGATTGATACTAAATCCCTGATTCTGATTCTTAGCATTTCAATATAGCAGCCAGTGTAAATTTCATAAGCACTGGGAATGAGAAGGCTTCAGATAGAGGCAAATTCAGATATTCTGGAGTTTGAAATTCTAGCCTCTCTACTACAATTTCTCTATCTATTTCTGATAATGATCTTCCTATATACTGCTTTAGAATGTTTCCATAATTCTGTATCTGTCCCTGTTATCACAATGATAATAATTCCTCTAAACCTATATGCTGCCACTAATCTTACAAAGCTTCCATTATTTTCATTTAATACATCTGGTTTATCCTGATTACTTGAAATTTTTACAACTTCTATTGCTAATTTGAATTTTGGAGACTATTAATAATAATGTAATCACATCAGTCTCATGCTTAAGTTTTCCTGTGAGGTATTTTATGAAAAATGGTAATAAAGTAAAATAAGCTTGTGAAATTCTGCAAAATATCATCCCTCCTTGGATAGTCCCAGTACCTGTTAGCATGTTAAAGCTTGAGGAAGTTTTAAAGGAACTCAGATGAAATATTTCTAGAAGTATGTGATTATAGAAACTTTTTTGTTTCAAGAGAGATTTACAGTTTTCCATGGAACACAAACACATTTTGAGATATATTTTTTACAGTTTTATAATTTTTAATACATAATTTCATCACCAAGAAACCATAGAGGCATATGCTCCATATTTTATGGATATGGAAATGAGTTAAGAGAGGAGAAATGTAACATAACCCAGCCAGTGGTTAAATATGGATTAAAATATAGGTTGGCTGGTTGCAAATCATAAACGTTTTTATTCTTACTGTGCTACTTACAACAATAAATAATTACTGGGTCCAAACTAAGTATCAGGTCCTTCGTACTGAAGTATATTCATAAGGAGAAAGAAAAGACATCAGATTTGATTTGTCTTCAAGGAACTCATGGTTATAGTTAATATGATGGGTTTATTTCTCCAGAATCCATTTTCCACCCTCTAATCTCCATCTTGTTTAAAACAGTGAAATAACAGAAAAATGTAATGTCTCTGAAAATCCTTCGTAAGTACTATAAATTAATCATATTTTAAAATGTTGGCTAAAGAGTTACCTCAAAATATAAATTATATATCAGATGTTTAGTTATACCAAATTCTCTATTAGCACATCTCAATACAAATTTTTCATTTCTGTATTCACCCATCCACTCATTCATGTGTGCATTCTTTCAATATTTATTAGGGAAATATATATACACATATAAAATATATATTTGAATATATATTATATATAATGTTTTATATTTATATATCTTATGCTCTATGTAAGCATAAAAAATACTGAAACTGCCAACCCAAAGGCACCACAGGAGTCTTGAAGTACCTTCTGAATAATTAAAAAGTGTAGGCTATATGTTATGCATGTTAGCTCTAGAGTCCAGACTGGTTCAAATCCCAATTCTGACTTGATATTCAGTCTTACCAGATACTTGATCTTGACAAGTTATATAATGTCTTTGTGCCTCAGTTTCATGTCTCCATGACTTAGCTAATAATAGCATCCAATTTGTATGGTTTTGTAAGCATTAAATGAATCATTAGGTTTAAAAAGCCTTATATACCTGGTACATAGTAAGGACTTACTAAATGTGAGCTATAATTGTTATCACTATTAATAAGTATATAATCAAACTTAGGCATTGTTGCAATCTAATTCATTGAGAAACGTAAAATTCACATGATATATATTATGACTTTCTATTAAACTAGAATAGGAAAAACCCATTCCTTGGCCACGCCAAAACACAATTTATAGAATTTGATCAATCTGTAATTAAAACTTCATGCAGCATTACTCAGAGTAACATGTAACGCATGTGCATGACCATGAAGTCTACTGAATCAATGGTTTTCTGCATTAACAGTGGAAAAATCTAAATTTTAATATTAATGGATCCCCTTGGTTATGAGAGGCCTGGGATAGCTTAATCTTCCTCAAGCGTAAAGAGTAGCAAAAGGCTACTCTTTGGGGCCAGAGAGGCCCAAATAGCAAACGTTTGAAAAGATCAGCTAAGGAAAAGCTAGAGAGAGTCTGTTCAATATGGAAAGGACTTGCACTTCCAGGTGTATTATTATTTGTTAGTTGGAAACACAATCAAATTTCCAATGCAATTGATAGTTAGGCCTGTTTAAAAAAAAAACAAACAAACCAAATAAACTTACTCCAAAAATTCCATGCAAATATTTATAAAATAACCACAATAAAACAGATTTTAGGTTCTGAGTAGACAAAACAAAATGCAATTTTCTCATGAAATATTTAAACAAGGCATTATGACTTTATTAACTATATGAACTTAACTTCAGGTGAAACCCAAACCCCTAAGCACCAATTAATGTGACTATAAATCTGTATTGTACAGTTTGTCAAACTACCTCTTGCATTATTTATGTCAATTTGAGTAAATGAGTAGGAAATAAAAAATAAAATAAAGGCCTCATTTATTATTTCTAGCTCTTCACCTGTTGTTTTATGACTGGATCATGCTAATATCTCTGTTTCCCTATATATTTAGGTTTCATTCATACCATGCCCCGTGAAAAGACACATTCAAGGCTATTTTCTACAGAAAATTATTAAAACTCAGACGAACCCACTGGCACAACTTCAGGAGACTAATCTATAAAATTGATCTCCTTTCTTAGAAAAAATTGGAAATCCTAGGGAAAATAATAAAATCCAGACATAGCCTCAGCTGCATCAAAAGCTTTAACTCAACAATATTTATGAGTTCTTGCATTTGGATAGGTTTAACGGTTTTTATTTTTATTTATCAAACATTGTGATGTATTGCATTTAAACAACATACAATTTCTCAGACTGTAGCATTAAAATTACGTGCTGAAAAACATAAACATTGCTTTGATATCCAAATGGTTTACATTTATGGGCCTAAAATATATAAGTCCAAGAAAATTAAAAGTGTATGTGTGTGTGTGTGTGTGTGTGTGTGTGTGTGTGTGTATGCTGTTACGTATACCAAAAACTATCTAACTCAAAGGAATATTCTCTACTTAAACTCCTTTTTTAGAAATGGTCTTTAAAATTGATAAATAGGTAATTTTAAAAAATATATCTCAGTAATTGGTGTGACTTAAAACATTGAATTCATTTTTAAGTCTTATAAATGAGAAAAATACTGAATTGGTTTTTATATAATTTTAATGTGAAAGTTACGTTTTTCCAAAAAGTCTTTTACAAAATTTTTAAAGTCTTATTTCATTCAATGAAGTTTTCATAAGTGCCAAGAAACCTTCAGCAAAAGACAAAATTCCAAACATTTTCCCTGCTACTTATTTCTTACTCCCCAATCAGCTAGACTTTGGGAGGTTGTTGAGAAAAGCATAGACGGACTACAATATATACTAGCCCCATTACGCGACCCTTGGCTTTCTTATTTGTCCTCTAAAGCCGATTTGTGCCAAAAATTACTTTAGTTCCACTTTCAATTAGATTTTAACAAGACATGTGCATTTTGTGTTCAAGTTCTTAAATGCTGAAGAAAGTAATTTATTATAAGACTTGAAGATATTCTTTTGACTAAGTTTACAGTACATCTCTGCCCCTAAATTTGACCTTCCCCCTCAATTCTTCACGGGTCCATGACCCATTTGATATGTTGAAAGTAATTTCAGAGGTTTGTTTACAATAAAACCAATGCTTTTTTTGCAGAAAAAAGTTTTATTGCAAATGTATTCCTCTTAGTGATATATTATGCAGACCTCTATTTAGGAATAAAAGAAAATAAAGTGGAATAGATGATGTGGCAAGGAAAAAGGAAGAAATAGAAAAAAAGGAAGAGTAAAGTATGACCTAAAACTGTAGTTAACTGAGGTCGTTAGAATTGCAGGTGCAGAAATAATTAACCAGGTACTTCTCTGTCTCTATTCCTACCACAAGTACAAGAACCGAGAGACTTGCTCATTCTTTTTTTCTATTTCAAGCAAATGCGATGTACTGTATCCTTGATTGAAGGCAAAAACTAAATAAATAGAGGGGTAGGTATGGTGGCTTGTGCCTGTAATCCCAGCACTTTGAGAGACTGAGGTGAGAGGATCAGTTGAGGAGGCCAGCAGTTTGAGACAATCCTGGGCAACATAGTGAGACCTCAGTCTCTACAAAAAATATTTTAAAAATTAGCCAGGTGTGGTGTTGTGCACCTGGTAGTCCTAGCTATTCTAGATGCTGAGGCAAGAGGATTGCTTGAGCCCAGGAGTTCGAGGCTATAGTGAGCTACGATTGCACTACTGCACTCCAGCCTGGATAACAGAGGGAGACCCTGTCTCAAAAAAAAAAAAAAAAAAAAAAAAAAAAAAAAAAAAAAAGAAAGTTACCAATGTCCTTGTCAATTTGAGTCAATAATATACACTTAATAGGATACTTGGTTTTTTGATTATATATTGAAACGGAAAACTCTAGCTTATGTTAGGAGTGAGAGGGTCTTAAAGAAAGTATATGATTTAAAAAATACATTAAACACATTCTCTTTGCTTTATTCACAATTTGGAGTATTAAATGTTTTACCGTAAAACATGTTTCACCATTGATTGCATTCCAGAAAAGAAGGGGAAGAATGTGACATGGCAAACAAAATATCTGCACATTATCACCATGTCCTAGCCAAAGTTTTCCTAATGAAATTACCACAGAAAAATTCTTTAGTTTCCTATTACTTGTGGAGAAATTTAAGAATTAGAATTAAGAATCACAATTCTAATTCTTAAATTTCTCCATAAACATGAACAGAAACACATTCAAACATGATCAGAAAGTCGCATTTGAAAACTGAAAGCTATCGTCACTTTACAGGAGTAATAGGGTGATTTTCCTGTTAGCCTCAATTTACACTTTCGTAGAAGTTGTCATGAAGGAATGACTATTCCTGTGCTGTTTCTGGTTGCAGGGTGTGCCCCATATGCCCAAGATAATATTCTCAGAAGATGGCAAATCCAACTTTTCAGAATCAATAAATTATATGCAAAGTATAATAACAACTTCAAGGGCATAGCTAAACTGGAATTCTCCGCTTGAGTTTGTAATGATTTTCCTCTATCAAGCTATTGTTATTCTAACTAAATTTACTTTTTAGCAATTCCATATTTCAGCGTTCATTAGAACCAGAAACTAGATCTTTTATAATAATCCAGTCCATAATGTAATATACAAAGACAATTTTTACTTTGAAAGAGAAAGATGGTCAGTGGAGGCTCTGAGAAACTGTGCTATGTATTCAATTCATAAGAGTCACTAATAGACAATGTGGTTAAAAATTGAATCCATTAAATTGGCAGATATCTTCTTTTCAGGCTTTTACTTGCTGTTTAAACAATCTAGTCCTGTTACAGTTTACTTTTATAGTTTACAACATTGCACAGTGGTTAAGGGTGGACTCGAGCTGAATTTCTTATAATCAAATCCCAATTTCATTCTTACCAGCTCTGTGAATCTGGATATTTTATAATTTCTAGGTTAAGTTTCCTCATTTGCAAAATGGAATAATAAGACTACCTACTTCACGTAATTTTTGTGAAGCCCAGATGAGATAATCAATGTAACACCTTTCAATGGCTTCTCATTTGTTTTAGAATTAAATTTGATTTCACTGATATAACCTAAAGGTTTGGATGCCGTTCATCTTGCCTAGAATACATTTTCCCATTTTCTTAGCATTGTCAGCTCATTTTCATTCTTCGGGTGTCACTTCAAGTAACACTTCCTCAGGACACTTTCTGTGACTGATCATCCATCCATCCATCTATCCATTCATCCAACACAAACGTTTACTGAGCACCTATCCTGCACCAAGCATGGTATTAGGTGCTGGGTTTTATTAAGTGAACAAAAGTGGCCAGTCTTACCCTCATCTTCTCTTGTCACTCTTCAGCATATGACCAAGTGTGTTTCCTGCATTTACTGCAATCTGAAATAACCTTGTGTAATTATTTCATTACAGTTCGAGCATCCTTAGTCCAAAAATCCAAAATGCTCCAAGATCTGAAACTTTTTTTGCCACAGGATGCCCATATGGGTGGCTAAGATAGTGGCATCTTGGCTTTCTGATGGTTCAATGTACACAAACTTTGTTTTATAAAGAAAATTTAAAAAATGTATAAAATTACCTTTAGGCTATGTGTATAAGGTAGACATAAAACATAAATAAATTTTGTGTTTTAGACGTGGGTCCCATCCCCAAGACATTTCATTATGTATATGCAAATATTTGAACATCTGAAAAATTCCAAACTCCAAACAGTTTTGGTCCCTTTTAGATAAGGGATTCTCAACCGGTACTTGCTTTTGTCTATCTTCCATTTTAGAAAGTAAGTTTCAGGATAGCAGAAACCTTATGGATCTTATTTGCTATGTGGAATATAATTGGCACGTGTTAAGGGATTCAATACATGCTTTTTAAAAAGAATAACTGATTGGTGTTGTCCAGGAAAAAAAAAAAATAAGGCTAGGTGTGGTGGTTCACACTTGTAATCTCAACATTTTGGGAAGCCAAAGCCAGAGGATCGCTTGAGTCCAGGAGTTCAAGACCAGCCCGGACAATGTAGTGGGATCTCACGTCTACAAAAAATTTTAGAAATTAGCCAGGCCTGATGACACACACCTATAGTCCCAGCTATTTGGGAGGCTGAGGCAGGAGGATTGCTTGAACCCAGGTGGTTTAGGCTACAATAAGGAGTTGATTTTTAAAATTCTACTGTTGAATACACAAGTAGTAAAGAATTTTTAGCTCTTCACTCTCAGAATTTTCTGTCATCCCATGCCTTGTGTGACAAAAATGCTAGTTGTCCATCCTATAATACGTCGTATTCTTCTTCCTTATTCACAGAACCCTGGTTCTCATAGAGATGGCAATGGGTCCAGCTAGGAAACTATTTCCCCCAACCTTAACTCCCTTACAGATCAGGAGATCATGGAACACAGTCCTGGTTAATGAGATACGGGCAGAAGTCACTGTGTGAAGCTTCTAAGGAAAGTCTTTAAAAAGGGGAAAACTCAGCTAGCTTGTCTCTTTTGCCTTTCTGCCTTCCTATTTTCCCTGTCCAGAAGCAATATAGGATTCTAGAGATGAAGCAATGATCATCTGACACAAAGCGACCATGAGGGGAAGATAATTCCCTCCACCCCAACATCCTGAAGCCATAAAAATGTCACCATTAAGCTCTATTTGAGCAGACATATACAAATCTAAACACACACACACAGAGTGCGATTTTTCATGGAATAGTAGCAATAATGGTAGGCAGCAAATACATAATGGAAAAGGCCCTGGAAATTGAAAAGAAACAGACCTACACACTTTAGCTGACTTTGAATTTTCTCTGAAGTAAAAGCATATCTTTCTAACTATCTGATTGGTAGAGAAGACCCAATTTCTATTATGCGTTTGGTTCATACCATGTATATAACACATCAAATTCAATCTCCTGAGTTAAACAAACATGGTAGAAATAACTTGTGGATGTCTCAGTCTCTTTTGTTGTCATAGATCTGACTATAGAATTTTAAAAAGACTCTCACAAGTTTTTTTTTTTTTTTTTTAAGAACAAAGGCAGATAGTCCTACAAGCCAGGTAAAACTAGTTCAGAGAATAGATTAAAACAATATTTCTGAAGTATATATTACAGAACTTGGGTTTAATAGCTGTTTCAGGGAAAAAGATTAAAACGGCTTTTGGAAATGCTGGGCTAGACATGTTATTTTTAAAATAGAATATCATATGGCCTTTAATATTGTGTGCTCAGAGTAAGAAATAAAGCAAACAACATCTCTCAATCTACCTTAGTCATGGAGCATCTTGTGTACCACAGAGCACGGTTTGGAAAACACTAAAATTAAGAATTTTATTGTTCAAAATGTTATAGCTGTAATTAAAAAACTAATAATTTCAGAAAATACGAAAATAAATAATAGTAGATGCATCATGAAAACAAATATCAACCTTAAAATCTAGCCTTTAGAATAATCTGTCATCAGATTTTGTTTTAAAAATAAGCACACACAACAATGGCATTAAGAAAGTGAAAAGACAATACAAGGACTGAGAGAAAATATTGTCAAATCATAAATCTGATATGAGACTTATACCAGAAAGCTTGTATATGAAATACAGAACTCTTAAACTTCAATAATGAAAAGAAAATAATCTAACTGAAAAATGGGCACAGGATTAAATAGACATTTCTCCAAAGAAGACATACAAATGGTCATCAAGTACATGAGAAGATGCTCAACATTAGCTACTGTGGACATGCAAATCAAGACCACAGTGAGATACCATCTTATACCCATCAGTATGGCTATAAAAACCATTTTTAAAACACACACATAGAAAATAACAAGTGTTGTTGAGGATGTGGAGAAATGAGGACCTTTATAATTTGCTAGTGGAAATGCAAAGTGATGCATTCACTTTGGAAAACCATTTGACAGTTTCTCAAACTTATAAACAAGGATTTACCATATGATCCAGCAATTTCACTTCTAGATGTATATTCCAGAGAAATGAAAACAAATATCCACACAAAAATTTGAACACAAATGTTAATAGCAGCATTATTCATAATAGCCAAAAAGCAAAAACAACTAAAATGTCTACTAACTAATCAATGGATAAACAAAAATGGTATATCCATACAATGGAATATTATTTGGCAACAAAAAGAAATGAAGTAGTACTGATACATACTTCACCATGGATAAACCTTCAAAACATTATGCTAAGTGAAAGATGGTAATTACAAAAGACTGCAAATATTTTGATTACTTTTATAAGAAAAGTCTGGAATAGGCAAATCTATAAAGATAGAAAATAGATTAGTCATTGATTAAGCCTGGAAGTAGTAGAGAGGTAGGTGAAATGAGAAGTGGCTGTTAACAGGCATAGGTGTTTTAGGGGACATGATGAAAATGTTCTGGATTAGTGGCGATAGCTCCATAACTTTGTGAATATACTAAAAAACAATGAATTGTATACTTTAAGTGGATAAATCACATGGTATGTGAATCATATTTCAATAATACCTCTATGCACACACACACACACACACCTCACAGTAAAGGATCTCCTTGAGGAAAACCTGATAAACATCAGTCTTGTCATCCCTATTTAAATTTGAGAAGCACTGTTAAAAATATTGAGGAATAGAGTAGGGAATTATAACTAACTTCTTTATGTGTAAGATATTTTGGCTATATTAAACAATATGTATAAGCATGGCTTATTTCTAATAGAAGTGATAAGTATATGTATGATGATCATTATTCCTATTCATAGTGACTTTGGAATTATTTAGGAATCTTTCCACTTACATTAGTTCCACCTGCAGAGTCTGAACCAAATGGAGATTTTGTAAGTACTTACATTGTTTTTATTTCAAAATTGGCTCCAGGCATAATACTCCACTGAAGAGATGCAATATCTAACATTTTTGGATTTGTTATTTTAAACTATAGTTCACCTAGTAGCTTTCATTTTCCTTTATTTTCTGTGAGTAAATCCCCTCTTAAAACACTTGAGCAGAGATTTCAGCATTAATATGTATAAAACATATTTTATTAATCGAATAATTCTCCAAATAATTAATGTTTTGACCAATATGTTACCCTTTACATATATTAATAATCACATATCCAATATTATATGCTGAGAGCTGTTGGATGCTGCCTGTACAACGAAGACAGTATTCTGGCCATCTCATTTTAATAGGGAAGAAAAATATGTAAGCATATCAAAACAAAATGTAAGCACACAAAACATTTTTTTTATTAGTGGTTGAGTCCTTACTGTGTACCAGGCATGTACTAAGTACTGTTCATGCATTATTTTAAAAATCCTCAAAATAACCTTCTGGAGCAGTATTATTTCCCCTCTCTCATAAATGATAGAACTGGGACACATAGAGTGCTTTTACTCCGTGGAATCCTCTGAAGGTCCCACAGACAGAATGCAAACAGCCAGAAGGTCTGCCTTTGAAACACTAACTCTTACTCTCTACATTTTATTCCTCCACATATGAATGGGTAGGTGCTATAATTCACAAATACGGAAACAATGAATTCTTCCCTAAGAGGCTGGGGCATCAGTGAAAACTGAGCTAAAGAAAGCATGTAATGCTTGAGTTGGGTTTTAAGGTATGTATAGATTACCAGGGATGAGGAGAAATCCTAGGTAGATTGGGGTCAAGACAGATGGAACCTTATACGTGAAGTTTAAGAGTTCAGGGTATTCTTTAAAGGCAAGAGGAGACATCAGACACTTCAAACTATGAATTATATGAACATGTCTATATTTCAGAAAGATGAGTCTATCAACATAATAGCAGATTATTTATGTAATGGGAGAATTTGTGGGAAGAAAACTGATGGCAAAATTACTTAGAAGACCTCTGCTAAATGTAGAGTTAAACACCATTTTTTATTAAAGTTCATACCTATTCTCTTTTTATTCCCACAGAGAAAGACCTGGTCAATTCAAGATTCATTTCAATTGCAATACAAGCATTTCACCCTTTCACATTTAATGATTAAGCCATAAAATATTAATGATATCATCTTTGTTTTTGCATGAGGATGCAACTGTGTCAACAGGTATAATTTACTTCCCAAAAAAGCAAAGCCTAATAAATTAGAAAATCCATCAAAAGGAGATAAAGGACAGACATTTCAAAGGGGAAAAATATGATTCCTTTAAATAGGTAATCTATATCTCAATTGCAGCCTGAGCCCCCTTAACAGCGCCAGAAAATGTGTCCAAAGGTCTAGAGTGGTTGCCAAGCAATGAGATTTCAATATTTTTAATTACACAGATTAGTGTGAAGGTTTGTCTCACTCAGGACATTGCACTTAAAGTATAAATGTGAATATGGATGAGAAGATAAAAACACTTATTTCGTGGCATACATCCTTTTAAGGGAGATCAATATATTGCTTTGCCTTTGGGGTCACTGTGACCCATTAGAGGTAGATCATAATCACCTCGCCTATTGAAGAGGACCAAAATAGAGGAAGTAGCACAAGCAAAGGTTGAAGGACTTCAGAAAGCCATGGATACTCATGCTCTGACAAGCAAATCCATATTGCGTATATTAACTAATTCAATAATCACTGGGTACCTACAACCTGCCAGGCACAGGTTATGTAAGAGAGACGAAAAGCTGAATGAGTCTCCACCTTGGAGGAACTCTCATTCTCTAGAGGGAAACAAAACATGTAAATAATTACAATATAATAAATATCATAACCCTTAAAGTATCTGTTTCTCAGTGCGAGGAAAGGCTGCATAACGTGTGGCTTGAAGGTTGAAGAGGGTTTTACCAGGAAGAAATAAAGTAGGTCGGGTAGTGGGGGCTGGAGGATCATGCCAGGTATATGGAACACCCCTGGCAGATGCTAAGAATGTGAAAGTACACAGGTGATTTGCTCAGAAAAAAGACGGGCGCACGGATGACCTGTACTTAAGATGCACTAAAAAGAAAATGGTGGAAAAATCTGAATGTAATTTTGAAAGGCAGGCTAAGAATTTAGTAAATGTATACTATTGGTTTAAAATAGTCACTACTTTGTTCAGACTTATTCTTTAGAAAGATACAGTGTAAGAAAGTGGGGGCCGGGCGCGGTGGCTCATGCCTGTAATCCCAGCACTTTGGGAGTCCAAAGGGGGGCGGGGCGGATCATGAGGTCAGGAGATCGAGACCATCCTGGCTAACACGGTGAAACCCCATCTCTACTAAAAATACGAAAAATTAGCTGGGTGTGGTGGTGGCGCCTGTACTCCCAGCTACTCGGGAGGCTGAGGCAGGAGAATGGCGGGAACCCGGGAGGCGGAGCTTGCAGTGAGCCGAAATGGCGCCACTGCACTCCAGCCTGGGTGACAGGACGAGACCACGTCTCAAAACAAAAAAAAAAAAAAAAGAAAAAGAAACTGGGTATCACAGATTGTGGTCAAGTGAAGGTGGGTAACTCCAAGCAGAAAGACCTGTTATGACACAGTTCTATAATCCAGGCAAGAGATAAGGAGGTCTTGAGTCAAGGCAGAGACAATAGGAATGGAGGAGATAGGGAACATGGATAACCATTTCTGAGGTGGAATTTTACTTACTTAAAGAAGTTGAATAAGGGAAGCCATGAAAAAAGGAAAATACTGCTCAAAATTTGTGTACTTTTCATACTGTACTATAAATAACTATCTTGAAAAAAATGCAAACTCCTTAATGGTAGGCCTAGCTGTGCCTGGCACCTACAAGTTAGTTAACTAATTAATTACATAAATGCTAAAATGTCAAGTAGTATAGTTGAAGTTCCAAATTATTATTACTACCATAATTGTATTATGTTTGAAAGTTATCTCAATATAGCATGGGACGCTTAATATATTCTTGTTGACTGTGTTGACAAACTTTCAATAAAAAGAAACTGGCCGGGCGCGGTGGCTCACGCCTGTAATCCCAGCACTTTGGGAGGCCGAGGCGGGCGGATCACGAGGTCAGGAGATCGAGACCAAGGTGAAACCCCGTCTCTACTAAAAATACAAAAAGTTAGCCGGGCGTAGTGGCGGGCGCCTGTAGTCCCAGCTACTCGGGAGGCTGAGGCAGGAGAATGGCGTGAACCCGGGAGGCGGAGCTTGCAGTGAGCCGAGATCGCGCCACTGCACTCCAGCCTGGGTGACAGAGCGAGACTCCGTCTCAAAAAAAAAAAAAAAAAAAGAGAGAGAAACTAATACACAAAAACCTGACATAAATGTATCTATTCAACCCAAATGTTATTTCTCTTGTCAGTATTGCTAATATTCACATTGAATGGTAGTTATTTGCCTGTCATGTTTAACCACATCGGTGTTGCCAATCTGTATTTGTAAGAAACCAGAGAATCTCTCAGACTGATTGGTAAATGGATAGATTTATTCCTTTCAGTTCCATATACCATAAATGGGTATATTTATACCTTTAAGTTCCATATACCATAATCGTCAGCTTAATAAATGTAAAATCATTACATAAATAAGTTAACATAAATATAAAATAATTGCATAAATTACATGATTTAAAATAACTACATAAATTTCAAATACCCACACAATATATATATATCCACAAATTACTCCATGTTAAATAAGACAAATGCCTAGAATCTAACTCATTATATTTCTTACCGCAGATTTTGTCAGTGTGCCTTTTTTTGTCTTACCTATCTATCCCTTTTATTTATAGCTCTTTATATAGCTTTTCATAAAGATGACTCTACATGTATACTTACTTTGCATTCAGAGAACATATTAGTAAATAAGCACAAACTAAATAAAAATTAAGTTTCTTAAAGTTTTCAATGTATCTGCTCCATATTTTGCTGTTTGTCACTTTCATCTCTGAGGGCAGAAGTTGGAACTTCAAGGTACAGATCTATCCATTAGACTTGCACACAGGACATAAGATATATTAAAAAAAAAAAACTTTTATTTCAAAGTTCCTAAAATTAAATAACAAATAGAAGTTTATGAGATGGAATAAACAATTTAAAAATAAGTCAGAATTTTCAACATAAAATAAATCCTCTGATAATTCCAAGTCTTCAATTAACTTCTTAGGTATTTTGGAAAGTACCACTCTTGTCAAAATAGTGGTATCATTTGTTTAATAATAGCGCAATGTCTTGACACTGTAATTCTCTAATAAGGATATACTTCCCAAAGTTCAAAGAAATAGTTACAGTGCAATTTTTTTTTCCAACAGAATAAATTTCACACTAAGTTTTAAGTCTCAGTTCTGCAACCTTCAGAAATTCATGTCACCTCTCTGGGCTTCACAGAAACGTATAAGACAGGATAGGCTACTACTGTCTTATCACAACTACCGTCTTACCCATCTAGTAAGGATTTTATGATGGAGCAAAGGAGAGATCAAGAGGAGTACCTTCTTATCTAATATAATGATTGTGAGTAGAAGAAATCTACTTATATTGTGATTTTAAAACTCAACTATACATTTTGTAAATTTAATATGGTCAAGTATCCGAAGTATAGAATTATCTTTAATTTTAATTTTTCCCCTTCACATCAAATAAACATTATTTTTTCCTGTAATGATGGAATAAAGGGATCACCACTTATAATGCCTTATCAGCCATCTTGCAAGAACAAATATGGGAAAATGTTTACCTAGATGCAGTTAGGTTTTTTGGTTTGTTTGTTTTTAACATAACCAGCTTTTGCTGAGGTTAGTAGAATAAATGGAACAATTTCGTCTCAGAATATGAAGATAAATAGAAACTCTTCTAAGAGGGATGAAGCTAAGAGGGGAGCTGTGTAGGTGTCATAACTATGTCCTGATAGGGGGAACCCTCTTAGCCTCTGGGAACTTCAAGCAACCTACTTTGGGGTGACATTTCAAAGGAGCAGACCTCTGGATTATCATAAGGGAGAGTGCTCATCCTAACAAAAACCTGAACCAGATAACAAAAAATATCTTTTCATTTTCAGGATCCCAGTTTGAGCTTACTATAAAGTTTTAATTAAACAGTCAGAACTTACACTGCATGGAGGTGTTTAAGAACATGATTAATTTCTACAAAAAGAACAGACCATTATTCCAATTAATGTACAGATCAAGAGGCCTATAGGAGGACTTGAATGATCCTTGTTCCATTGTTTAATTTGTTGATGTTCATGTCTCTTTTTAAATTACTAATTAATTTTAGCTTGAAAAGGGGGAAATGGTTGAAGCAATACTTTTCCATAGCACCAATTCTTAATAAAATATATTTTAAGCTAGGCGTGATGGCATACACCTATAGTTCCAGCTACGCAGAGTGTGGCTGAGCTAAGAGTGGGAAAATCATTTGAGCTCAGGAGCTAGAGTCCAGCCTGAGTTACACAGTGAGACCCCATCTCTTAAAAAAAAAAAAAAAAGTATTGTATAGTCATTAATATATATTCACAGACTCATAGTCAATTCTTGAAAAATATTTGAATCTATTATTGGATACTCACATTAGATTTATCTCATGAAATGTATACTCTGAGTCTTATTTCTACTATCTGGAGTTGGGTATGCCCATAAGTTGTAGTAATATGTTCAAGTTTAGCTGACTAATTCATTGACTACTATGAATTATGGTACAGCTTATAAGTTATAATTTGAGTGTTATCAGCTATAACTTATAGTTTGAGTGTTTACGCTAAGCAAAGAAAAAGATATAACAATTATATTATTCTCCAGATTTCATTAACCAACTGTGGGAAGTGAAAGAAATGATCGAATAACTTTCGTCTCCTCAAGTTTGAGTTTTTATTTTAATAAATGAAGTCTGTACCTGAAATTATCAGACTTCAAGATTGTGTTATAAATGAAATAAGTCAGTAAAAAGATAACCAAAAAAATGGACAACAGAAAAATAGTCCTCATAACAATTTGTGAATTACGGTGCATTTATCTTTACAGCAAAAGAAATTAAAAAGTTTTATTTCTAGAGACAGGCATTGAGCACTGAACCTGGGAATTAAACTGGGTTCCAGACTTGACTACCTTGCTAATTACTTCTCCAGGAGACCATGACTACTAATATCTATGATGTATTAGTTTGCTAGAGCTGTCATAACTAGGTAAACAAATTCAGTGGTTTAGAACAACAGTAATTTATTATCTCACAGTTCTAGAGGCTGGAAGTCTGAAATCTAGATGTCAACAGGCCTATGCTCTCTCACATCTGTAAGAGAAGAATCCTTGCCTCTCCCTGGCTTCTGTTTGGTTTGCTGGCAATTCTTGGGGTTCCTTGGCTTGTAGATGCATCATTAGAATTCTCTGTCTTCAGATGGCCATCTGCCCTCCAGGGGTGTCTGTGTCCAAATTTCTCTTTTTTATAATGATACCAGTCATGTTGAATTAGGACCCACCATAATGACTTCATTTTAACTTGGTTACCTCTGCAAAGACCCTATTTCCAAATAAGGTAACATTCTGAGGTGTTAGGGCTTAGGATATCAACATATCTTTTGGGGAAAACACAATTCAACTCTTAGTATATGGGTCTCAGTTTTCTCAACTACATAATAGGGAAGATTATTATTATACCTAAAGGGGCTCTCAACCAATTATGGATGGAGCAATTTTCATTTTCTCCAAGTAAAATATATGCTTGGTAAGTGGTATTGATAGCACTTGCTGAATGAAAGAACTTGGTGAGGACTGTGCTACCTTCTGCACTTTCTGGAAAAACCTATTTGGAACAATTATACATGTAGTAATTGACCTATGATTCTTCTGGTAGATTTTATTTAGAGATTTGGGACTCCTCAATTAGATAATCTCCAAGACCTTTCTAGCCATGACTTTCATGATTCTAGAACATATTTAAAATTTGAATTCCCGTTATAGAGATAAAATCAACAAGACAAACATATCTGTCCTGCTCATGAATTTTTAACATGAAAACCTAAAAACCAGGAAAAAAGTCCCTCATAGTACTTAAAATATTATTCTTATTAACACTTTTACTAATGCTCTTCAGTTTCTCTAAACTAGAGTCTATTCTCTGTAAATACTCTGTTTCATCTATAAATATATACTTCTCAGGATATACTTATTTTGATAAATCATAGTATTCATAAAAATGTCATCAAGTACCTATTTGCTAGATGTTATACCCCTAGCGTCTGTCATAATATGTGCTCTGCAAAAGTCATGTACCTCTCCCTCCCTTCAGTTGTTTCAGTTGTCAAAGGCAGATGTTAATTAAAATCCCATCAGGCATGTCCAATGGGCATACCTTATTTATCAATATCTTATGACTAAATTATTGTAGATGCAGTAAGTACTAGGAAGACAATGGCCTCATCAAAGATTTTGAACATTATAAACATAATCAAGGTTGCAAAGAACCATGCTAAAAGGACTTAGATATTCCTTGTGGAGGCAGAAGCTTTCATTCATTTACCTTGGCTCTCCACTAGGTTGAACTTCTCTGTCCTTGTGCCTCTGATTCAAAGTGTCATCATTCCTCCTGGGGCAACTACCGAATTGTCACCATCAGAATATTTCACAATATATTATTCAACACCAGTGTGCTAGCACAGATCACAAAACACAACCATGTACATAATGTCAGTAGCTGGGGTTTGAGAAAGGGAGTAAGATGAAAGCAGGGCTGCATTGAAAAGACTAAGAAATAACAAACCAAATGCAAATCAGTGTGACAACCTCCTAGGTTGGAAATTATTCCCAGCCTAAATTTTTAGCAACTGAGAACAACTACTCACGATAAAAAGGACAACCACCAAAAGAAACAATTAAAGTTGTCAGGGCATTACAAAGCCTATGTACCCTTTAATCATCCTTTTAAAACCTGCTCAAAAGGACTGGGCCCATTCTTACAAACTCCCTCACTTTCAATCTGAGTCTCAGCCTCAGAAAATCGAACACTTACAGCCGGGTAGACAGAGCCTGAGAAAGTTTTTTGAGTTTTGCTTTTTTTTTTTTTTCCTTTTAAAGTTATACAGACACACATAAAATGTCTGCTTCTACATTTTAGCCACCGCAACATATAAAATGATGGGGTTTAAACAGTAAAATAACAATATAATGGGGGGAAAAAAGTTTTGCCCCTGGCATCGGGTATTATAAACATCAAAGAGTGCCAGTATAAACCTTTATTCAAGAGACTGGGTTCTTTGTCAAGCAATGCCTTTCTTCCAAAACATCCTTGCTGCCATATGTCTGTACTCAGCCAGCTGCAGATCTAATAAGAAAGTTCTTATTCATGTTGTATAATGTTTTACAGGTTTGCCACGGGGGTCACTCACTGTGAGTCCTTGACGTCAGAGTCAGAACTCTAACAAACAGACAGCGGAAAGATGCCAAGAAATGTAGGTTGGGAGGAGAGAGGACCCAGGAAAAAGAAAAGAAACTGTGCATCAAGCTCATAGCCTTTCTATTTATCTGGCACTCACTGAATGCCAGAAACAATGTTTTTGCTATTATTATTAGAGAAGAAAAAGAAAGGAAAAGGGGCAACTATTAGGTTGTACAAACATTATCATTCACTATAAGATCAGAAATACTTAACTAACTCTCCTGGCTATCCATTTAGAAACGAGTGATCCATTCATCTTCTCAAATGTTTAGAAGCTATTTAATTATGTTTCTGTTGTAGTATTCATTATGTTAAAAAACAAACAAACAAAAACAAAACAAAAAAACACGGCCGGGCACAGTGGCTCACCCCTGTAATCCGAGGCAGGCAGATCACCTGAGCTCAGGAGTTGGAGACCAGCCTGGCCAACATGGTGAAACCCCCTCTTTACTAAAAATACAAAAATCAGCCGGGCATGGCAGCAGGCGCCTGTAATCCTAGCTACTCGGGAGGCTGAGGCCGGAGAATTGCTTGAACCTGGGAGGCGGAGGTTGCAGTGAGCCGAGATCGCGCCATTGCACTCCAGCCTGGGGGACAAGAGTGAGACTTGGTCTCAAACACACACACACACACACACACACACACACACACACACACACACACACAGAAAAAAATGTCTCCTAATGGCCTTAAAACATGAAGATGTTTTATTAGCTTCACAGTTTACTTCAATAAAGGAGTTGGCTACATCATCAATTACAAACACTATATTACCAATACAAAACTCATATTGACATGAAATGAGATTCAGCAAGTAAAAAAAAAAAAATCAGTTTAAGATAGGCACTATAGGAAATAACATAAACTGGCATCCATTCACTTTTCAAAAACTGAATGGAAGACAGCTTTTACTGAGTCTTTTCTATCGCAAATACCACATGCCTTGCTATGAACTCATTAAGAAGATTAGTAGGTCATTCACAGAACATGGATCTCTGCTTCCAGATGCTTAGAGGTTTAGAAGGCATATTATACATACCCATATTACTTTATTTTTCCATGATGACTTGCTATAATTGTAACACTTTTTTAAAAAAATTTGATTTAAAAAATGATTTTCAAGTGAGTTTTTAGATCCCAGACATTGTTCAAAAATTTAATCACAGGCAAATAAGTTTTCAAAATGATATAATGCAATCTCAATGAAATTGAAATATTGCTGGCTCATTTAAAATACAGAATCTAAAAGCCAATAAAAAGATACTTACAGAGTTGCTGACTAGAAGTCAACTTGAAAATAATATCAATAGAGAGAAAAATAATTTTATTGAGGAACAATAGTATCAACTAAATAGAAGATGAGCCAGTGTGTAAAGAAGGTGAAGATATGTCTCACCCCTCAAGTGTGATGTCCATGTCACCACAGAGGTCTCAAACAATAATCTTCATATGAATTCAGAAGCACAGGTGGCATTAAGAGTTTCAAAATACTTTACTGGTGAATTTTATATTAGTATCCAAAGCCTTACCAACTTTGAAACAAAAGTCCTCAAGTATAAGGTTGTTTTCTTTTACTGAGAAAAGTGATTATTGTTTTTCACTCTTATTTATGAATACTCAAAGAAAAGCACAAATCTCCAAGTAAGAAATTTTTCTGCAGTTCTCAGTACTGATAAGATAGCAAGTTTTGGTTACTCATTACCTCATTGCACAGTTTTCTGATTTTGTCAACTTTTCTCTTATATCTCAATCCTTTATCCTCTCATACTTTTAGAAGTACTCTTTAGTAACCTTACCAAACAGACTAAACCCCCCAAAAATGAAGTAATATTTTGTAGTCGGTCAAATTTTACTGTCTTCAAAGACATTCAGTCAGCAGCAACGTTACACAGCAGAATATCAAAATCCTATTAAGAGTAAATCATATAAACAATGACTGGTGTTATATTCTGAAATAGTGACTGACACTAAAGGGTCTTTGTTCAAAACAATTTTCTTGTTGCTTCAATGAAAGCATCTTGAAGATATTTTGAAAGTACACAGTGATAAGGTGAAACAGATGATGTCAAAAGCCCCCCCCCCCAACCAAATCAGAATGTTTCCATGTTAAAAGATTTGAAAAAGGAACAACAACATTATTATTCTTAAAATCAATTTTAGTCCCTCAAACTCCATCTTGTTGGCAACATTACAAGTCCTTCAAATGTAAAACTGAACATGATGATAGTAACAAGAATAGTAAACGATGATGACTACACAACATATTTTTGTAAGCACACTTCCTGGGTGACCTCATTCAGTCCTCACAACACATATATTACTATTCCTTTTATACAGATGAGGAAACTGACGCACAGGGAGAATAATAACTTGCCCAAGGCTCCGGAGCAGTAATGTAGCTCCATCTTCTTTTTTGTTGGAGACAGAGTTTCACTCTTGTTGCCCAGGCTGGAGTGCAATGGTGGATCTCGGCTCACCACAACCTCCGCCTCCTGGGTTCAAGCGATTCTCCTGCCTCAGCCTCCCAAGTAGCTGAGATTACAGGCATGCACCACCATGTCTGGCTTTTTGTATTTTTAGCAGAGACGGGGTTTCTCCGTGTTGGTCAGGCTGGTCTTGAACTACCAACCTCAGGTGATCCACCCGCCTCAGTCTCCCAAAGTGCTGGGATTACAGGCGTGAGCCACCGAGCCCGGCCTAGCTCCATCTTCTAACCACAAGAGGGTAGTGCACAGAGGTTACCTCTGAGGGCAAGGAATGGGGTGAGACAGATTAGGGACCCACAGGGGCTTTCCAAGATTGTGGAATGGTTACTTCTTAGACTCAATGGTTGATGCCTGTGTGTTCATTTTATATTTTATTATTATTCTTATAGTAAAAATAACATACATAAGATATATAGCTATATATAAAATATTTTTAAATGATATGCATATGTAATACTATATATGTTATATGTGCTCTTTAATTTGTGATCTGTTTCACAATTTAAAAATTTAAATAAAAAACTAGCTATTATACAAATTTTAAAAGCTGGCCTAAGTAGCATCTTGACTGAATTTGAGATTTAGGCAATAAACTTCATCATCTTTTAGTGAGCACGCACCATGATCTTGGCAAAATTTTGTCACATTCTAGAAGATAACTGAAGATCCCCCCTCTCTTCTAAGAAAAAAAGCTTTGGCAAGTAATGGCTACTCTAGGCTGTGGTTTTCTCATTCAAAAACGAGGAAATGGGACAGATTATCGTTACAATACCTTGCAGTTTTAGAATTGGGAGGATGTGAAGAGCTAAATGCAGCCGCAACTGCTACGAAAACTTGTCACTGAAACCTAAACACAGTGGGTAATATCAGAATTTGTTAAATCAGGAGTACAGATGAAGACTTATTCTATAGAGTGCTTCCATTTTATTCCTCCTATCCCTTTCTTAAGCTGTTCCCCTGGGGCCGTGATGGTAGTTCTACAAGTAAACATGACAACTGGTAACTAGGGTTCAAGACTTGGTTGCCCACTAAAGAGGTATGAGTCCTTAGACAGTCATTTAACCATTCCTCCCTTTAAATTTTTGTTAAATATATGAAAATACCTTTTATCAGTGATACACACATATAAAGTAATAAACTTGTATCTTCCTAAAGAGTATGTGCAATTGAAATAACATTTTAAATGTTCCCAATAGCACTTGATGAGTCATTTTAAAGCAAAGAACTTTTCTACGAAGTGAATCATCCACTGATTATTCTCTTCTATAATTCAAATTTTAAAAACATTTTTTACTTTAAGTGATACATTCCTACATCAGGGAAGTATTGTTTTCTGAAAGAAATCCCAAGAATCACACACCCGTTAAGAAATTATAAATTTCATTGTTGCTTTGGTCAACAGCTCAGGGTATTCAAATCAGAAAATATCAAGGTCTAGGACACTAAAAATCAACATTTGAATTCAACATTAAGAAATGCCTCTGTGTAAGTGGTAATAAATAAGACAACTGTCAAAATGATCTAAGTACTATTAACTTAAAAAGAAAGACAATTATTCTTTTGGCTCTGCAGACCAAAGAATTTGCCTGTTGAAAGTTCAATAGAGGAAAAGGAAATTAGAGAAAGAAGACAAGATCACAACTGAGACAAGAGGAAAAGGAGAGTGCTCCTCCTCTAAGCAGAATTGTGTATGCTCTCTGCATATTCTCTAAGTTTTAAGGACAACCTACAGCGGGCAGCTGATGAGTCTGGATCCCATAAGCTGGGAAGGGAGAACACTTACCTGTATGGCAAGAAGCCCTGGCCTGTGAAAGTCAAGAGGGACCTGTGGCACCAAGGACTCCGAAACAGAAACATGGCAACTTCAAGGAAGGCATTAAACTTGGGATTGGTCTAGGATGCTGCCATTTCAACATATCAATCTCAAGATCAACATAGCAAAATATTACTTATCATTCATTAGAATTTTCACTATCTTTAGCCTAATGCCACCCACCCCACCGCCCAGGTATACCCCAGGACTTGGTATTTAGACCTCCTCCATGTGCATTCATTCCCTTGGTGATCTCAGGCTAACTAGTTTTTTAAAATACCATTTATATGACCATGACTCCCCAGTTAATATTCCCAGTGCCAACCTTCCCCATGAATGGCATACTCACAAATATAGCTTCACACATGGCTAATGAGCTTTTGAAACAACTTTTCTAAAATAAAATGTGTTATTCTTCCCCCAAAGTCTGCTTTTCCCTGCCCCACCCCATTTCATTTTTTCCCATCTTACTATGAGGTAACATCAGAGATCAGTAGGTACCATCAACAACCTTAGGATCATTCTGCCCTCTCACATCACATTTCCAATTTATTCAACAGCAAATTCTGGAGGTTCAGCCCTTCTAAAGACATCACAATTCCAACCGTGCCTCAACTCACTAAAATCTCTAACCGAGATAACCACAAAGCTTTCCTCCCAGATATTCTCACATCAGTCAAGTGCTCAAAGACAAAGACAACACCCCAAAAGCTACACACTTTTACACTGTCCATCTTCTTTCCCTGTTTTATTTTCTTTGTAAAACTCAGCCTTTTCTGGCATACTTAATAATCATCAGTTAATTATCTGTCTTTTGCAGTAGTTCTCAAACTTTCACAATCACCTGTTAAAAGACAAATTGCTGAACCCCACTCTCAGAGTTTCAGATTCAATAGGTCTAGGCCGGGGACTTGAGAATTTGCATTTCTAGCAATTCCCAGCACACTGATACTAATGATCTGGGAACCACACTTTGAAAAACACTGCTCTACAGAGTGTAAGTTCCTGGAGACCAGGGCCCTTGTGTTGATGGTCACTGTATCGCAAGCACATGAGAGAGCAGACGTGAATGATGCTGTAGGGTAAACTTAAGCAAACCCTTAGAATGACCCTGTACAGTAGACACACCTGAAAGTGTGTCCCAAGCTAGGGAATCTAGTGGACAGCCCGAAGATTTGTTCTTTGTCTGTGAGGAACATCTGAAACCCCATCCCATCCCATGGAACATGGGCCATACAGAGGAATGAGGCCCTGAGTTTGGGGTTAATGAGGGTTGCCAGGTGGAGGTCATAAAGGAGAGAGTGTTAAGTGAAAATGCTACATAAACTGCATGCTGTTTGCAAGTGGTTGCGGTTTTCCTGCCCAGCCTGCCACCACTGGATCATTTCTGTAGGTAAGTTGGTTCTCCTGTCCAGCCCACTGCCACTGACTCTCTCCACTGTATGTAAGCTCCTAATGAAACTCCATGTCTCCTTTGTTGGCTCGGGGTCTCTTCTTCAGCCTCTTGAACCTAGTACCTTCCCTATTGAGGTTAATGAGGGTTCGGCACAACAGACGCTCAATAACACTCGTTGAACAAATGAATTAATAATCTTGAAATAAACCTATTTTAATATTACAGACATTTCCATGAGCATTTGATTCTAAATAATTTATCTCAAAACTTCAAAACTACAAAGCATCGTATAAAATACACACATATATCTTTTTAAAATGGACTGTGTATCAAATTGGAAATCTGGGCATTACCAATCACTATGAAACACACTGATAAGACAGTGTACATGTTCAGTATCACTAATTCACAACTGAGTATTCAATTCATTTAAACTCACTTACCTTTCAAAATGACTGGCTAAAATGCTTGATTACACTCCCAACATCTAAGGTTTTCTAGACTTAAAAAAAATCTCTTATTATTCATGTTACCACTCCTCTTTCGTACCACAAATTTTATCTCATAGAAGCTAGATTGTGTAGAAGTTCCTGGCTCCAAAAGATGTGTATAAATTTAAAACTATATCCACCTATTTCCTTCCTGTCCAGCCAGCCTGTTTCTAGACACCTCCACATGAACCTGATTCTTACAACCCCAAGAATACAAAAAAAAAAAAAACACTCCAGGAGAGACAGCCAGGAGTTTAGCCAGGAATATATTTGAAGGAAAAGGTATACAACAAATAAAACGAATGGCACTTGCAACAAAATATGTTTACATCCACAGGAGAAGCCGAGGCCATTCTTTAGTTCAAACTGTAGGACATGAAGAACGGCCCATCACAGAGGTGAAGAGGATGTTTCATGAGCCAAGGTCTCCCCTCTGGATCTCCTCCCTCAGTTTTAAATCATCAGCCCCCTTTGCAGCATGAGTCCCAAGTGGGTTGCCAAGTACAAAGCAGAGAACTCACTGCACTAAACAGATGCTAGTATTTCTCAGAACAACACTTGGCTCTGGCTTCTGTTTGCCTGACTCTGACCCCATTCCTCCTTTTGCCACAGGGCTGACAGCTGATGGTGGGTGCTTCTGAGCATACAAAGCCAAGAAGCGGCAGAGGGATCATCAAACCTTGGGCCAAATCCTAGAAATCATTTGGCAATGTGATCTGTTGTCCTGCTACTTTATGTTTTCATAAGCATACAGTAAAACAAGCCAACTATCAAAAAACACAATATAGCAAAATCTTCTCATTCTACTGGCAGACATAAGAAATATTTATAATTTATTTTCCTAAGCATCTGCATGTGTCTTTTGGCTGACTACTCATGGTGAATTTTTACTCCTATGTTGGTTGATAGCCAGCACGCACCAGGATGGAACTCAACCACTTCTAAGCAACTGCGTATTCAGGAAAAAATAAAGCCAATTTGAATGGAAATTCAAGTCAAATAATTAGCTAAATATGCTGTTGATTTTAGCTCCTGAATTTCTTTAGGAATCATGATGTCATTGCCAGCCTAAAACTAACCCACCCAGGGCTCCACATTACTTACAGAAAAAAGTCCAGTGTATTTGTCATGGCATAGATGGTTTTTTATTATCACATGCCTCCATTCCAGCACTTCAGTTGCTTCTCTTTGTATCATGTGCTTGGCGATACTACACTACTTGAATTTCACCAAACACGTTGGATTTTTCATTACTGATACCAATGACTATGGTGCAATTCACAGGCTTTAGCGTTAAACATACCTAGGTTCAAAGCTTAGTACCCTCACTGAATAGCGATGTCACCTTAGGCAAACTTCTTTAAATCCGAATCAGCTGCATCATCATTGAAATGAGGATTAAGGACATCTACGTTGGAGGAGTATGGAGAAAACCGATGTGAGATGATGTCCCTTAGCAAAGTACCTGGAGCAGCACAGGCCTTACTTTCCTCACCACCCCTCTGCTAGCTCCAGCTCATCTTCCAAAACCCGCCTCAAAAGTCATTTCCCTGATGGCAGCCTTCCTTCTCTGATGTGCCTTTTTTGTTCTGCCACAGGACTGAGAAAATCAATCAACCAAACAAAAATCCCTTTCTCTTCCTTTGCTATTGGGAACTACATCTTGCACATATGTTCATTAGTGCAGTTACTTTATGATGCAGCACATATTTTTACATTCCCTTCTTCATTAATCAGCAGTAGACATACTGTGTCTGAATTATATTCGTATTAAATACTTAAATTAATACTTTCCACAAAGCGTACTTCATAAATGTAGAACTTAATGAATATATACATCAAAGGGCAAATTCATACAATGTGTTCTATGAGCACACAGTAAAATATTTTTTATTCACTATCCTTTATTATTGCGGATATCAAAATTGAGATATATATTCCTTACTTAACAAAGATTTGTCAGTAATCAATTCCATACCAAGCATTGTAGACATAAAAGTGAATATGACATTGCCTTGAGATGTGACTCAGCTTATAGGGGTAGCCACAGACTCTGTGTGCACAACTCCAGGGGGCACCAGTCATAATTTGGCCACTCCTGGTGTTCTGTAACAGGAGTTTCCAGACTCACTCCATGATATCTACTTGCTTTAAGAGAGGGACTTTCAAAATATAAGTAGAGAGAATAAATAATAACTATCTTTATAAGTATGGCAAAGTTAAAGAACTCCTCCATAAGGAGCCACATTTAGTCACATAAACTACAACACTACATAATCATATACTTCCTAGTCTCATAAAAATGCCAACTGCTACCCCTAAAGTTATGAAAACCATTTTACACAATCTTCTTTAGCAACACAGATCAATACAATGACTATCTGCCACATGTAGCAATTTCAATTAAATGAAATGAAATCAAATTTTAAAAAATTCAATTCCTCAGTTACACTAGTTACACTTCATGGATGCAATAACCACATGTGACTGTGGCTACCAGATTCAACAACATAGCTATAAAAAAATCCATCAGTACAGAAAGTCCTATCTAAGTGTTGCGTCTGGAGAATTAAATAAAAGTCTTTTTTAAAAAAATCTGATTATGCCTCTGTTCATTTAAATCCATTATTAAGTGATTTATTAACTCTTTTACCAAAAAAATTGGTCACCATTCTCTTTTACATGCAAAAGGGGGAAAAAAAGATGGAAGAACAAACACTTCGGATCTGAAACATCTATTAATCTTGGTTTCCAAATATGGAAATACTCCAATCCAACACTAGGAAGGCTTTTTTTTTAATGACAGAATAGTTTACATAATTTTAAAAAGCAGTCTTCTATTCAAAATATATATTGCTTTTGCTTTCTTTTTGAATTCAGTTATTTTATTAGCCACAGGTAAAGGGATAAATTTGGTTATACTTGGAGATCTTCTCCCAAATGAATCTTTTTTTTTTCTCCATTATTAAATATCTTTGAAGCTCTAACTCTGAGCCCTCTAAAAGTTCAGTCATTGTCATAGCAAGGATTAGAAAGCTTTCAAAATATGTCCTCTCAGGCTGTAAAAAACAGAACTGATTCTTAGTCTTTATATATTCATGCAAAAAATTTTCTATGCCTGTAATACATTTGAATATTGAGAAGATCTCTCTTTATAAAGCAGTCCCAGGAATGAATAACCAGTCCTTTCTGAAGCACTGGAGCAATTTGTTTGCAATTTACCCTTATGGGGCAAATACGTTGTGTCTCCCCATTCTTAGGGAGATAAAAATATTTTGATATTCAAATAGTACATAGGAATTACCCATGAAAGAATAGCTGTTGCCAAGGAGGGAGACATGAGTCCCTGTCTGTCTCCAGAAAAGAACATAGCACAGTCAGTGTTTCTCAAAATGTGCCTTGGACCACGCAGATTAGGAGTCTCTTTGTAAACGGGTGTTACTAAGTGGATTTCTGTGGGCTACATTCAGGATCCCAGGCTTATTAAGTCATAATCCTAAGGTTGGGACCTAGGAATGTGCATTTGTCAAGTTAGCGAGAGATTGGTGTGCACATTCTAATTTGACAACCATTGTCAAAGTGGCAGGGATAAGAGAAAATGGCCCCACATGACATTTCCCTGACCTACTGACTGAGCCTGAAGAGAGGAAAACCTGATATTTAAGATAATTAATAAGTTTTATAACAACAAACCCAGGGATCCCACTTCAGTGATTTTTACTTATTTGTAAATAAATATAATCTTAAGGATATCCAGTAGAAGTAAATCATCCAGTAGAACTAAATCACAAATACTCAGTTTGTCATAGGAGGGAGCTGTAGGAAACACAGCAGAAATTTTATAAAGAAGCTTATTTATGTCATCATGGTGCCCATTATACAACGGAGAAAAAACATTCTGAATAAGAGTTTACAATAATCACACAACATTTTTATAACCAAGCAATCCAAATATACTCAGAGGGAAAGTATCCTCTTTTCTCCCCGTTGTTCAAAGTGTCACATAATCCCCATAGTCCAACCCCTTCTTCATAGTATAAACTGGTCAAGAACCAGGGCTATGTCTTGTTTCCTCAGTCATGTTTTATTCCTGGTACCTAGATCAACTTAGTTGTTAAATCAAACCTTTTTGAATCAATGGGTGTAGGCACTAATGATAACAAGTACAACAAATGGCACTAGCTACTCTGAAAGAAATAAACCAACTTTCAAAATTACTTATCATTTTCTAGAACCGCATTGGAAAGTATGAAATAGAAGAACACATTTCTGCTGTCGACAGAGTCAAACTACAGGGCTTTACTGGCAACTTTGCCATTCAGTAAATGCCTGTGAGACACGAGCAAATCTTGTGCTCTCCTGGGGCTCTTTTTCCCATCTGTACAAAGAGGGGTAAAACAAGATGCTCTTCCTGCTTTGAAATTCTATAATTTGTATTGGGAGAAAAGAGTTCCTCATCCTAGTTATAGTTTTTAGCCTCACAGAATAAAATATTTTAGCTCATTCTTTTGAATAAAACTTATCTCAATGTAAATTACATTGGTGACATTACAATTCCTGCTGGTCTCTCTAATTAGTTAAGCTTCACTACATAGAAAAATATTTAACTTAACAAATTAGAAAATAAAAACGTTTGATTTTTGTAGTCAAAGAGGCCATAGCATAATGGTTCAGAGCCTGTCTCTAGAATCAGACTTTTATAAACATATTCACTATTAAATTAATCGCAGTGAAAGCAACTTGAAAAATTTAAAGAAACCTCATTAGAAAATAACTTGAGAATGCCATACCCTGAAAGAAATGATCCAGCACAAACCAAAGACATTGAGGCTTCATTTTTTACATGTGTAAATGTATAGGTATTCTACATGCCAGGTAATGACTATGTTGATCATAGTACATTTAAAATATATGTGAAGTAGAACTGGTCGTGTAAATTACAGGATTGTTTCACTACCATTTTGAAAGATACAAATCAAGCAAATCTATTTTTCTTTTACATGTCCACTTATTTTAAGTGCCACTCTATTAAACAAGAAATAAATGAAATTCATCAACGGCTCAGTAATTGACCCCACATAAAGCAAGACCTGGAGGTATCACTATCTAATAAGGTCAGAGACTTCACCAAAATGAATACTCAAAATCCATCCCTTTTTGAATGAGTCTGAGTAAGAATCTATGAAAAAAAAGTATGCTTGTCTTCACATTTCCGTAATAATTATCACTTCTCCCATTACCTTTGGGAGGTTTTGAAAGGTCAAAAACTTTCCTTGGCATGGCCTCCTGCCCAGAGAATACTAAGCCAACATGTTCTGAAAAAAAAAAAAATAGGCCGGGCGCGGTGGCTCACGCCTGTAATCCCAGCACTTTGGGAGGCCGAGGCGGGCGGATCACGAGGTCAGGAGATCGAGACCATCCCGGCTAAAACGGTGAAACCCCGTCTCTACTAAAAATACAAAAAATTAGCCGGGCGTAGTGGCAGGCGCCTGTAGTCCCAGCTACTTGGGAGGCTGAGGCAGGAGAATGGCGTGAACCCGGGAGGCGGAGCTTGCAGTGAGCCGAGATCCCGCCACTGCACTCCAGCCTGGGCGACAGAGCGAGACTCCGTCTCAAAATAAATAAATAAATAAATAAATAAATAAATAAATAAATAAATAAATAATACAGTGTGAGATTCTACACCACTAAGGAGATCAGGGATACTCTAGTCTGCTTCGGATTTCTGCATTAGTTAGAATACTCCACGTGTCCAGTGGAAGGTCAGTTTATTGTAGATTCTTTCCAGTGTAACCCAGTTTCCAGAGTTAAAGTTTGAGTGTCCAGAGGGCTAGCATTTCCAATCTGTGGTTATCTAACACACCATATCAACTGTCCTCTAGGAACTTCTCAAATCACTACCTATAGATGTGTAAAGTGGACTTTTTAAGCTAAGGAGTTTTACACTCATTCATTAACACTTGCTTTTGTAAAAAGGAACCAGTGTATATATTTGACATATATTCTGAGGTCATGCATTCAGAAACACATTTAACATGTTAGTGGTATATTACATTATCATCACTATCAACAACCATTTCTTCAGTATCTACTATATGCCAGGCAGTAGGCCCTTAACATATATTGTCTCATTAAATTCTTAAAACAACTTCTAATAAAGTGCTATGGTTTGAGTATCTGTCCCCTTCAAACTTACGTTGAAATTTAAATGCCATTGTAACAGTATTAAGATGTAGTAATTTGAAGAGTTGAACGGGCCCTGAGGGCTCTACCCTCATGGCTGGGATTGATACCATTATGAAAGGATGAGTTCGGCCCCCTCTTGCCCTTTCTTTGCCCTTCTGCCATGTGATGATGCAGCAAGAAGGTCCTTGTCAGATACTGATATCATAATCTTGAACTTTCTAGCTTTTAGAACTGTTCTTGAAATAAATTTCTGTTCTTTATAAGTTACCCAGTGTCAGGTATTCTGTTACAGCAGCACAAAATGGGCTAAGACAGGAACATGTTATTGAAACCATTTTACATAAACTTGGGTTAGGTCACATGCCAAAGTCACACAGCTAGTAAGATACAACTAATGTGGGAAGCCAAATTCAATTCCAAAAACCATGTGCTTTCTATTATGCTTCACTGTCTCTCAACTTTTTCTAGCATGTTTAACTAACAATAAGTTTATAATTCATACAAGTGATGTTAACACTGAACAAATCTATAACTGCAAAGCTAAAGTATAACAATTATAGACCTGGGAATTAAGAATCAGAAAGTTTAAATGACTTTCTCAAGGTCACATAGCTCAAATATTGTAGAAACAGGACTGACATTACTTCTACCCTTTGTCTTCAAGGGTTCTGTTCTTTTAGAAATGATAACGTTACTGCCATTGCATATATTTTCACATCAAATGTTATCAATCATGCTTTACTTCAAACACAACACAAATAATATAATTTACACATGTGATGCATGGATTTGAGATCAATGACATTTACAGAATTTAATAGAAGGTTCCTGTACAGTTTATAAAAAGAAGACATTTTTCCTTTCAAAATACCTTATTTCCCAAACCATGTCAATCAGTTGAGTAATCAATAATATCCTAGGATGATTTGAAACTAAAAACAAGCAAAATATGAGGTATAGGCTAAAGTATGTTAATTGCCTTATTTGATTATGCCTTGCAAATTTTGATATCTTCTTTGAAAATTTCAAACAAAAATAAAATGCCTGTGTCTCACCCCAGAGATGTGGATTTAATTATTTTAGGGTGAAACCTGGGCACTGGGATTTTTACCTATTCCCATGTTATTTTAATGTGCAGCCAAGGTTGGAAGCCACTGCAAGTGTAACAGACTACAGATGGTTAGCGGAGGAGGTGGGACTTACAAATTAGTTTTCTTAGTTCCAGATGTGTGTTATATTCACTACCTCTTTTTTTCTTCCAATTGAAACAAGCCAAAAAAAGTTAACAGTACTTTAAGTTGGCAGTATTAAATTCAGAAATATTTTAATCTCATTTAATGGCATCATTTAAAGTCCTACTGACTGATAAATTGACTGAAATCTGTCTAAATTGTTTCAATCATCTCAGTAAAACTTCAGTGGAATCTCTATCAGATGTGTCAAAACTGCTTGTGTGGTCCTTACAGTTTAATATAACATATCAACACAATCTCCTAACATAGGACACTGATGAAAAGGTCATAAAAAAATCTGAAAATCTTGAAAATGCTAAAGTAATTTTAGTGTATATTTCCACAAATTCCATGAGAAATTAATACAACTGGGAAAACTACATCCAACAGTTTGTAGATTAAGGAAAATGAGACAAAACCTGTCTTACAACCATCCCAAGGGCTAACACCTTTCTCCAGAGAAAGTATATGTCATTGATGGATTTTGTAGCTGTTAGACAATGCTAAGCTGCTATTACTCATGAAATAGTTTATTTTCTGCCTTTCAAAAACAAATTCTCTTTAGAGATGTTGCAATGTCAGTCAGCAGATATTATGAAATAGACAATATTTTACCAAATCCCCTATTTTCTCTGGTTTTACTCAACACCCACAAATATTTCTAACGTACTGTATTAACATAGTTTACTGCTAAAATCGTATAAATTTATATTAGAAATATAAAAACATATATGCATCGAATGACTATAAACATGGTTTGATTCTATGACAGTGGGACCCAAATTTTTCAGTATAGCATGTGACAAAATGTAAAACACGAAAGACTGAGAATCACTGCTCAAGGGCATACATTATGTTAAAAGAAAAATATATAGGCAGAAGAGGAGCAGGCCTTTGACAACATCCTTTGGCAAAGCAGAAATAATTCTGTTTACTTAATTCTGCAAAAAGAACAAAATACATTTACTCATAGGAAGCCCAGAGTACGAAGAATGGATAAGAATCTGGTGACTTCTATTATGAATAATACGGCATTATTGAATGGTTATATTTATATAATGATAGGTGTTACCACAATAATAATAAATAATATGCTTTACATTGAGTCTTTTTCTCCCAGTGAACAACTTCCTTGGAGCCTGGCACTTCTGAATCTGTCATCACTCTCATGGAAATAGGACACTATCTAACGTAACGAAGTTGCAATTTACGAAGCAGTACTCAGGTGCCTCTGATAATGGTAAATGTAGGCTCTAAGATGCTCAGAAACTCCTGGAAAATCATTCTACTTACAGCTTAAAATGTCTTATGTTCTGCCAGATATTCCATTGTGTAATTAAAAATAAGCACATAGAACCTTTCTGGGAGGTGAAATTTCCTAAACCCCAAGCAATAACATTGTAAAATGTTGACTATTTTACCTGATTCCTCTGCTGAAAGATATGAAAGCAACAGTAGATATTACTCCATCAGCTTCCGTGGCCTCTACAAAGGGGCATTTGACAAATCAAAATAGTACTTATCGGATTTGTCTTCATCTCTTGGTATAAGAGCAGCTTCAAAATAATTAAAGAGTGTATAATTTGCAGAGCGGATTTTTTGTTTTTTAAACAAAATTCCTATTTTAGGATGGCTTTTTACAGAAGACTTTTGAAGATAGCATAGTCTCTTATACTGTGCCCCCTCCACTAGCCCCCTTCACTTTTCTGTTATTAACATTTTATATTAGCATAGTACAATTGTTATAACTAATGGACCAATAGCGACGTATTATTACACACAACCAATATTTTACTCAGATATAGTTTTTATCTATTGTCTTTTATTTGTTCCAGGGTCCTATCTAGGATGTTATAATACATTTGGGTCTTTATGTCTCCTCAGGTTCCTCCTGACTGACAATTTTTTCTGACTTTGTTTTTGATGACTTTTACATTTTTAATGCTAGTCGTGTATATTCTATAATATCCCTCAAATGGGTTTGTCTGAACTTTTTTCATAAGATGGAGTTATGGATTTTTGAGGAGACAACCACATAGGCAAACTGGTATTCTAATTACATCATATTATGGGTCTATACTATCAACACCACTTATTGTGATGGTCACCTTGATCATCTGGCTGAGGCAGTGTCTGTAAGGTTTCTCCAATGCAGTCTCTCTTTCTCTTTGCCCATTTCTCTCCTGAGAAGACTTTGCCCAAGTCTCTCTTTGGAAGGAACCACTGTGAGTAGCCCACACTTAAGGAATGGCGAGTTACACTATACATCCTTAAGGAGGACAATATCCACATAAGCTATTTGGAATTTTATTACATAAGAGACAGCTATTTAGCCCATCTATTTAATCATTTCTATTAGTACAGGATCATGAATATTTATTTTATACTTTGGGTTATAATCTAATACATTATTCATTTTGTTTCTTAGGTTGTTTAGCCATTGGGAACTCTTTCAGTTGGCTCCTGTGTCCAACTGACATATCACCATCGTGTGTGTGTATGTGTGTGTGTGTGTGTGTGTGTGTGTGTATTTGAGCACTTCCTAATTTATGGGCACTAAAAGATACTCCAAGCTTTTCTCGTATATTCCTGAACCAGCCCTAGATTAAGCCACTTTTTCACAGATCTCTGGTTCCTTCAATTTGCAAAGGTATTAGAAATCACGATCTCAGTGCTGGGTATGATCCTTGCTGCTGGAGTGTAGCAATGAACACTGCAGTATGCGGAGCAAGGAAATATATGTGTATATTTTAACACCTGGTTTCATATCTACCCACTTGTATCAACATGAAGCCTTTTTTTAAATTTTGATGCCATCAACCAAACTGAAAATGTTTTCCCCAAACTGGCAACACCTAGTCAAGCAGATCCTATTTTTGACTCAGTGGTGACTTAGTTGTTGCAGTGGAGAAGTGACAGAGTCCTTTTCATCATGTGGCTGCCTGGCTGACTCGTGACTGAAGTTGTTTGATAGACTCCACTGTGCACTTCATTTTTGGTTGCTTCTTCTAGTCTTAACACAGAACATGGCACATGGAAACATTCAATAAGTGTTTTTTTGAGCAAATGAATGAAGGAGAAGACATATAAATAACATGTATGACCTTCCTTCCTCTTCACTCTCAGAGAATGCTTCCCTTCTTAATTTATAGAAGAAACAGAGGACATATTATGGAATCTTCCTCAACTTCAGGCCCTCCTACCTACAAATCTACCTGCACCATAACTCTCTGTATCTTCTATTTCTACAATGGAAACAGCATTCATCTCTACCCCATGTTGACAGATCCATCTGGGAGTTACACTCCCTTTTCTTGCCCTTTCCAATATATAGTTTCATCAATCCTTTGCCTAATCCATCCTGTGTCTTCAACTTCTCCATCTCAGCCCTCAATTTGTCCACAGCATACACACTCAAGTCCCTCTCTTTTTTCAAATATAGATTTTTATCTCTAAAACTACTTTCCGCTATTTCTCTCTTTTTCTATTTTTCTTCATATTCCAGAATTTTGAACTGCCATCCATTTCTCTACTGTACTATCTGGCTTCTAGCTCTAATTAAATATAGTCAATTTCTACCTAGTTTGCTAATTCTAGTGGATTATTTTAGTTGATCTAATATATTACATACCAACAGAAAAGAATATACATTATTCAATTAAACTGGCTGACAAATTTGTATAGCAATTTAGAAAAAAACTCACAGTTTGCTTATTATATGCAACTACCATTTGTATAACTGAATTCCAAAAGTATTAAAGAACTATGTTAAAAATCAGCTAAATGAAAAAATTTAGAAGAAAATACTGATAAAATGTGTTGCTATCTAAATAAAGCCCATTTTAGAATTTTTTAAATGAAATAATGTCTACCATAAAATGATTAAAAATTTCCATTTGAAAACTATATTAATGTATGTCAAGCACATTTGAAATGTTTTATCATATAAATATCATTAATATTTAAAATGTAAATGAGAAGACAATTCATGAGAAAAAATACAAATGGCTAAAAAACATTACATTTTCAGCTTCGTAATAAATAAGCTACTTTTTCCACCTATCAAATTTATGAGTAAGTCAAATACATCTCCCAATTCTAGTAAGTATGAATTAAGACCAGCATTATAGTAATGGTTTCTAGACAGTGGTAAAAAAATATATGAGCTTCATTTTTTGTTTATTTCCAAGTTTTCTAAGTGGCACTAAAGAGAAGAAAAGACATTTAACATCCGGAAGGAAAACATTAAAATATCATCTGGTAACAAACAGAAAACAGAGGCTACAATAATTTCAGAGCTAGACATTATAAAACAAAAAAGTAGGCAGAGATACCTGCTGGGATTTTTATAGGGCCAAAAATACCCTTTTAAAATAGTTTTCCTACCAACTTATTCATATCTGTTTTTTACTGAAAAAAAACTTTAAAAATTAAGGTATAAGAACAAACACTTCTAGGGTAAATAGATCTCACTGGACAAAAATAATAGATTGCTTCTGGAAAAGAGGTCTTAATTAGGGCAACAGAAACTAATGTAGGGGTACCCAGAAGACAGAAAGTGAACATTCTGTAAGGGGAAAAATGGGTGGTGCTCTAGAAGCCCAGAACACTAAAGGAAAGGCTTTGCCCAACACCTAAAACTAGACACCTTAAAAGGCCCTTGTCCAGAATATCATGCTATGGGTCCTGTTTAAAAGGCAGCAGCTGTGGACACAGATGTGGTGTTTCCTACTGTAATCCAAGCCAAGGCCCTACTGGATAGAAGCAGATTAATATAGCTGTAATGGTGGCAGATTAGATATTTGGCCTGTTTGTTAGACGTAATTGAATCTGCGTTTCTGAGAACAGCTCTTGATGACGCACAATGTCACAAATCCAGCATAAGAAGGGCAGTTTGAGATACGGTAACAGAATACACATGTTGGTGAGGGAAAAATGCTGGCTATATACGAAAAATACATGCATCAACAAATTATAATGAAATTTTGCTCATTTAAAGATATAATTCCTTAACCTGTAAGAATGGCATCTCCAAGAATAAAACTAGTAATCATATGTATGGATTTTTAATGCTTAAAAAAAAAAGTACTGAAGAAAACAATCAAAAACCCAGAAACCCAGATTTTTTTTTTTGGTATCAACTACTTGGTTAATTATTTCAAGTATTTGAGCTCACAAAAAGAATCAGAAAATTGATCATCACAATGAGCTTTTTATGTGGCAAAAATAGGAATCGATCCCAGGTAGTACAATTGCAAAGCTACCACCATATTCTAACCGCTTCATCTAGGCTGCTTTCAAGTTGTTTGCCAAATTTCAAACTGCCGACTTTAAAGGGTATGACGTCTAAATGGATTCCTTTTAAATAAGCAATACTGCATGAAATGAAAGAACTCTAAGAATGCATTTTTTTCTGATCAAATTGCTGTTTACTCAAATCATTCCACAAATATTCATTGAGCAACTATTATGTACCAGACACTGTTCTAGATGATTGGGAAATATCAGAGGACAAAACTAAAAAAAAAAAACAAACCAGGTAACATTGTAGAGCTCAAATTCAAGTGAAAAAAATTATATATGAGTAAATTTTAGCATGTGTTAGAAGATGAGTGCTTTAGAGTATCATAAAGAGGGCTGGTATTATGGGGGGTGGGGTTTCCATTTGAAATGGGAGTCCTGCGGGAGGGATCAGGTACATAGAAGTTGCATTTAATCAAAAACTTGAAGACACAGGCAGAGAGGAAGTGAGCTATGGGGATAACTGGGGACAAAGTGGTCCAGGCAAAGAAAACAGCCAGTGCAATGAGAATGTGCCTGGCATACACAAAGAATGGTAAGGATAAGTATAGCTGCATTGGAGTAAGTGAGGAGAAAGGTAATGAGAGATGAGGTAATGACAAAGACAAAAGAGCCTAATTGCACAGGCCATGTAGGCAACTGTAAGGTCTAACACGGGAGCCATTGGAGGGTTTTGAGCAGAGGAGTGACATTAACTGACTCAGGTTCTGAAAGGATCACTCGGGCTAATTTATGTTGTGAATACACAGTGAGGAAGGAGAGGTGGAAGCCGAGAGAACAGCTACGAGGTTTCTGTAGTAATCAGAGCTAGGCATGATGCCAGCCTGGCTAGAGTTGTAGCAGCAGAGATGGTGAGAAGTTACCAGATTCTGGATTATTTAGCAAGTTGAACTAATGGTAGATTGGATGTGAGGTGTAACAGAGAAAGGGGAGTCAGAGATGCCTTCAGGATTTCTGACAGAGTAAGCGGAAGGTTGGAGTTGCCATCAGCTGTTAGAAAGGATGGAGCAGATTTGGAGGCAATAATTGGAAGTTCCATTTGGCACATTTGGAGTATGAGGCGTCTGTTAGGTATCTAAGTCAAGAAGCCAATTATTGCAATTGGATATATGAGTGTGGAATTCAGAAGAGGGGAAGCTGTCGATATGAACTTAGGAGTTATCAGTCTGCCACTTAATTTCTAGTTAAGAGATCAAGGGATGTAAAGCATTCACTGGTCAATTAACATATGCCATACACAATGTCATGTACTTTCAAATACCTTGTCATTTACTTCTCATAACTTCCTTATAAAAACTTCTAGTTTTTACAGACTTGAACTTTCTAGGGACTAAGAAATCAAACTGAGAAAGCCTAAGAAACTCCCTGTGGCTAACCAACTTCCTTTATGGTAATGAATTTTAGAAGAGGCAGAACTTGGACTCGTATGCAGGTTTTTCCATTAGCTATGTAGCATAGTCTCTCAAAGGTCCAATACAAACAGAAATGTAGCTTACATTCTGGCTTCTGGGATGAGGGGAAAAAAATAAATCCAAAAAGTGAATGCGGAACTGTGCACAATTACCCCCCGGATCATAATAAATACCCTTTATGTGAATTAAGTTTAAAACTAAATTTAATAACCTTTTATAAAGAATAAAAATATACACAGTCTTTTAAAATTCCAACCAAAATCTTTAAAATATTTTATGGTTTTATTTACTAAATAAGTAGTCTTCTTGAAAAATGACCTGTTTCTCACAAAATACTTTATTTTGATGACAAATGTGAGCTAAATTTTGTACATATATGAAACATTAAGTGATCAATTTCTCTAAAACATTACATAAAAATAATGAATTAACTTGATGCCATAATTTTTCAAAAACAAATAGAATTCTCTCTCTTACCAAATACTTTCCTTAGAAGTTTCATGTTACTTCTCTTATCCACTTTATGTATATTCATAGTTACACAAGATGCACATCTTAGACAATTAACCAGGTTAACGTATCAAATATCATTTCTGAAGATATGTATGAGCCAAATTATAAATTCGTCTATAAAATTATAAATGACTACAAAATATATCAAGTTTGAGAAAAAATACAATTATAAGATTCTTATTACAAACTAATCTACATGTTATGACAAAAAATTCTTGCAAAATAATCCTTTCATAAGATGATTAATAAAAATGTTTCATGTACTCATTCATACATTAAATGCCCAACACCACAGCCTCTATTCTCTGTTTGTGGGGGACAGATGCAGAAAAAAATTTCAAAATTATACAGACTGTTATACTGGAATGAAATACTGTGTGTATAGTGCATATTATTATAGAAACAACATATAAAACACCTGTTTTTTAAATGTATAGTATAACTTCCAAGGAAACAATCTGAAGTGTTAATTTTCACATGGGTTACAGTTTTATAGGTGAGGTTAGCTCAGAGAATAAACACTGACTTAGCATTAACATTTACAAAATAAATTTTTGGAGAACTCATTTGTTTAACCTGCTACACACACATACACACACACACACACACACACACACACACCTTCCTTTAGAGTTCCCATAGCTCCTTGACCCTAATATATATTATTTGGCATATTTCAATACTTATTAAATATTTTCCAAATAAATAGCCCTATCCACTGAAACCCACTATGGTCCCTAGAAACCAGTGAAGTTAGCAGACACTGGAATATGTGTTTTGGGGGCACTAACCAATGGACTTGGCGCCTTATCACCTTATACAACCAGAGTAGCTCCACATATATTTGTTTTGTATATGGCAGCTCCATGCTGCCATATACAAAAATATTTTCTTGCAAAAAGCCTTCTGCTACAAAATAACTTGGAAAACCACTGTCCTGAAGACTTCCTCATTAAAAATATATTTAGAATTATTTAGGTATTAAAGTTTCACATTTATGTAACAGAACTATGGAAAGAATAGTGAGACCATCAACAGGAACTTGGACTAACACTGCCATTCAAAAAAGAAATGGCATGATAAATCTGCTTTGTCTAATTTACCAGAAAGCTTAACATTTGAGGCAGTGCTAGGTATGATTTTATTAAACACTGAGTTCTTTTCAGTAATGTGCAAAGATTCACCATGGCACATGCTTACATTAAAGTAAATAAAACACTTCAGTACAAAAGAGCCCCCTTGAGAGGACCTAAAAATGTACCACATATGGAAAGAGAGCTCTACACTTTATAGAACATTTTTCATTGTGATCTTACTAGTCTAGCAGTTGAATTAGATTGAGTGATCATTTGCAATCTATAGATGAGCAAATGAGGTACAGTGACAAAAACAATGATTCATAAGAGATTGCAAAGTTAACAGTAGGAGAAAAGGAGACTCCTAGGTCAAGTTCCAAAAAATTGGCCATGTACCACACAGAACCCTGTCATTGTCTAATGACCTAATGCATTATGAATTTACTGTACCAGGATCTCAAGTAATAGGCCATAAATATAGGACTATAGAAAGTAATTGCTGGTTACACATTTGGAATGAAATCTAAACTTAAAAGAATGGAGCACTTCTCTTTGAGCTAAAACCTCAGACAGGTTTGGCCTAAGCACTTGTATTTGCTAAGCAAAAAAGCAACTTCCCTGTATAATTACAAGGAAAAGACCTCTGGTGCTTTCAGCTACTGGCATACACTCAGAGTGCCTGGCAGAAAAACAGCCCCCAAAGATGTCCATGTTCTAAACCCTAGAATTTGTGAATAAGTTATCGTACATGGCAAAAGTTACTTTGCAGATGCGATTAAGGATGTTGAGTTAGAGCGATGATCCTGATTTTCTGGGTGGGCCCAATGTTATCACAAGGTACTTATAAGAAGAGGCAGGAGGGCCAGAGTTAATAGTGAGAGACGTGAAGATGGTAGAAATTATAGTGATGTGATGTGAGAAGGAATCAACTCACCTTTGCCAGCTTTGAAACTGGAGAAAGAGGGTCGCAAGCCAAGGAACTTGGGCAGCCTCTAGAAGCTGGAAAAGGCAAGGAAACAGATCCCTCTCAGATACTTGAGAAAGGAATGAGACCTTGCCAGCACCTTGATTTTAGCTCCGTATGGTCCATGTCAGACTTCTGACCTACAGTTCTGTATAGTTATATAGAATTATAAAATTAATAAATTTGTGGTTTTTAATGCCATTAAAGTTTACAGTAATTTGTAATAGCAGCAATAGATAACTAATACAGTCATCTTAGAAGAATATGGTCTCTTTAATAGATGTAGAGATATTTTAAAATTTATTCAAGAAATATTCACTGAAAGTCTAAAATGTATCAGACTCCAGCATTCAGGATTAAAGAAAACTAAGACATGCTCTCTGTGGTCAGGAGTGAATAGCTTTTTCACATATATGAATTGGCTTCTGTGTACATGTTACATGTAGATACACATGTTTATCTGCATGCAGAATACCAACAGAGTAACAGGAGAAGGAAAAGGAAAATAAAGGAAAAAAGGTTTTAGAAATCATTAAGCTAACTGTACAAATGAGAAAACTATAATCCAGTCTGGCATTCATAAAGTTTAACATCCACTTTCCCAGATCTAACTAGTACTACTTTTGCTGAATTAACAAAATGAATGCAACGTGAAGTCCTCCTTAGATTCTGATATGAACAATCCCTAAATTTAGATTATGAATCAATCAGCCCTAGATGATTCTGAAGACAGTCAGTTGTCATGGTATTTTCTTTTTCAACAAAAAATTTTAAGCTAAGGAATTGATTCATATCTTCTAATTGTAACAGTAAATTACAGATTCTGTTACATTTGAAAGCTACAATTTAATGATGACACATTAAAGGTGGTTTATAAATTCTAGGGTGGTTTATAAATTCTAAAGAATATGAAAAATGATGTATATTTTAAAATTAGAACCTAAAATAAGCAAAACTATCAAACACAGAAATGTATTGAAATAAGGTAGTTATGACATAATAACATGCATCTGGACAACTTTTTTAAAATAATATTATTACGTCTGACTCTAGTCTCAAAAAATAGAAATTCAAATTAGATCACTCTATATAATAGGGAATGATCAATATGCATCTATATAATTTATATGTCTAGGACATTACCCATATCTTCTCCTGAATGGTTTCTGACTGATGGAATTTTTCTATTGTGGATAGAAAATCGATGAGGAGGAGAAAAAAGCATTTTATCTTGAATTATTTTTTTCCACAGAGTTTCAACCTCTGTAGCTGAATTTGCATCCTTCTTATATCAAAAATCTATTACAGATAAAAGTGTAGTCTTTCTATGGAATACCTGTTAAAGTCCAGGCATCAGAAACACTAGATTGATGAGTATTTAATAGTAACTGGTATTATAAACTAGTATAGAAACCAAATTTCATATTAGTATTATCTAGTATTCTAAACTAGCATATCAACCTCATAAACTTCATATATCATCTGTGGTGAACTAAGTTCTAAATACATTAAGTTTGGGAAAAAATACTACCGTGGTACTATAGAAAATCATGGATTAAATGCCTATATAATTTATATAAGGACTAAACGGTCATGATGATAATGACAATGACAGCTATAACAGTTTTCCTTGTGCCAGGCTCTGTGATACATGATCTCATTTAGGCTTCACAATAATCCAACGAGATATGCATCATCTCCATTTATAGTCGAAGAAAATGACTTAGAAAGATTAAATATCTTTCACAAAGGGACATAGCTAGTAAGTGGTATAGCTAGGATTCAAACTCTGGCCAAAGTTATGTCTGTCCAGCTCCCAAACACCACTTCTTAACCATCTTCTATTGGCAGGAGTGAATGTCCCGAAGTGTCCCTAAGCACTGAACTGTGATTCTGGTATTTATTTCCTCAATCCATGGAAATAATTGAGGAATTCAGTTAACCATTAGTTTCCTTTATACATAGTCTTAGTTTCCTTGATATAAACTGGAAAGGTTAGATTGGATGATGTTAAAACTTCTTTTTACCTCTATAGTCACTCACTTTTTCAGTCATGTATTCCATAGACAAATACACATGCATTCTATTTGCTAGACCTGCTCTAGGTGAACCAAGTAGGGAAAGTCCCTGACCTGATCACACTCTAGTAAGGAAGACAGACTACAGACAAACATTTTTTGGGGGAACTACTTCAGGAAAGGTATTTCTGGCAAGGAACATTTGAATTATGAGCAAATAAGATGACAGATTAAGTCATAGGCATATATCCTAGTAGAAGAGTTTTCTAGGTAGCGGGGATTCATTCCAATGGTTCCTTTAAAGTCTAACCATACTAGCCATCCTTTTGACTAAATATACTTTTCTGTATGATTGTGAGACTCATACCTTAAGTGATACATTTTAGATAATAAAAAGAAGTTGGAAGTGATCAGTAGCATTCAGCTGAACCTTACTCTTTCCTAGACCTGCTAATCTATAAAACTGAAAATCTACCATCTGGGAATGGAGTCAGTCACGTGATTTAATAGGAAGTACCTAACTGATACAGTAATTCATACAAAATACATCTAAGGTATTAGCCTCCTCTATAGCCTCACAAAATATATGTGATTATTATCTTTTGGATTAATATTACTCTGTGAAGTATCATTTGTAAATTAGTGAACAATTATCCGTATTCCCCAGTGCTTCAAAGTTCATTCATACAAATTGGAAAGCTTAACAAATACAGTTTATAAAAATCAGAATGAGTCTGTATATATTTAATATCATATCAGGATGCACTGCATGAAGTGGGGTGTTATTTAGCATAAGACTGGAATAATGACAGCTTAATGTGCTAAATTGATACATCAAAAGCATGATGCAATCATTTCTATTATCTTTGTTCTCAAAATCTAGAATCCTTTTTTGATTGTATTACTACAGCATCAAACTAACTTGAATTTTGCAAAATAGTCTGGAATGATCACTTAAATATTTACAATCACTAAAAAATAGCTTCATTTTTTATAAGTACTCATTAAATGAACAAAAAGTAACTCTTCTGGTATGATTTGGTAAGCAAACAAGCAAACAAAATTTAACTACCTCGCTCTACGAATAATTTCACATCACGTCTATTGAAGTAAATAGAAAGTTTTACTCCTTTTAAATAACCAAAAACTTGGCACAAACAAGGTTGTCAGAATAATTTTATTTCTATTTAGAGTAGTAATATTGCATATAACCAGTTTAAATGCTCAATCATGTATACTTCCACTACTTTAATTTTACATATAATGTGTTCACTTAGCAGTTTTCAGGCAATAAAAAAAATCTGACTTGACGCTGAGGTTATATGGATTACGGTGCTGTAGAGACTTATGTTTACAAAGATGAAGAAAATACTTCCTTTGACTTAACAAATATTTTCCCTTTTCTGATTTAATTATTCTAGATGTTTCATAAGCCCAAAGAGAAAAGTAGTACAACTCCTTGTTCACAGAATTGAGAGAACCTAGTATTAAGAGAAAAAACTTGTATGCCTGAACCATGAATCCACATTAGTACGTTATTTTCTTGTTTAGCTGTAATACTTATAAATTCTCTACAGTGAAAGAATAAAAGCCTTGGCCAGCTGCCGGGGCTCATGCCTATAATTCTAGCACTTTGGGAGACCGAGGTGGGCAGATTGCTTGAGCTCAGGAGTTCAGGGCCAGCCTGGGCAACATGATGACACCCCATCTTTACTAAAAATACAAAAATTAGCTGGGCATAGTAGCGCACACTTGTAGTTCCAGCTACTTCAGGGACTGAGTCAGGAGGATTGCTTGAACCCAGGAGGTCGAGGCTGCAGTGAGCTGAGATGGCGCCACTGTACTCCAGCCTGGGCAACAGAGCAAGACCTTGTCTCAAAAAAAAAAAAAAAAAGAAAGAAAGAATGAAAGCCTCTTACACATCGATCAATTTTTTAAAAAATTAGAGAAGTCCTGCAGCAAGATACAAATATACATATTTTTAAAACAACTTGAGGAACATATTTGATTAAACTACTACTTTACAGATTTCTGCTTAGCAACTTGGCTGAAGAATGACCCAAATAACAAACATAGAAAAAAAATCCTGAAGAAAGAAAAGAAAACATTTTAAAGGATATCACATGGAAGAAAATATTTGAAGTCTAAATAAAAAATGATTAGAGAACTAAGTTTAGATTTATGAACTGTTTTTCAGTAATATAGGTAAGTATTCTCTTCAGAGTATAAAGATAATCATCTTTTTCTTTTTAACAATGTACACAAAATGCTATTTGAGCATCAAAATGTATTGCCATCAGTTAAAAATAATAGACAATAATATTCCAAGTAAGATAAAATGCACTAAATTCGAATTAGAATATTTTGCTCTTGATGTATTCTACTTTATCATATCTAATACGGTATCTGAGTTCTCTTTTCAAGAACACCCTTGACTTACAGGAAAACTCTTAAATGTCTCCCTATACATTGACTTGGATCCAATTTTGATTTAAATATTCTCATAATACACAATAACTAATAAGTTTGAGTAAGAGAATTTTTGTGAATTTCAACAGAGTGAAAAAGAAACTCTGGAAACCTAGACAGGTGGCAGAGACTCTTGCTTCTTCGGCAGTGAAGGAGATACAGTGTAGTATGCTGGTTAAGGGCCCAAGCTTGTGTTTTAAGGTAGGCTTTGCTGGTGCCCTCAGCAAGTCATTTAATCTTGTTAAACTCAGCTCTTATCAGTAAAATTAGAATAATAGTAGGAAACAGGTGGGGTTGTGAGGATTAACAAGCGTACAGCTAAAATGCCCCACATACATTTGACCTTCGTTACCACTCAGAATGTGTTGCATGCTGTTAATTATAATAAAGGAACTAGTAATATGAGCTGAGAAAATATATGCAGGTTATATACATTGGCCAAACTAATTGAACCGTACATTTAAGACTTGTGCATTAGTGCATACAAATTGTACTTCAATAAAATAACAAGAAAATTGAATATATGTAAAGGTAGCAGAATCGGGGTGGAGAGAAAGAAAAAATGTACACTACTTGGATGACATTATTACTGGATCTTATTAACTTGAACAAGGTTAATAAGAAAGGTTTGTTTAAAATGTTTGTTTTTGCATCATTAGTCTAATTATATGAATACTAACAGTTGACCCTTAAATATATGTTATATCATAAAAATCAATTTGTTAATTTCATTTTTGTTATTATAAATTCTAAAACAGATACAAGGAACAACCTCGGGCACAATCCACAGTCAAATTGTAATCGGCATCCTTATGAAAGTCTCTCTATTCACTGCATATCTCTAACCATTTTGTAAGGGTCCATGGAAATGATATACAAAGATGACTAAAGATTAATAATTTCAAACAAGTCCACAGTAGCCAATGAGACACTATTGCACCTTAGGCACAACGTTAAGCATTTTACAAGTATTTCCTCTTATAATCTTCCCAACAATTCTACAGGAGTATGGTCTTAAATCTACCATATAAATGTGAAACTGTAGAACCGTTAGACTAAGTAAATTGTCCAAGGTCACAGGGTTGCTGATGTCAGAGCACACAACAGGACCCATCTCAGACTCCACAGGATATAATTTTTTAATCCTTACTTTCCATGGCCCCAAAAGTGCAAAAACACATGCATATGCCAATTTTCTACCAAAAAGTATAACATACAGATGATCATTGGTCCTTCTCTTTCATGACAATTTGAGGCATCAATGACTTTACATTCTTGCCTTTACTGCTGTTCCTTTTTGCATCCATACTGAGGCAGAGGGGCAGAGGAAGAAGGAAGGAAAGAAAGCAAGGAAAGAGAAAAAGAAAAACAGGAAAAGAAACATTTCCATCATTATACTCTTTATCTGTGAAAAAATGTTCAATTTTATAGGTTCTACCAGTAAGAGATAGGTTCTACCTGTAAGACAAAGCTTGAAGAAGTAAACGCCTTTTTAAAAAAACTTATGTTGAAATAATCTGAGATACAGAAAAGGGTTACAGAATACAGTCATCTCTTGATATCCATGGCAGATTGGTTCCAGGACCCTGTAGACACCAAAATCCAGGGATGCTCAAGTCCCTGATATAAAATGGTATAGTATTTGCATATAACCTATGCACATTCTCCCGTTCACTTTAAATCATCTCTAGATAACTTATAATACCTAATTCAATGTAAATGCTATGTAAATAGTTGGTATAGTCTGCTGTCTAGGGAATAATGATTTAAAGTCTGCACATGTTCAGTTCAGACACACTCACTCACTTTTTTTCTTGAATATATTTTCCATCTGAGGTTGGTTGAATCCATGGATGTAGAATCCAGGGATACAGAAGGCTGACTATACAGAGTTCCTACATTTCCTTCAGTTGGGGGGGTGGGCGGTATATTTTAATCTGCAAGCTCCACAATGCCCACCAATCTATGAGACTTGGGATTTTATATTATTTAACATTAGGGTAAATTTTCCTTTAACAACATAGGTATAGTTACCAGTTTACATAACAGAGATTATAGTGGAAAATGCTTGATATGGATAAATGGAAAAATGATAGGATATAGTTTGATAATTTTTCTAACCAGTACTCCTTTTAGCCTACCGTATAACACTACTAAATCTTTTCTGCTATAACACGTTTCTGCATAGTTAATTAGCTCATACGCAATTGGTAAACAGTGGGATAGCAAAAGATATATTGACTTACATGATTTCCTCCCCACTCCCTGAGAGCTGGTTAATGTTTAATCACAAAGTCATCACAGCAGCAGAACATAAAGTATACTAACACAATTGAACAGAACAGGGCAAAGAGTAATATATAGAGTAATCCATAAACCTTACCTGCACAGTATTCTTCTTTGTTCTATTTGATCAATGAGTCTCTAATTGGAAATACCCAATGTTTGTTTTCCTGATTTTGATGCATTTTGCATTTGCCACCCTCTGAACTCTTCTTTCCATCTCTTTTGAATAATCCACCTTCATCTTTTCTTTTTCTATGATTAGGTTTATATTGACTATATCAGTTATTTATTTATTTATTTGTACTAACATATCTTTCTAATGCCACTATTATTTTGGTTAGAATTATTATGTTTTCTCATGATCCTGTTTTTTTTTTTAGGGCACAATTTGTAGAACCTATGTTTTTTAAAAACTTTAAAATCACGTTATAGCAGAAACACCTGCCCAAGACTTTATCTTGTTAACATTAAAATAGAGGAGACTCTTAGAATACAGCCCTCCATTCAGTTAAGAGATTATGAAGAACTCATTACATTTCAAATAATCAGTTTATATATAATTTATTATAATTTAAATATGACTTCATATAACAATTGTAATAAATTATAAAAATTACTATCTGTTATATACATTTTTCAATTGAGATAAGTTATGTTTCTGGGATTGACAACTATAAAGTACTTAATCAGTTGTATCAGAATCACATTAAGTTGCTTTTGGTTTAAATCTTATGAGAATGTTTCCTAAATAATTGCATCCTCTTTAGAGCACAACTACTTACAGTTTTCATTAAAGCGATTTGACTGGCTTTTTGAGAAGAAGGATCTAATAATATAGCTTCCATTATAGAATAAGCGCCCACTTCAACACGTAACATAAACACCCAAGATAACGCTGAAACTTTGAGATACTACAGCAAGTGGAATTCAAGTACAAGGCGTCCTCATGGAACTTCTCTTATGTTTCCTGAGTTCATCTCCCTGCTAAGAGCATCATTAGTAAGATAAATTACACTCTTCTGGAATCTGTTCAACTTTCTCTGTCACTTTCATATAGTATATATTTATTTGTCCTATATTTTAAAAAATCCTGCAGCCATGGTTGAAGACTTTTCTCTTTGAGCACAAAGCCCATATTCGTGAAAGATAGAAGCTAAAGTTCAGTACCAATATCTTTTCTATCCAACATAGCAAAGCAAAGCAAAATCTAAAAAAGTATACTTCTTAAACCCTGAAGTCAGGCACTTAATTTTGGATGAATTCCAACAACGGAACGTGGACAGCTCATTGATAAGAGCCAAAATAAATTCTTAGTATGGATCCCAAAAGAATTTGGCCCATGAGGTAGCAGAGAGAGAATTCGGGGTGTTGCGGGGTGGCGGTGGGGGGTGGGATGTGGAGTACCCAGGTCCATGAGAACATCAGGAATCAGAGCTGTCACGTCAGATCTCTGAGAATTGTGTTGGTTTGTTTGTGGAGGTGGTTCTACTACAGTGACCTGAAGTCCTCTTGAACAAGTTCTAAGGAGCATAATGGTAACTAGCCAACCATGTTTTCATCTGTGTAAGGGGGCTTGTCCACTTATACCACAATGGCAAAGGATGGCTCTGGCCTTTCAATAATAGCAGGTTTTTGAGCTTATCACTTCATCACTTCATTTATGCATCCACACATCAAACATATGGAATACTTAATTGGTATCAGGCACTCATCTATCTCTTTCCTCCTTACTGATGAGACAGATAGTGTGCACAGAACAGCACATGATTTCTTGAGTAAGTAGCACAGAATCAGCTCCCATTTCTCACCATTTCTCACAGTATTCTGTAACCTTTGCTTATTTGTACTGACATTAAGAGTACGAAAGAGGGGGAAATGTGAATCAAATTCAGTATTATTATAGTCTGATGACAATGAGAATAAAAATTAAATGATTTATTTTAACATGTAGAATTCCTTTAGTGCAATAACAGAAATTCAACAAACTCCTCTCTCTTTTTGATGAACAGTTAAATGTTGTCCATTTAGTTTCTTATCAAAGAAATCCAATTAAAAAGTTACCAGGCACTCTCCTACATTGCTAGTGGGAGTGTAAATTGGTACAACCTTCTTAAAAAGCAATCTGGCAACATATACAGAAAGCTTAAAAGTATTCCTACCATTTGGCCTAATAATTCCACTTCTAGGAATATTCTGTAAAGAGATGTTCTGCAACTTGAAGTGTTTTATACAAAACTTTTCATGTCATTATTAATTGTAGTAGGGAAAAGTCGAAAACAACAAAAATGTCTAACAAGAGAGAATGTTATGTAATAGCCATAGAAAAAAATTGGCACATGACCATTAAAAATGTTTTTGAAAACTTAATACAGAAAAAAATGCCTGTGAAACAGACAAGTTTAAAAGGAATATTCAAAATTAAGTATATTGTTCTATGTAAAATATATAAAATGATGAAGACACATAAAACATTAACTACTTATCTTAGGTTAATTAGATTATAGTTGTTTCTTTGTATGATTCTACCTTTCAAAACACTGAGCTTGTGGTCACAAATTAAAGAAATCCAAAATCTGGTACAATGAAAGCATTTTAAGTATTTAGCTGTTATGCTAAGTGCCAGCAATAAAGGTTCAAGCCAGAGCCCAGACAACTAGATGAACAGAACTTGTATTGGTGACCACAAGAAGAATGGTCAAGAAAACAGGAGAGGAAAGAAGAGGATAGCAGAACTCCAAGCAGGCATTGATTGAACACATTTCAAACAGGCAGACTTAGGGCAAAGGAGAGTATATAAAAATTCATGGAACATTCTCTTGTCCACTGTCCATATGGAAGAATTCTCAAATTGAATGATTTTAGACAGACACTATGTTTAAATAAATAAATAATGATTCAGAATCGGTTTCTTTACATGAATCACATTTGTGCTAAGTAACTTATCTGATGAAACACAGTTGTACTGAATTTAGAACAGACTGCCATCAATGCCATCAAAACATAGGGCTTCTATTTATGTATTTTTTTTTTTTTTTGCGGAATTGTTTAAAATATTATTTTCTCCAATTCTCTTCAATTACCTTTAGCAAACACTGGATGGAAACCTTTTTATTAAGCCTAAATTGTCTACTACAGGGCAAAATAGTCCTAAATATTTCAGTGCAGAACGACATGTATTACTTTCCACTCCAATTCTGCCCAGAAGTAGGAAAGCAGGAAATAAATGTCACTTGTTTTCACACTTGGTCAACTTGAACTGGTAACATTTATTCCATAGGAAAGGAAAGTCATAATTTATCATGTAAGGAGAAATAAGTTTGAGGACAAAACTATACACACACACAACACAGAGACACACAAACACACACAGAGACACACATACATAACACTCACGAGATACATTATTCTGTTAAGAAATGTACCTACACACAGCATGAGTTTCAAGTCACTCACCTATAATTATGTTTCTCTGACCACATTACAATAAAATCAAACACTGAAAATATTTGGCCCTGAATTTGATTACACAGCTATCAATATTTTCATAAACAATATGAAACCTAAGTGCAGGGCATATGGTGGTATCAAGAAAATATTTTAAAAGCTCTTCTTCAATAAAGTTAAAGGTCATGTAAAAACTCTATAAACTTTTTCTCTATAAAATTGAATTGGGTTAGGACCAAGAAAAATAAAAGGCTTCAGCCACTTGAATATTTGTACTAATGTCACTCATTTACATTCCTTCTCATCAGAGAGCGGCCTGAAGACAACTTAATCTAGATGACTCAAAATACACAAAACTCACTTGCTTCACTTGAATCCAAAATTAGAGGTTAGAAGTTCAAATGTTACTACAGCATTGTGCATAATGGTAAAATACTGAAAATAGTCTGAATCCCCTTGTAAACAGAAAGGTTTAAGTGTATTCTGGTATATCCATACATTGGAATACTCTGAAGCCATTGAAAAGTAGTTTGCGGCCAGGCGTGCTGGCTCACGCCTGTAATCCCAACACTTTGGGAGGTCGAGGCAGGCGGATCACCTGAGGTCAGGAGTTCGAGACCAGCCTGACCAACATGGAGAAACCCTGTCTCTACTAAAAATACAAAATTAGCTGGGCTTGGTGGCGCATGCCTGTAGTCCCAGCTACTTGGTAGGCTGAGGCAGTAGAATTGCTTGAACCTGGGAGTCGGAGGCTGCGGTGAGCTTAGGTTGCGCCATTGTACTGCAGCCTTGGCAACAAGAGCAAAACTCCACCTCAAAAAAAAAAGAAAAGTAGTTTGTGAATGGGTGTGAGTGTGAATGTGTGGAGAGAGAGAGAAGTGAGGCACATCTGTGTGTGTTTGTGTGTCTGTATATGTACATATAGTCAACCCTTGGTATCTCAGGGGAATTTGCTCTAGGACCCTCATAGATAAATAGCATAGTATGTGCACATAACCTATACACATCCTTTCATATGCTTTAAATCATCTCTGGATTACTTAAAATACATAATATAATGTAAATGCTATGTAAGTTCTATTTTTATTTATATTATTTTATTGTTGTACTGTTATTTTTTCTAATATTTTCTATTCACAATTGGTTGAATCCACAAAGGCAGAACACACAGATACAGAGGGCTGACTGTCCATATATGTATATGTACATATACAGACAGAGAAGGAGGTGATCAAGATACACTGCTAAGTAAAAATCAGAAACAGCTAAAAGGTGCATGTAAAATTAATTCATAATTCATAAATGAATTAATCTATAAAGTGTTAATGATACTATTAACAATATTTGCTGACTAATTTCTATACAGGTGGTACTCACCTACACATTTCATACATATTAACTTATTTAACTCTCATAATAACCCTATATTATTGGTTCTATTATTCTCCTCTTTAAATCAATAAGGAAAATAAAGCACAGAGTTACTAGGAAACACAGTGCCTTGCTAGCAAACACAGCTAGTAAGTGTTTTTGCTTTTTGCTTGTAAGTCTTTATTCCCGCCACCACCACCCCACCCTTACTCATCTCCTTCCTTTTCCTCTGCCCTAAAGAGGCTGATTTTACAAATTACAACACCTGGATTCTGGAGTCCATGGATCTTGTTAGGATTCAGCCCATGACAGTAACCATCAGTGAGTGTGGAATAAAAGAAAGGAGGTTGAGGTGAGTATTTATAATCACCCCTCGCTGCCCTGCCCCCACCTGCTCAGTGCAGCAGCGTAATCCAATAGTGGCTGCATTTCTCTACCCATAGCCACAGCTCCTGTTCAGTAGCCCCTTTCCCACAGGCACTGCTCTCACTGGGTCTCAGTTACACCTCCCTCTCCTCGTGCCTTTGGTCCTAGTGATAACCACTTTCACTTTTTGGGCACCCAGGTTGCCTCATCATTCCTTGTTGCTTTTCTTAATACTTCTATAACTAGGTACTTCCTCAAAGTCTTCAATGACCCCTGAGTCATCTATTTCCTGCCCAGACTGTGACTCATACATATAGCAGACAGGATTCGAACCCAGACACTGTGGCTCCAGAGGCTGTGCTGTGCTTCTACTCACCCTGCAATACTTCCTGCCTCCCCCACTATGCTGGTCTATGTGTCATTTTAGTATTGAAAGACTACTAGGACTGCTGCAGTGGCTCACACTTGTAATCCCAGCACTTTGTGAGGGCGAGGTGGGAGGAGGATCACTTGAGGTAAGGAGTTTGAGACCAGCTTGGACAACGTGGTGAAACCCCATCTCTACTAAAAACACAAGAATTGGCTGGACGTGGTGATGCACACGTGTAATCCCAGCTACTCAGAAGGCTGAGGCATAAGAATAGCTTCAACGTGGGAGATGGAGGTTGCAGTGAGCTGAGATCGCACCACTACACTCCAGCCTGGGCAACACGGCGAGACTCTGCCTCAAAAAAAAACTCTCTGTACTAAATTATCGTCAGGAATTTTCTCTGGGAAGTAAGATTACAACAGGGAATTTAAATCTGTATATTTTATAGTTCTACAACATTTGAATTTTATTATTTCTCAAACAAAAACGCAGTAACATTGGACACTACTTACTACTACTAACTACTACTGTAAAGAGATTCGATTATACCGGTAGAGTAACCTAGCTAAGGCAGACAATCCACTTTGTAGTTAAATATTACTTGACAATCTTAACTACAAGGTCTTTCCATAAAGTATGAATAATCATTCTCTAACACAGAGGTCTAGACAATGTGTTGCAGGTTTGTTACCCAGTATGATGCCTACATGACATAGGTGAATTTCTATCCTTCCTTAACTCTGTTTATCTTTAAAAATGGGACACCTGAGGTCAAAAGTCCCCCTAGTGACCAAACTGGCCAAGACTAGCGGGATCCAAGATGGCAGCTTTCTTGACCTCTGAAGAAACTCTAACTTCGTTATAATCTAATTTTCATGCTAAATGATACACCTCACAGCACCATGACAGTTTACAATCACCATGACAACAACCCATTGAAACAAAAGGTGGGGGAGGGAAGGCAGCACTCTGGTTTTGAGGAGTTCTCTGCCCGTTCCCAGAAGAAAACACGAATGTTCGTCCCCTTATTTTTAATACCCAACCCTTTCATTAGAGATGCCTGTTTCTGTGACTTCCCAGCTCTCTTGAGCTTCTCAATCCCATGCCATCAATAAAGCCTGCACTGCTAGATGTTCACTTTCGGTTTGGGTATTGGTTTTGTGGCACTGAATCGGCAAAGATGCCATTTTGATGGGAAATTGCTTTGTTGGTAACATATTGATCTTCTTGGACTGAAAAGAAAAATTCTTGAATAGAAAAGTATTAAAGGATTTTTTTGAGTCAGGCTCACTCTGTTTCCCAGGCTAGATTACAGTGGGCCTCAAACTCCTGGGCTCAAGTAATCCTCCTGCCTCAGCCTCCTGAGTAGCTAGGACTACAGGCACATACCGTCATATCTGGCTAATTTTTATTTGGTACAGACGGGGTCTCACTATGTTGCCCAGACTGGTCTCAAACTCCCCGGCCTCAAGTGATCCTGGGCCTCCCAAATAACTGAAATCACAGGTATGAGCCACCACCCCTGGATTAAAGGATCATTAAATTATTGTTTCTCCTGTTTTGATAAGGTACCAAAGAGCTATTAGGATCTAGCTCTTCTAATGGGACGAGAACCAACAGAAAGAAATGTTTAATATTATACTTCTAATGTTTAAACAACAGATTTTAACCACCACAGAATTTTATGGTCTTCTTTGGGACATTGCTGATGTTCAATATAGTAAATTTGCTTTGAATTGCATCAAATCTCTAAACTCTATAAGGTATATTTTATAGGGGACTGGAGTCTAAGTTGCACCTCAGCCTCATGATTGCTAACCTAACCTCAACTCTTGATCTGCTTAGCCACTGTGCTGAGAAGCCTTATATTCTCCTTTCCATGCAGCAAACACAATGTGCTCATGTAACTTCTCCAATATTACAAGTTTCCTCCAGAAATGGCCTTGAGCAAGAAAAAGGAATTCAATATGAACAATTTTGCCTCATCACTAGACACTTTGGAATGTATGTGTCCTTTCCAAATATTCAAGGATCACTGTTGTAATTTTCCTGCTAGGTAAAGGAAATTTCAATATCCATTTTTAAATGGCAACCAAGAACTAATAACAGATATGTTTTCCTGACACTACATGGCTCAAGCAATGTTTTATATTAGCACCTAACACTAAATTAACCAAATTCATTCAGGGGAAAAAATCATACAAACTCAATCTTTCTTCTTCAATTCTTTCAATCTTTCACCTCCTCTCAATGTGAAATGTTAAACCCATCAATTATATATATGGTATTTCCTAAAAGATGAATCTAGCTTACCAGAAAAAAATACAAACCCAGAACTCCCCCATCTCTAGGTATAGAAAGCCTCCAGATGTCACTCAAATCCAACTCTCTTACCAAGGATTTACTAATGAATGACTGCCAGCAGTGAATATACTCTGGCCCCAAATCCTTCTGCCTCTATGACGTCAACACCTCCACAGCCCTGTGTTTCCTGAGCAAACATGTGGGAAAAATTCAGGTCATTCATTATTGGGGCATAAATGTTAACAATCAATGTCTCCCAGCCATAGCTGTTATCCTGACCTAAGACCCATCTGTCATCAACATCTAAATCAGTGAACATTATTTTCTGACTTAATTTTGCTGGAATAAAGCCATTTTGTCTGTAGGTGAGGCAAAAAAGGGGATTAACTATAAATTTTAAGTAAATGACATATCTTATGATCACATATATAAAACATCAGTTAGGCATTAATATATCTAAGCACAAATTATTTCCCCTCCTCTGTAGAGACTGATAGCCATGTACTGATTTTTCTTCCTTTCATATATAGAATATACATAGGACAAACCAAATAGTTATTTTATCTCATTTTCATGGCTACAATAGTTTACTGAGACCCAAAACAATGTTTTTTAAATCAAAATGGTAATAAGACTCTGGCATAAAGAAGGCTGTCATTTCTCATGCCCACCTCAAGACTTGCTTCTGCTGTCAGGGGCTGCCTGACAGGCTTACTGGCTATAACGCTCCAACTTTGTAAATCACAGCCAGACTCAGTCTTCACTAGGCATTTTCTGTATTCATCTCTAGAAACAACAAAATGAATGCATCCATTCTCTTGTCCATGCACGCAAATGAAAATAAAATACGAAGTCCTTAATGAAGGAAAGAAATGACTAAGAGAAAATAACTGCAAGTAAAAATCTATACTTAACTGTAAACTGAAGACATTTACATAGCCCAATTCAGATTCAGAGTGTGTTACTGATTTTGGAGTACGGTATTTGGAAATCTCTTTTATGATTCTCAAACAATTGATGTATTCCAGAAGAATTATTCGTTGATTGCTGAAGAATTATTAGTGAAAACTACTTACTAAAATATAAAATATCGCTTTGAACCTGGATACTTCTGGCATAATGATCCAGAATCATTAGGGGAACTGCTTCTTTTTCTCTTTTTTTTTTTTTTTTGGAGACAGGGACTCACTCTTGCCCAGACTGCAGTATAGTGGTGCAATTACAGCTCACGGCAGCCTCAACCTCCCAGGCTCAAGCAATCCCTCTATTCAGCCTCTCGAGTAGCTGGGACTACAGGTACACGTGGTGGCTTTGTACCTACAGTATACTCGAGAGGCTGAGGTAATTATTTGTTGTTATTGTTATTTTGTTTTTGTTGTTGTTGTTGTAAAGATGTCTCACTGTGTCACTCAGCCCGGGCTTGAACTCCTGGGTTCAAGGGATTCTTCCCCCTCGGCCTCCCATAGTGCTGGGATTACATACTGGTGTAAGCCATTGCACCAGCTGCGAATTGCATCTTGCTTTCCATACTGAAGAAGCTAATTCTTTTAAAAGCTTGTTCACTTAAAGAGAGATATTTGTCTCATGAAAACCAAAACAAAGTTAAATTTTTTAAATGTGAGTGAAGGTCGGCTTAATTTAACAAAGATCTGTAATTAGCAATTAAATGGAATCCTTAAAAATAAATATCAAGAATTCCTGTTCACCAACACTGAACAACACTGTCATATGCTTTTTTCAAATGGTGTGACTGGTATCATCCATTGAATCAAAGAAAACCCCAAACTCCACAATCAGGATAGGACTAATTTTGGAGGCATAAGGGGAGATTGGGTGGGGATGTTGGTAGAGTACGTGAAAAAGAGAGAGGTTGACTGGGAGGAAGAAGGTAAAAAGGATAATATAGTGCCCCTCTTGCCCCCCAAGAGTAAAGAGCTCAAGGAAAGGGTATTTTTGTTTTATTTGGTTTTAAGTGTTGTGCATTTCATAATGCTCCTGGGTAACGCTATAGATAGTATCAATGTCAATAGGAAGGAATATGCATTATGCTTTTATTTTTAATTATATTTGCTCTATGTGAAGAAACATAAAAACATAATTCCAACTGATGAGAATATATATCAATATGAGCTGTATTAAAAACTGTGTGAAAAACTTCAAAATGGGCAAAAAGAAAAAACATGACAAATTAGTAGGTTCCCTGACTAGCTCATGCATTTCTCTGGCTTTTATTGTCTTTGAGCCATTTTACAACTCTGAAAATAATAGAAACTGACAGCAATCTCATTTACTAACAGAAAAATAACAAAAATAGAAATGGATGTTGTATCCATTGGAATGCAATTGAATATTGCCTTGTAGAAACTGACCACTTTTTTTATTTATTTATTTTTTTTTCTTAAGCCTGAGTCTCTCTCTGTTGCCCAGGCTGGAGTGCAGTGGCGCAATCTTGGCTCGCTACAACTTCTGCCTCCTGGGTTCAAGCAATTCCCCCACCTCAGCCTCCCAAGTAGCTGGAATTAATTTTTTTTTTTTTTTTTTTTTTTTTTTTAGTAGAGACAGGGTTTCACCATGTTGACCAGGCTGGTCTCAAACTCTTGACCTCAAGTGATCTGCCTATCTCAGCCTCCCAAATTGCTGGGATTACAGGCATGAGCCACCGTGTCCAGCCTTATGCACCTTTTTGTAAATTCATTTAGCACTTCTTTTCTGACTTTAAATGTATGTGATACTTTAACTTCTCATTTGAATCAGTTGTAACATCTTACTGGTTCCCTCATTAATCAATCAGTTAAATGGAATTTTGGGCATACATTCATTCATATTTGTATAAGTCATAATTTATTTAAATTATTCTTTAGTTCTACACATAGGCATGTGAACACACACTCACAGACACTACGCCAGTCAAATTTAATATTATATTATGCTTGGATTTTAAGTACTTCTCTTCACATACTTCTCTTTATTTTTTAAAATTTGTTCAGTAAGCATTGATTATTTCAATAATTAGAAACAAAGTTTTAAAAAACTATGAAAAAAATTCAAGTAATGCTTTGAAAGTCTCTACACGTATCTCTAACTCTCAAACAAACATGTGATTTTAATATCTGTGATTAAGCCAAGCGTGGTGACTCATGCCTGTAATCCCAACACTTTGGGAGGCCAAGGCAGGCAGGTCACTTGAGGCCAGAAGCTGGAGACCAGCCTGGCCAACAGGGTGAAACCCCATCTCTACTAAAAATACAAAAACTAGCCAGATGTGGTGGCACATGCCTGTAATCCCAGCTACCTGGGAGGCTGACGCATGAGAATTGCTTGAACCTGGAAGGCGGGGGTTGCAGTGGATTGAGATTGCACCACTGCACTCCAGCACAGGTGACAGAGCAAGACTCTGTCTCAAAAAAACAAACAAATAAGCAAAAATCTTGGATTAGGTGAACCACATAGAAGCAGCCAGTTTCTAAATCACCACATCTATCATATTTTCCTTTTTAAAAACATGAGGAACATATACACTGGGAAGTAAGAATTGTTAATCTTAATGAATGTATCCCTCTGATATGGTTTGGCTGTGTCCCCACTCAAAATCTCATCTTGAATTGTAATCCCCATGATTCCGATGTGTCAAGGGAGACACCAAGTGGATGTAATTGAATCATGGGGATGGCTTCCCCATGCTATTCTCATGATAGTGAGTTCTCAAGAGATCTGATGGTTTTAAAGTGTTAGGCAGTTCCTCCTGTGTTCATTCTCCTTCCTGCCACCTTGCGAAGAAGGTGCATTGCTTCCCCTTCACCTTCCACCATGATTGTAAGTTTCCCGAGGCCTCCCCAGCCATGTAGAACTGTGAGCCAATTACAGCTCTTTCCTTTATAAATTACCCAGTCTCAGGCAGTTCTTTATAGCAGTGTGAAAACAGACTAATATATGCTCTATCAATATAAATGTCAAGGCAATATATTTTTAAAGGTCTATCAGCGATAGGCTAAAATAAGAATTTATAAATGTGCTCTAAAAGAACAACTATCCCTTGGATTTTATTAGGAGAAACACTAAAATATTAACAAAACCTCAAGCCGTGGCATCCAAATAGTAGTGAAGTAAGGTCCTTAGTCTTGTTGGTCAGGCCACAGACTCCTCAGTTGTTCCAAAGAACTCATCTGAATGATTGGATTTACAGTTTTGTTTTATTTTTTGCTAATCCAGAAAAACACAAATCTTTGTACTCCATAGCCTGCCATATTAAAAAAGAGCACAAATGCATTAAAGATAGTAATAATACTTAAAAGCAAAATTAAGTATATAAGTAAATACAAAAAGGTAAGTAAATGTCAGAAGGTTATAAGAACATTGATTTCATGTAAATGTAGATAGGTGAATCCTTAAAATGTGCTAGTTTTCATGTCAATATCAGCAGAGAGTTCATTATGAAATCTCAGTCCATTTTCTTACTAAATAACCCAGTATACTCGAATGAATAATCTTACTTTGTCTTATTCTAAGCCCTGAGAATATAAAGTACTCTGAAAATGTATTAACACTAATCAAAAAAGGACAAAACAAAGTTTCAGAATTCTTATGGGTTGAATTGTGTCCCCCCTAAAAAAAAACATATTTGCAGTTCTAATCCTCAGTGTGAATAAACATGACCTTATTTGAAAATAGGGTCATTGCTGATGATCAAGTTGGAGTCATTAGGCTAGGTTCCAATCCAATATGTCTGTGTCTTTATAAAAAAGAAATTTGGATTCAGAGACAGACATATAAAAAGAGGCATGGGAAGAATGCCATTACAAGCCAAGGAATGCTTGAGTCCCCAAAAGCTAGGAGAGAGGCACAGAATAGATTTTCCCTCGCAGCCCTCAGAAAGAACCAACTTGCTGACACCTTGATCTTCGACTTGCAGCCTCCAGAACTGTGGGACAATGCATTCCTATTGTTTAAGCAGCACAGTTTTTGGTACTTTGTGACAACAGCCCCAGGAAACTAATACAAAAATTGACATTTCATTGTCTAATTTCACATGCTACTTTTGATCTCAATAAAATATGCTGAAAGTTTGCTATTCTCTAAACATATTAAGAATGAATGACCAAGGTATTTTCTCAAGACTCATTTCTTTCCTCCAAATTCACCACCCATCAACACACAAACCACACCAAGAAAAGGAACAAAAATAAATAAATAAATCTTTGAAGATGATATAGTAATTTTTTAAACACGAATTACAACTGGCCTTTCTAGTCATCCGTACGTCAATGACCATTATTAGTTATGTTCCCTTAACATCAGTGATTTCACCCTTTACAGCCATACTTTCAAATTCTGAGGCCATTTCAAAGTGTATGTTTTATCCTACGTATAAAAATTAAATGAGCTAACGTAATAAAGAACAAAAGGTAAAAGACAAAGCAGAAAGTTTAAACAAAATTCAAGTCAAAAATTGCTGAAATGTTGATTAAACCTAATGGAGCTCATTAGCCATTAATAGATACCAGTGTTAAAGTGAAAAAGAATAAGCACATTGTGTTCTACAGAGAAACCCCTTTCCTTCAGAAATCACAGATACGCCAAAAATCACATTTTCCCTTACCCAATATGATGAGAAATTGTACAAGAGAGATACGTTGATTTGGGGGAACACTGATTATACTTAACTCTGTTTTTATTACAAATGGGTTTTATTTAATAAGCAACAGTTAAAATATTAAAGAAAAACCTTATATAAAAATTAAAACAGACTATTACTGAATTATATACATACCACTAAGCATAGCATACTTTTAAGAGATAAAAATCCCAAGGAAATTATAGTAACTACTTTGTTTAACTCAGAGGGACTAGTTTGAGGAGGGGAGATACAAATTTGTATGTATTGCAGAATTCTGTCTGCATGACCTACTATATAAAGAAATTAAGTACTTAGGTAACAGCTAAAAATATTCCAATATATACACAAGGAGATTTTTGAAAATACTCCAGAAAGAAGGCAAAATTTAAAGAAAAAACAAAAACAAAAAACTGTTCACTAAGCTATGAGTCAGTTGGATATGGGAGGAGTAAAGGAACCAGCAGGCTAGGAGGTTCCAGGCAGCCTGCTCACACATCCAGAGCCCTATAGACAAGTCTTACATGAGGAAAGTTAAAAGCATTATACATTTTTAAAATCACATTTTAAATGTCTATACATCTGCGCTCATAATTTTATCTGGAAGATAAAAGGCTATGAGAAGTAAAACATGTTGAGATTGGAACAAATATTAGATAATCCATCATTAATATTTATCTTTCCCTCCAAATTTTTCTTTGAGTTCAAAAAAGATTGAATTTTAATCTATACAGGAAGATGATTTCTCCATAACAATTAAACTAGAAAGTAGATTTCTAAACATTACAGTAAAAACAGAGTAATATAAGGAAATAGGAAAGGAACATCATGTGCTTTACATTTTAATAAAATACGTCAAAGATAAAAGTATCTCTCTATATTAAAAAGTCAAAGTTCTAATTCAAGTAACACATACTTGATACTGGGTTATTCTCAAAGCAGATACCATTTTACATGAATGAGCGTGATTTTTTTCTTCTCATTTGCAAGTCATTTGCCAGAATTTGTTACAGCTTACAATCTTTTAGAAGTTTGTTTGTTTTTTGTTTTTGTTGAGATGGAGTGTCGCTATGTCAACAGGCTGGAGTGCAGTGGTGCGATCTCGGCTCACTGCAACCTCCGCCTCCGGGGTTCAAACAATTCTCCTGGCTCAGCCTCCCCGGTAGCTGGAACTACAGGCGCCCACCACCACGCCCAGCTAATTTTTGTATTTTTAGTAGAGACGGGGCTTCAACATTTTGGCCAGGATGGTCCCGATATCCTGACCTCGCGATCCGCCCACCTCGGCCTCCCAAAGTGCTGGGATTACAGGAGTGAGCTACCGCGTAAGGCCTCTTTTAGAAGTTTTGAGATGAAGACTGATATGTAGGCATCAAATCTCCTTAGTAATGTTGTCTGAAAAAAGGATGTCTAGGAAAAGCAGTGCTATAAAGAGAGGAAATACAACTTTTATGTTTTAAAAAAATCAAGCAGAAACTTTTATTTGCCTAATTCCTACGTCATATCGTACTTTGCACTTTCTAGGAAAAAAATCTTTCCACAGAAACATGAAACATTGCTTTTGAAAGACTAGAAGCAACCAACTAAAAATTAAGCAATTGTTGCAAATTAAATCTGTAGTACAGCTGCATCCATTTAAAAAGAGCAGCTGCTGAAGAAATAAAAGTACATTCTCTGCATCAAACTACAAAACATTCAAAAACATAGTGACATTTGATTAAATGGATATTTATTAGAGACAGTTCCATATGGCTTTTACATAGATTCTTTCACATAAACACCAGCTTCTCTTTTTATGTTAGAAGTTGAGAAGTGCTTATCTCTAAAACAGTCAGACATACTTAGTTCCAATTTTGTCCATTGAGAAAAAAACTTTTATTTTAATGTGTATTATAGCTCAGCCAGCTTGATTATGTATAGCTGGGCTTCAATGTTTTGCACTGTTCAACTTTGTGTGCCAGAATCTGCTTCTCTTCATCTGAAACTCTTCTTATTCCTCAACTTGAACATGATTTTTTTCTTTCCCTACATGTGCCCAAGTAAAACACTGAAGTAAAGCTCATTCAAGAGAAAAGCACACTTATAGAAATGAGGGAATTTCTCTATGCCATGGCCTTCTGGTAAGTTATTCTGGAACAAAAATATTTGTGTTCCTATATGGCTTAGAAACATTCTTCTACATCAGGTTTTTTTTTTTTACAGAAAAAAAAATACATGTGTGCAATGAATACTTTTAGTCACTAAAATACTTTTCATTTCTTAGTTAAATGATCAATTATGTAATCACACGAGTCAAAACAACAGGGAGAAATAATCTTGTGCTTTCTGTACTTGTTAGAGAAAATTACTTGGGGACCTTGTTAAAAATATCTATTTCTCGCTGAGCGTGGTGGCTCACGCCTGTAATCCTAGCACTTTGGGAGGCCGAGGCAGGTGGATCACGAGGTCAGGAGATCGAGACCATCCTGGCTAACACGGTGAAATCCCGTCTCTACAAAAAATACAAAAAATTAGCTGGGCGTGGTGGCGGGCGCCTGTAGTCCCAGCTACTCGGGAGGCTGAGGCAGGAAAGCGGCGTGAACACGGGAGGCGGAGCTTGCAGTGAGCCGAGATCGCACCCCTGCATTCCAGCCTGGGTGACAAGAGACTCTGCTCAAAAAAAAAAAAAAAAAAAAAATCTATTTCCCAAGTCACTTACATGGAGAATCTGAATAAATTGTTGAAGCCGAAAATCTGTAGAGTTTGGGGGATTTGTGAAGAGATGCTCTAAGCAATAAATGGGATTCATGTCAATGTTCTTAAAAATACATAAATATTAAAATGCTTCCTTTACTTATTTTTGCTGGCTGTTTCATTGTGTTACTCTATATGTAGCTAACAAAGAGTAGGTCCTATAGTACCCCAGTTATGATTAGGGATTGATCTAATAGGGCAAGAGTCTTCTTATCCAAATGACTAGGACTAGTTAATAACAACAACAACAACAACGTCAGTAAATACAGTTGAAAGAGCCACATAAAGCAAATAATCATGTTTAATAATTAAATGAGCATATAATAAATATTCAGTTTCAACTTGAAACATTCATTATTCAGACATTCATTCACCAATCTTTCTATGAAGGGCTAAAATCCTGCAAGGTTTAGGTCTCCTACTCTCTATTTCATGTCACCTTTAGAAGAAAGGTAATTTAAACATCTGTAATGCTGCACAGTTATTTGATTACAGTTTTACCCACAGTCCCTAATTATTTCATCTACACCTCAGTTAACATATATGCTGTATCTACTTTGCCTTCATCAAGTCTTTCAAAGAAAGCATTCAATCAAGTTTTCATAGAAACAACAACATTATTTTTGGCTTATATTTCAGTGGTTTATATAATTTTTAATTAAATTCTGCAATTACAACACTAAGGAAAAGTGGCATAAACTGGCCAGGTAACCACCACAATTGATGAACATCAGTTGGTATTTTTAACAGAAAGACTCCAGAGCACTGGTTAACGCTAGCAAGTTGGTTAAGGTCAAGTCAATGAAGACAATTTCTCCTATGGTTTCATTTCAGAACCTGAATGGCGTTCTGCCTTCACTGTCAATGCTAGTTTTGTTTGGTTACTTTGAGAGCTTCTCCCACTAGAACTTATCTTTGTGAAAAGATAGTGGAAAAAGTTATTCATAAATTTTCCTTTCACACTGCCCTACTATGGTTTTTAAGCTGAATGAATTCACTTCTAGGCAAATCATTACTTTAAGAAAAATCAAAGTTACATAATCCAAAGCAAAGACAGGAGGGAAACTTCTTTCCATGAGATGAAAACAGTCAATAAGTTAAGGAAAATTATTCCTAATAGACTTGCAAATAACCTAGGCATTTCTTCAATAATAAGATCCTCTGTGTGTGTGTTTTGCAAATGCTATATTTTATTTCTTTGAGAAATAACATTTTTAGAAAAAGTAGTTGATCATGTTAAATTATACAATGCTTTGGACACACAGTAGCTTGTCCATAATCAGAAGAATTTTTATATTCTGAAAGCTTTACTATGTAAATGATAAAGATGTTAATGGAAATAAGTTTAAAAGCCCTGAATGCAGAGGGCCCCTGCTACATAGCTAAAAAATATATAACCTGGATGATGTTCTATTGTTTTGACTTGGAGTTTTATCCTGTGGTTTTCGTACAATTAACTGTCTTTTGTAGCATTGACACTAACTGCCAAATCCCTCTCATTGGTTGGCCACTGACACATCTCAAAGATACATCAAATACTCAAACTTTGCATGTTCTGACTTCAAAGACAGTAAGGATTTGGCCTCACAGCTATTAAATGAGGCCAGGTAGCAGCAGCAAGAGCTTGATGGACAGATGAGCTCATCTTCACTGCTGGCCCCATAGGCAAAAGAAAAATTTTTCTCCAGTGCTTGCTTTTGTCAACAGTGATGAAAAGAACTCAGAAAAAGATGGTTAAATCTTGACAAACTAAGTCTTTTAAATATTTGAGGACTTCAGGCTTAGATCACCCAGCTTCTCAATTTTGCTCTTTTGTATACCTTCCAATTGCTTTGCTATACCAGTCCATTTAAAATCAATTTAAGACTTTGTTGAACAATGTTCAGCTATTAACATCTGAACTTACAGGAGTTCATAGAAGATTTCGAGCAATGAGTGATGATCTTCAAAGCAATGGCGACTGAAGCTGCAGAAGCCTCTTGCCCAAGTGTCCTCAGTGTAATATCACTTTCCAAACACAGTTTCTTCCACGCTGCCCCAGGAAAGCATTTTATAAATGTGCTCATGTTTGACCATAAACTCAAAGGAGCAAGATTAAATATAGGATGAACAACCAAAACATTCTTCTGCAGTGAGATTCCTTTTCCTTAATTCCCTTTTAACTCACAAGAAGGGATAGGGACAGTTCTTCAGTTCTGGCCCTCAACAACCAAGACACATGATAAGCTCAAGAGATATACTCAAGGGATAGCAGAGAAGAAAACACTGAAAGAAATTTAGGTAAAAAGGTAATACATGAACTTCAGGACTGATCAAGGAGGAGTGGTGTAAAGTCCCCTGGGCTTACTAGTACAATCACGTTATACCCACAAAAAGAGAGCAGTCCATCAGTCCCCACTGGAATGAAACTTTAGCCCTGATGTTACCTTGTAGACTACACTACATTTGATACAGCTTATGTACATAAAAATGAATTATTCAGTGTTTTTCAATGTCTATTAACCTTTTAAGGGAATGACTAAAACCTTTTCAACAAGGATGAATATTTAGAAGTATTCGATACCATAACTCAACCATTATTCTTGAGAAATACAGCAACACTACCTGAAAAATCAAAAATGAATTCCAAACTAACTGTCATTTTTCTAAGCAAAAGTAGAGATAAGAAGCCTGGCCATAATAAAATGTGGGTTTTAATAAATGTTGAAAAATGTCACAAAGTATATATTTTAAAATTAGTGTAATTATTTTCTGCTCTTTAATCAGGACAGTGAGAAAAATGCATGAGAAAATTCAGAAGGCTGGTAGACATTTCAACTATCCAAAAATCTAGGCAAAAAAATGTGCCAAAATTTTGACCTGGAAATGATTTGAGATTTATAGTCAAAGAGTGACTATTTTACATTAGAATTAATAATGTTGAAATACAGCCCATAAAATATTGACATTGTCCTGACTTAATAAGGATTTTGTAATATTAACACTTGTCCTGATTATGAAAAGGAAAATGTCATTTTAATTATATTTCAAAACAGGTGGACGAAAAGCATTATTTCCTGGAAAAGTTTACATTTACAGTAAACATTTACACCATTACGTTTACAGGCAGTTTTTAATCTTGTTTAATACATCCAATATTTATTGAGTCTTTATTGAATGTCAAGCAGTGTGCTAGGTAGGTACTGAAAATACAAGAAAAACAAAAAGAATAAGTGTCATCAGGGGCTCACTGAAGGCAGGTGTGTATTGCTCAGCCTATTGGCTCTGGATCCAGTACTTATTAATTATATAATATGACTAATGTGTTTCCAGAAGCTCGCTCTAATGAGGGTGTATAAAATGTAAATGGCTGCCTAGGTTATGTATGCCTGATTACAACTGCAGCTATTACAACTATATACTATATCAGTATGTTTATTTCCTCAGTATCCTGTTTTGAATCATTGCTCCTTCCAATCTGGTATGTTGCCTTCAAACATGACTCCCCTACATGGGACAAGCTGTCAATAGGAATAAACCATCCCTATTCCTAAGAACACTTTATAAAAATCTAGATGAAGAAGAATTCCTAAAGCTAATTATCCTTCTCTCACAATTATTATTATAAATACTGTAATTGTTGACAGACTATTTTGGAAGAATATGAGCCTCCTGCAGAAGCTTAAAGCCTTACACATTTTATTTATTTGTTTTAATTAATTACTTGAGGAATGAGTACTTCTGAGATTTCAAGAAGCCAAACTTGTGGCTTCTGGCAGAAGATGCGATCTGGAAGGAATGGCTTACTCTGGTGACAAGGAGAAAGGCAAGCTGTTGAAGCAGAAGAATCATGAGAAGACTTTTCAAGCACCATTCTTTGTTGTTCTAAAGAAAGGCATGGGCTACGAGGCCAGGTTGCTATGGCGTTTTCAAAAAGTCTCACTCTGTTGCTGCTTTAAGGGTCTCACTCTCAAGGCTAACATACTGGATGACAGAGAAAAAGAAATCTTTCTAGTTTTCTTCGTCTTATACATGATAGTATTCCTTTAAATCAGTAATGTTTTAATTACCTTGAAATATACAAATCCTTCACTCCCTTTTATGTTCAAGGGAAAAGATTTTAGCAGAAATCAAGGTTATTTTTAAAAATCCGTTTATCAAGCCAGATATCGAATTATTCCTTTGACTTACGGCCTTAACATTTTGCATCTTTGCTAGAAGTGCTGTTCTTTATGACTCTACCAAAAAAAAAGTATTTAACAACAGAGCAGGGGTTCATTATTGCCGATCAGCAACTGGAAAGCTAGAGCCCCTTCTTCCTTGCAAACTGCATGATAATTCTCAGGATAATTAGGGGCATAAATTTGCTGGCACATAGTGTTTGTTTTTGCTGTGATATTTTTTAATAGGAAAAAGAAGTACTTATGGTAAAATATTATCTCATATTTTTCTTTTAGCAGCGCCAGATTTCACAGGCAATCTTAGTCAAATGCATAGGATTTCTTTGTTTCAAAAGGTTATATATGCAACGGACACTGAAGTTCTTGAAAACATCACAAACATGTCTTTCCTTTTTTGTACTCTAGCAATAAGAAAGTGCTCCCTGTGCATCTGTTAGAGAAACAGCCTCAAAATATGGCTTAGCAGTGAGTATATAAAAGTAGATAGAATGAGGATTAACCCATCTATACTAAACCACGAAATAGTATTAGTAGTTAACAAGGCAATTCCTCCACGTTCTGTTTTTTAATTCATAGCCAACAGTAATCCTGTTAGACAAGACAAATGCTCAGCTGCCACTTTATTGTTAATGACACAAAAGAATATGGGACATTCAGCAATCATATTCTTAATAATTTTCAATGTATACTTTAATAAGCACTGACATTTTCAGCCCACGGATTCAAATCAATTTGATGGAATTTGCCAAGGGTTATAATTTTGTTGTCATATCTTTTTGCTCTTTGGGCAAGGCCTTTCCATCTAAACCCCAGGCGTTGGTTTGAATCCCTGTGGACTCAAGCATATGTTCAAGGGATTCATAGTCCATTCTTCTTGGATAATTTAGATAATCATATGAAACCAGTTCCTCTCCAATGCCAACTGTATTCTCCTGCTGTAGATTTACAGGGTGTATGATGCCACAAGATGGAATAGGCAATAATCAAGACACACTAACTATATGAAATTTTAAGTTCCCATCTTTAAGGCAGAAGTATTGAATTACTTATTTTACTCAGTTATTCGGTTTCTTTAAATGTCCGTTGACATTCTCTTATCATTTTTTATATGCCATTCACAGAAGAGTTGACAATCTCTACTTATTAAGATCATAACATCCATCAAATATATCCCGCAAAACTCAAATATCATAAAATCAAATATTATGTAGAACAACATAAATATCTGATGTCTCCTTTTTGCCACTTGGCATAGATATTACCAAGGCATTGATTTTTCCCAGTCTAAGGACATTATAGGTCAATAACTTCGTAACATTAGTATTTTGTCAATAATAGCAATGCTCTACTCCTGTTTTTCTACATGTTGCTACAATCCTCAAAATAAGAATAAAAGCAAGAACAAAATCTTTCTTTTATATCTCAAAAGAAAGGAGAGTAAATTATTTAAAATGCAATGGTTAAAGCAAAGAAATTTAGATAGAGAAAAATGCCTGATTTTAAGCTCCAGGCATAAACTTGTAGCATGAACTACATAACTTGTAGCATGAACTAAAATGCAAACTGAAGCATTTAAACAATTCTTGTGCTTATGGCTTCTCGCCCCCAGTCACTTTCCTCTGGTTTCTACTTGGGTGCTTATCTAGCTTCTGGCATTCTGCACCAAAAGTTCCAAGAATATCTGCCTCTCAGTTTCTTTCTTTCTTAGGGGTACGGCCTGTTTCTTCAGCCCATTTGAATCCCATTTTCTTTCCAGATGCACAAAACAAAACTGAAAGCATTTTCTCTGTTCATTACATACCAAGATTGTGTATGTGTGTGTGTGTGTGTATGGTGTGTCACCCAGGCTGAAGTGCACTGGCATCATCTCGGCTCACTGCAACCTCTGCCTCCGAGGTTCAATCAATCCTCCTACTTCAGCCTCTCGAGTAGCTGGGACCACAGGCATGTGCCAACATGTCTGGCTAATTTTTGTATTTTTTGGTAGAGATGGGGTTTCACCACGTTGGCCAGGCTGGTCTCAAACCCCTGACCTCAAGTGATCTGCTGGCCTCGTCCTCCCAAAGTGCTGGGATGACAGGCATGAGTCACCACCATGCCCACCCCCAAGATTCTTTTAATGAATCATATAATTAGGCGAAGGGGTTGTAAAAAGCCTCCGTATCTTTTTGTTTTTAAAACGCTTTACTAAGATTATGCCATAGAACAAACTTCACATGAAAAAGCAAGTGTGAGCTAACCGAAGGCAGTAGGCCCAGAGGCTTGGACATGCTACCGATTTTAACATGGGAGGAAAGAGAGGAGCTCAGGAATTTTAAAAGAAGGAACATACACACACACACACACACACACACACACACACACACACACTCACACACATTTTTTCCTCTCCTACATTTGGTATAAGTGATAGATGTTAAGGAAAAAGAAATATTCCCCCATCTTTAAGTGGCAGAAGTATTTGGTCACTCATTTTTGATCAACAGTGACCTAAAGAGACTACTTACAAAATTGGGCTAATCTGGCCTCTGAAGATTCAACAGTCACAGCACTGTCTCACTACCATCTCCACCAAAATAAAAAAAAAGATAAATTTATCTTCTATGTTAGGATGAATAATGGCCCCCAAAGATAGCCACATTCTAATCCCTGAACCTGTCAAAGTTATTTTATAGGGCAAAAGGGAATTTGCGGATGAGACTAAATTAAGGATTTTGAGATAGGGAGATTCCCCCGATTATCTGAATGGAGCCTAAATATAATCCCCAGTGTCCACAGAAGAAAGAAGCAGAGGAAACTTTAAGGACAGCAGCAGTCGAGGCAATGTGAAGATGGAAACAAGATGCTAAACTGCTGCCTTTGAAGATGGAGGAAGAGGCCAGGAGCCAAGGAATGCAAGGAATGAAGCTCTAGAAGGTGGAAAAGGAAAGGAAAAGAATTTTCCCCTGGAGTCTCCTGAGAAAGCAAGCCTCTGCTGAAACCTTGATCTTGGCCCAGTGAAACTGACTTCGTGCTTATGACCTTCCAGAACTGAAAGAGAATAAATGTGTGTTGTTTTAAGCCACTGAGTTTGCGGTAATTTGTTATAGATGCCAGAGAAAACTAATCCACATACATTAAAATTGAAAGATAATTTTTGTCCTAAAAATCACTTTAAAGAGAGTGAAAATTTGAGAAAAATCCTACGAGAAAACACTCACAATATATCTAGACGACAAAAGACACATATCGAAAATATGTAAAGGAATCTTATGAAATAATACGAAGACAAACCAACAATAATAAAGTGAACAAAAACAAAGGCATTTCAAGAATGACTCCTAAATATATAAAAAGAGCTTCAACATCATTATTCATCATAGACATAAAAATTAAAACCACAGTAAATTTCATTTTACACCCATCATATTTGTCGGTATATAGGACAACTAGAATTCACCCACCCTGCCGGGGAGAGTGTATATTGCTACAATCACTTTGGAGTGTACTTTGATTCTATTTAGGAAAGCTGAACAAGCACATACCATATTTAACCTAACAATTTAACTCCCAGGTATATGCCTTAGAGAAATACTTGTACATGTGCACTAAAAGCCACATATAATTTTATTCATATTGTTGATAATATTCAAAAAAGTATTGAAAACAATCCAAAAACCCATCAATACTAGAATGGATCAATGTTATAGGACCTTCGTATAATGCATTAATATATAGTGGGAAAATGAATGAACTATAATTATACATATCAACACGGTTGAATCTCAAAAACAAACCTGAATGAAAAAAATGAGTCAAAGAAGAAACACAGTATGATTCTAACGCGTTCAAAAATAGACAAAAATAAACATATATATATATAATTCTATTTTTAAGAGATCCATGCTATGGAATGATTTTCTTAAAACTCATGCTACAGGTTAACTGTATAAGGAAGAGAGAAGTATGGGATCAGGGTAGAGCACTCAGGAAACTGTAGTCACTGATAATGTTTTATTTCTTAAGCTGAATAGTAGAACACTCTGAAAGCAGTAACGGGAAAATGCATCGAGTTGGCTAGTGTTTGTTGAAGACACACTGAATTACTTTATAGGACAACCGAGTAATCCCTTCCTAGTTGTCTCTTCCAATCCAGTCTACCAGGAAACATGTTGAAAATACAGATTCCTGAGCTCCAACTCTAATCTACTGAATTAGATTCTCTGGGGCTGGTATTCAAGAATGACGTAGGTCTTGTCAACATACATTCAAATATGACTCGACAAGGGACTGTAAGTTTTAAGAGGGTAGGGAGATACATGTCTCTTTCAGTGTTAAATTTGAGGCTAATATGCACCAATGTTTGCTATTCTTTAAACTGTACCAATATTATATATACTCTTTCATGTGCATAATATTCATAATTCAAAGATTTTATCTAAAACATTCAATGACACAACTCACTAGAAGTAAGAGGAAATCAGATACCATTTCTAAGATCTATCTTACCATTTTAAATGTTCATTATCAATTGTTCAAAAAGCCATGGGTCTTATAACTTACTGCATATAAAATCACATACAATATGTATATATTGAGTATCATTTACAATATGTTAATTCAAACAGATTTAAAAGATTTACCATGATGGTGAATAAAAATTTCAATGTATTTAAAAAGGTGAATCTGAAAGTATGCATTCTTTAATATCTTTAGACATTTAATGCCTTTAGATATTTAATGCCTTTAGATAATAAGCTGTTTACTTTTCCAACATTTTGCTCTTTAATCCAAACCAAATTTTAAAATTCCCCAAAATGAGATTAAAAGTTACACATTCCAACACTGAAAAAAATTTCAGAAGAAACCCTGATATGATTTAAACTGTTCTTTATTTTTTTCTCTGTGTACAGAGTCACTAGCTACTTACTGTTTTTTTCTGAGAAATAGTTCTTAAGATGAGTTGCAGCTGTGATAATGTGGTCATTTAGATTAATAAAACCCCTGAGGGATGACTAGATTCAGAGACAGATTTAACAACTGAAGAGTGTAGGATTTTACATCCAACTAAATAGTTGCACCTTTAGGAAGAAAAACAAAGTGGTATCTCTCTTCAAGTTTCTAGAATCTCCTACTGACTGGGGTTTGCAGTGGGAGGGAAAGGAGGAGCCGATGTTGTAGGAATGTACAAAAGCTAACTCTCCATAAAATTAACTGCCAGGATGCCAACTATCAGACCGTAGAGATTTTCCACAGAAAACACCCTGAAAGAAATAAAAGGAATATGCAAGTAGTTGGCTAGAGTTTACTGAAGACAATGGGAATTGCTTTATGGAACAACTGAGTAATCCCTTCCTGGTTGTCTTTTCCTATCCAGTGTCCTAGGAAACATGTTGAAAATGCAGATTACTGAGCCCCAACTCTGATCCACTGTATCAGATACTCTAGGGTAGTATCCAAAAATGATCTAGGTCATGTCAACATACATTCAAATACAAGACTTTACAAGGAACCATAAGCCTTAAGAGGGTGGGGATGTAGCTGCCTCTTTTGGTATTAAATTCAGAGCCAAAATGCACCAGGATGACCATAGGGTGGCTTACAATCAATGTTCTTTCTGACCAATCGCGTCAATGCCACGCTGGTTAAAAAATATTCTAAATGTTACCATTTCATTTACATCCTGAGTGCCAACACAGTAGCTGGGAGGGATTACAAAAAAGTATTCAATAAATATATTTTGGGAAAAAAATCAGAAAGATAACCTTTAGAAAGGCATCATATATCAAATATTGTTTTGGTATAAAATCTAAAACCCATTACATCTTTGAAATGTGGAGTTTTAAATAAATAACACCAATTTGCCCAGAATCCAAACATCCTAGAAAATCAATTTACTTTCTTACTTTTACAGTCCTCATTCTGAGATTTAAAGTACTGGAAAACTTGAGGCAACAGAAAAAAGATGGTTTTTGAAACTATGGATTTGCTGTTCAGAAAATAATAGCAATGGCACTCTGAGATGTAAGGGGAACCCAGAGGGGAAGAGAGAGCATGATTGGACTCCGTATTTCTAGAAACTAGGATTTATGGAGCAGAAGAACAGAGGAAAAGGGATAAATTCAGGCCAGTGGTTCTTCCTTTTGCTTGGCTACATGTTAGACTCACCTGGGGAGCTCTTTAAAAAACACCAGTACCTGACCTTACCCCGGATTTAATTGATCACGGATGGGGCCTCTCAATCAATCATAGTTAAAAGCTCCAAAGATTTTAATGTGCAGAAAAGGCTGAAAACCACTTGTAGACAAATTAAAAATTTGGTTGCGCTCTACCCTAAGAGTACGTTACAAAATCGTATGGAGATTCTGAAGAGTTCAAATGCTAGGCTGGTCTCCAGAACTGTTGAATCAATCTCCAGGGTAAAACCTGGGAATGGGCATGTCAGCTCAAGCTGTAATAACAAAATATTGTAGACTGGGTGGCTTAAAACACAGAAATTTATTGTTTCGCAGTTCTGGAGACTTGAAATCCAAGATCTAGGTGGCAGCATGGATGGTGTCTAATGACGGCTTGCTCCTTGGATTACAGACAGACACCTTCTTACTGTGTCCTCACATGTGAGGACATGGAAAGAGAGTTCAAGCTCTCTGGTGTCTCTTCTTATAAACACACTAATCCCATTACGAGGGCCCACTCTCTCGACCTCATCTACACCTAACTGCCTGCCAAAGGCCCCTTCACCAAATACCATCACATAAGGGATTAGAACTTCAACATATCAATTCGGGTTGGGGGGAAAAGGACACAATGCAACCCACAGCATTGCACTGTGAAAGTTTTAGAAAGATTTTGATGCTTATTCAAGATTCGTGCATACAGATTCATAATTCCAAGATTATTATTTAAGAAGAAAAGAGATAAACCCCATCTCTACCACCTCCACTTTTACATCCTTACATTGTTCCCTAGTCCTGCCTAAAATACTTCAAGTGGAAAAGTGTTGTAAATTATAACACACTTTCCTGACCATTTGCAAATTTTTATGAGGGGTAATCCAGACTAGCTATTAAAGGATGTAAGCTTTGTAATCAGGTGGTTCTAGGTTCAAACCTCTCATTACAGTGTTCATACTTGAAACCCTGGGACACAACCCCCTTTACAACTAGATGTCCCACTCAGACATGATGAATTCTCACTTCCCTCTTTCCCACTGAACTCAGAGCCTCAGAGTCCCTCTTAATATAGTATTCCACCTCAAGTCAGAACAACATTCAAAATAAAAACTATTTTCCATTCCCACTTAAAAAACTCCTGTTTTGTGCCATCAAGTCCATCAACACAATTATTTCTTTCTTAAGACAAAGTTCTGGTATACTAAAAACAAAAATGACCCTAACAACTAAAATAATGGAGGATACTGAATGATTAGTGTTATGTAAGAGAAAACAATCCAAGTTTTGCTAACACATGTGGCAGGGATAGGAAAAAAAAACAGAAAAAAAAAAGATTAAAATATGATTTCCAGGAAGACTTGGAGATAGAAGTATTAATAAATTCAGAAAACAAGGAGATGCAATTTCCCAGAGTCATTATTGGCAGAGAATGTCATTTAGAGTTTCCTGAAAGTCCATAAAGAACAGTTCTGCCATGGGAATATCTATTTTGTCTGCCTTCATTCTGAACACTGACCTTTAACTTCAGAACTAAAGTGTTATTTACAGTTATAGCACTGTTAGGCTGTGTTAAATAATTTACTGTTTTCATTTCCTAGATAACTTACTATTTCCCTATTCCACCCACATAATATTTCCTTTCAAATGTCATCAAAAATATATGTTGTACCTAAAAATTTATTATGTTACTCTAGACAGTATGCAATGTCTTTTAAAAACATATAAAGGCACCCATGTTTATTAGAAGGGAGATTCCGGTGTTTTTAAACTGAAACAGGTCCTAAATAATTATTATCGACAACATAGGATTTGAGTTAATGTATTAAATTCAAAGTAGCCAGTTTCTATGCCAAATAAGTACACTGCAGATGTGCATATTTTAGGAAAGTAACTCTGAAGGCAATTTCAAAGACTCATTAGAGAGTGGGAGGCTAGAAAGAGAAGACCCTTTGGGACCATGACAACCATCTGAGTGGAGAATGACTAGATGGACTACGACTGCGAGCATAGGGAGGAGTTGACAGACATGAAACTGGCAGGATATTACAACATAATAAAAGTAAGGAATGAAGTTCAGAAGGCAGGCAAAAATGGATCTTGGATGTTTCACCCAAGTAACTAGAAGGGTATTCATTATTACGGTGGCTAGGAAAATTTGAAAAATATCAGTCATTCTGTGTTAAAGAATGGCTCAGAGGTATTTAAGGGTTAAATATGAACAAATATGTCTCAAAATCTGCAAAAATCATATAAAATAATAATGGTAATCATGTGATTTCTGTTCAGCATCTCTGACTCCTTATACCTGATGTTTAGTAATTCTCAAGCATACTATCACTGGGTTCTGAAATGAGAGAAGAGGCAGTGAGCTTCAAGGCTTTGGACTTCTCCTCCAGTGCAGTGTGGAATTGTGAGGGCTCAGATAATTAGACCACATTAATGATACACTTAGTGACTGAGTGGCAGCCTCACAGTTTGCAAAATAAGCTACTTAGTAAACTCTCCTCTAGAATTATTTAACAAAATAACTCCTGCCAGAAAATATATTTGAAACTTTGAGAGGATGCTTAGTGGCTCTTCCACCCTTTGTGTAGAGAAGTCCTACAAAACCCAATTACAGTGCTTGCCAACCCACTACTAACATCCAGTGAACAAACAATTCTTAAGGACTTGTTTTTAATTTCTCTCAACAGAAGTTAGGTTAAAAGTCACAATAACCACAGTGAAATAATTATCTTAGGTCTGGCATGCTTGGAGCTGCGTATAGAGGGGAGCTACAGGGAAGCTGTGTATAGAAGGGGAAGCACAGTGTAACCTGAAAGACCAGGCAGCCCTTGCTGTCAGTGTAATTTGAATCATCTCTGGCATGTTTATATAACCATGATTAGCAAGAATTTACTACATTTCTAATGCCATGCCAGACATGTATCCTTATCATTTAATTTAATGTTTACAATCAGTCTTATAGATCCCTCATTATTGGGCCAATTTCACAGATTACAGAATGAGATTCAGAGAGGTTAAATAACTTGCTCAAGATCACAGGCAAGTACAGACCATAATCATTGGCCATTCTAATTTTAAGACAAAAGACTAATGATAAGAAGCAACACATACAAATGTAAAATGTATAACATGCAAAATGTTATTAAAAAGAAAGAAAGCATGATTCTGAGACAGCTCAGGGTATGAAAGGGAAGACTCAGAAATCAATTGCAAATGGAAAAATAAATGTCATAATGAATTTATGTATCAAAATCAATCCTAATAGAACAATGTTGCTATTTTAAAACCTAAACAATGCTATTTAATTTGTTTAAACATATGGGACAAAATCACAAAGCTGGCTACAAAAAGAAAATGTGCTATTAATTTTATAAGTGTTTCAAGAAACGTTCTCATCCATTAAGCAACTCTTTTTTTTTTTTTTTTTTTTTTTTTTTTTTTTTTTTTTTTTTTTTTTGAGAAGGAGTCTCGCTCTGTCGCCAGGCTGGAGTGCAGTGGCCCAATCTCAGCTCACTGCAACCTCCGCCTCCCGGGTTCAAGTGATTCTTCTGCCTCAGCCTCCTGAGTAGCTGGGATTATAGGCGCGTGCCACCATGCCCAGCTACTTTTTGTATTTTTAGTAGAGATGGGGTTTCACCATGTTAGCCAGGATGGTCTCAATCTCTTGACCTCGTGATCCACCCACCTTGGCCTCCCAAAATGCTGGGATTACAGGCAGGAGCCACCGTGCCCGGCCCATTGACCAACTCTTTACTGTCTAAATACTTCAAATATTCAGAATAAAGTAGATATCTTTAAAATGTGGAAGAAGTTCAAAATCTAGTAAAAGATAACGGCAGATGTATATTTCAATGTTTTTAATAGTGTATCACATACAAGAATAAAATAAAGACTTTAAAAATCCTCCTTTATATAAGCAAGCATAATAAATACATTTTTATAAGTCATTTCCTGTGACAACATCTAGAGTATAAATTAACAGAAAGAATACTAGGCAGGAATATAGAAAGTCATTCCTACACTATCTTTATTAATATAAATCATTTCAGAAATAAAGATTCCTAGATATACAAACAAAAAAAAAGCATCATCATTCCTTTTATTTTCTTTGTTAAAGGATCTCATTCAGACATTTCACATATTTATAATCCATCATTTTAACCAAGTCTATCTGCCTCTCCTCAAATCAGAAAATTTTAAAAGATGAAAACAACCAATAACTAAGAACTCATGTTTAACAGCAGTCTTCTTTCACTCCCAATTAGATAGAAAAAATTAATGTACCTATTAAACTAACATATAAGTAATTCAACAATCAGGAAAGAAGCTTTGGAAGGCATATATAAAAAAGGCTACCCACCCAACAATGAGAAAAACAAAGAAGTCTCAAAAAACAAATAAAATATGTGCTTATTTCTGAAAAATTTGAATTCAACTCTGGAGTTCAAATGGCAATTTATTTTTTGCACTCATAACTATAAAATGACTTAAGCACACACTGAAGATCTCATTTATCTTTCAAACAAAAAATTGATGAGAGGAAAAGAGAGGTACCTTTAGTAACTGGGACAGGCGGTGATGGCTAAGAAGAAAGAAAAGAAAACACTTATCCTAAAATTCAAACTTCGTCTATCACACACAAAGCCACAATTATATAGTCATACTTATTAATAGATTAAGTGATTTTTATATTCACATTAGATTTCTCTAGAACAGCAACTACTGAAAAACAGAGCCAGAAACACACAGAGACAAAATTGCCTTTTATATGAGACACTTAAAAATAATACACTAGTCATAATTTAACTTTTAAATAATTTCTTTAAAAGTACACTGAAAATTTTAAAAAGCATTCACATTCGAAGTATTACTCATGACCACTCATTATATCACATTATAATCACTTAAATACAACTCAGCGCACCCTGTTAGATGGTCTACTGAATGGCATCTGTGTATCTCATTCACTTCTTCCTCTCCTCCTTGAAACACAGGAGAATTGTTGCTTTGCATTCAGCAAGAACTCTTAATTATTAGAACCTTTGTTTATATGCTTCATAATATTTGGATTTTTAAAAAATTATTTGCTCATATAAAAAATAGTTTCATTCACAGATTGTAGCTGTCAGTGCTAAGTGTTTGTGCTCCGTAGAAGCATCCTGTTTCTTTGCTTGTCTTCCAAGAGTCTGGCTGTCAGGCATTGGAATGGGAACAATTTCCATGTTGCATAACACGGTTCAGTGTACTGGACAAAGGGTGGGGCCTCAGGACTCCAGTGACTATTTGGATAGATCTCTAGGGAACATGCTTTTCAAGAGTGCAAAGACAGAAAAATAAATGGGCCAGGGGGTCAGGTTTTAACCTGCTGACTTAGTTCATTGGCTCTTCACACTAGGCAACGGGCTCTGCACCACTTCCATTGAAACGTGGTTTCTTATTGATCCAAAATCCCCAAAAGGGAGATCTAAGATGAGTAATATTTTTTGGCACAAGTTGGTATTATTTATAACACTTCCCTGTTCTGGAATATTCTTTTAGATATAGTCTCTCAAGTTCTAAGAAGTAGGAACTGTTTGTCCTACCTTCTTTCCCTATTTCATCCATCTCCAGGACTTTCAACTTTTATATTTCCTATTTTATTTAGGACATGCTACCATTTTAAATTTTTAAAATAAAAGTACTGGCTGGGCACGGTGGCTCCTGCCTGTAATCCCAGTACTTTGGGAGGCTGAGGCGGGCAGATTACGGGGTCAGGAGTTCCAGATCAGCCTGGCCAGCATGGTGAAACCCCATCTCTACTAAACACACAAGAAATTAGCCAGGCACAGTGGCGCGCACCTGTAGTCCCGCTACTCGGGAGGCTGAGGCAGGAGAATTGCTTGAACCTGGCAGGCAAAGGTTGCAGTGAGCCAAGATCGTGCCACAGCACTCCAGCCTGGGTGACAGAGTGAGACTGTCTCAAAAAAATAAACAAATAAATAAAATAAAATAAATAAATTTTTAAAAATTACCTAGAGAATTAACATTCTAACACACGTAAGTACTTAGCTTGGGGAGTTGGTAGAAAATTTTACCATCAGAGCTGTGAATGAGCGTGTGTAATCCAACAACGTAATATGAACCAATATAAGGGCTACTCTATTCTTGGAATACATATTCTGCAAAAATGAAAACTATGACATGCTATTAAAGAGAAGAAATTGTTAAGCAACCTCCAACTTCATCGACTTTTATCCTCAGAAAGGAAGATTTGATGAACTTAGACCTGGAATTTAATGAACTATATGTAACTAAATATTTTTTAAAAATTGAAAATAAAAATGGGGTATGATGAACCTTAAAACACAGGAGTTATGCACAACGGCTAAACTTCTAATTTCATTTTTAGAATTTCATATTCTCATATGTAACTGCTTCTTAATTCATAATACTGAGATTTGCTAGGGGTATAAATAGAGTGTGCCATGTTATCAGTTCATCATGTGGTGAGAATGTTTATCCTAAAATATCTGTTTTTCTCTCTATAAAATATGATTGGATGGTAAATAGCTGGGTATGTCTAGAAAGCCCTGTATAAACAAAGACCACAACTTCTTTGCACATGAGAAACTAATGTCTGTATCCATGTGTCTCATTTTATTCAATCCCACGTCAGCAATTTATAGTCCTGCACTCACTCTTCAAGGAAAATGAAAATTTGCATAGTGTACAATCCTGGCCATAGAAATTAGCATGGGCTTAGGACCCACCTGAAACCAGATTGGCTTTGAGAGTAATCATGATTCAGCTCACGGTAAAACATCTTACCGTAATAGCCATCCAGAAGAAAATCTTACTTATATAGAGTATATTTCTTGGGCCTACAGAAGGACAGTCATCATACTGAAGTACAGAAAAGATAATTATGATAACAATTAGCCAAGCAATGGGAAAAAACAACTTACTCAATATCAAAGTTATTGATATAAAAAGCGAGAGCTGAAAAAATAATTCCAATATTGATTTACTAAGTGACAGTGAACCTTGTTAAGTGAATATATTGCTTTCTAAGTAAATATAACCCTCATTTTGAAGGGGATATATTAAATTTGTGGATCTATTGAAATACCATTTAAATTATCACAGGCATACTCTGTTGAATTATTATGCAATTATATTTGTGTGCATTCCATATAATGTTAATAAGGGCAATAACATTTCCCATCATTTCAATGATACAGGGCACTTTTTCTTTTGGAAAAATAGTCACTCTGAGAACAGAGCCATCTAGTGGCAAGTGCAGAATAATGATTACAACATAAAATGAACTGTGAGCCTAACAGTATCATTAGTAAACATTATCATTAACAACCTAAACTAAGTGGTAATGAATATTAAAGGTTCTGCTTTTCAGATAAAGAAATAAATTAAGTGGAAAATCCATCTATAAAGGGTGTCCACATTCTTTATACCATATGGTCTTCGTTTTGTAAAATAGAAAAGTCTAAAACAAGAATTACACACGCATATACAATACATATACACACAAACACACAGACACAAAACAAAGGAACTATGCCAAAATATAAACAGTTCCCCAGCCTGGGAAGTGGGATTAAGTATGTTTTGTCCCCTTCTTAATGTTTTTCTGCATTTTCCTCAGCAGGTACATACTACTTTTGTAAGTAGAAAATGTAATATTTAAAAATATATTGAGAGACTACTGAAAGAAATATGAAAACAACAAGAGCAGATTCACTAATCTTTCAGAAAATATATTTTCTATTTGCAGCTATACATCCTTGTAGCTCTAGAGATTGTTTGCTATGATATAAGCAAAATAATACCTTTTGATATATTTACCATAGGCTTAGATGATTCTTCATCTAGGAATAAATCACAACATGCTTAGATATTAGGTATATAGCATTAAGATTTGAGCAATAAATAACAAGTATAACATAATTATGTTGAGTTTTAAAAATACATACAAATTACTTATCTATATACTTAATATTGCAAAAAACACAGTGAGGTAGCAAAGGAAAAGATAATTATTTTCATTTTATAAAGAAGTGGAGATGTACAGACAGCACATATTTATCTCCAGCTCTGTCACTGATGAGTTGAAAGTTTTCTGACAACTACTCTATTGCTTTTCATACTATAACAATTTTGATACCTGGAACTTAAAAATATCTGTAAGTTATTTTCATGTTTATTCTCAAAAAGTCTCATTGGTGGCAATAGCTACTCTTCTTATTCCTCTCTTTAGATTGACACAGATGATGTCCTATAACTGAGATAATTTATCATGGGCATAATCAAGAGTATAGATTTGCCAGGTGCAGTGGTTCATGCCTGTAATCCCAGCACTTTGCGGGGGCCAAGACAAGAGGATTGTTTGAGGCCAGGAGTTTGAGACCAGCCTAGGCAACACAGGGAGACCCTATCTCTACAAAAAAATTAAAAATTAGCCTGGCATGGTGGTATACTCAGGAGGCCGAAGTAGGAGGATCCCTTGAGCCTGGAAGGTCAAGGCTACAGTGAGCCATGATCCTGCACTGCACCCCAGCCTAGATGACAGAGTGAGATGCTGACTCATAAAAAAAAAAAGTATAGCTTTTACTTTCTTAAAGTATGTTGATATTTTACAAGACGTTTTTAACAAATGAATACCAAATTGCATGAAAGCTTGAAGTAAATGTTTAGAGTAAATGAAGAATAAAAAAACTTCAGACATTGAAAATAACATTTTTTAAAATCCAAAAAATCAAACTAAAATTTAAAATAGAGCAAACAAATCAGAATTATCTATACGGCCACTCTGAGGAGAAAAATACAATTATTAAAAGGGGTCTATTACTGACCCTAATCTTCACAAACAACCAAAAAAAAATTCGATTTTTGTTGTTGTTGTTTTAGATGAAGTCTTGCTCGTTGACCAGGCTGGAGTTCAGTGGCACAATCTCAGCTCACTGAAATCTCTGCCTCCCAGGTTCAAGCGATTCTCCTGCCTCAGCCTTCTGAGTAGCTGGGACTAGAGGTGCAAGCCACCAGGCCCAGCTGATTTTCATATTTTTAGTAGAGGCACAGTTTTGCCATGTTGGCCAGGCTGGTCTCGAACTCCTGACCTCAAGTGATCTGCCCATCTTAGCCTCCCAAAGTGCTGGGATTACAGGCATAAGCCACCGCGCCTGGCCTCTAGTAGTTCAATTTTTAATCTTCCTGATATTCAAAATTGATTTGGAAATTCTGGGGCTAATTACTTGTCAATGAGAAGAACACTTTTCTCATATTTTCAACCTAAAATTAAAAGTTATATGTGAGATCCAAGATTAGTAATAACCCTGTTTGGTGGTGCCAACTCTATCTACATCTAAGTAGCACCCAAAGTGAGACATGCAGCAGGAAAGTGGCCAAAAGAAGTGCTTCGTCACTTCATCTCTTTTCCTTCCTTCAGTATTCCTTTCATTCCCATTCTAATTGATATTTTTAAAACCTTCTAATACTATTTATATTCTGATACACTGCAGAGAGATAATAATAAGCCATTCTGGGGAAAAGATAGGCTATTATAAATGTATACTTTGACATTTTTACTGATATCTGATTCTTACGCACTTGGTAAACCAACTGGGAAAAATTCATTACAATTTGCTACAAGAGTATTTTAATAGGAATCACGGCTTTTAAGAAAACAATAATCAATAATAATCGTCATCACCATCATCCCATTTAGTTACTGGGTTGGGCCCAAAGCTTAATATACATTACCTAGAGAAAGAAGTAGATGAATGATTATGTTTATCTAATTTTTCTAGATAAGCCTATAGTTCTGTTTTATATCTTTATGTAAAATTAAAGAAGAAAAAGATAGAAGCAAATGTGCTATATATATTACTGCTTCCAAAATTTCAATTATTCATGTAGCAATTACCTTGGTGATTCTACCATGTTATGGACCAGCCACCCATAATATTGTACACTTAGTCTTCTATAAATAAAATTTTGTTTCCAATTGGATTTATTTTTTAAAACTTTATGTCACTACTTAAATGGAAACTCAGTAATACTTTATATAAGTACAAAGTGGCCATAAAACTAAAGTCAAGGAAAGACAATGCTATCTCTTTCAATTCTCACAAGATCCTCTTTTTTTTTTTTTTTTTTTTCTGACAAACACTCCTAGCCTGAGGCCTGCTCTCTGTTACAAAGATAATCAGTGAGGGTTGGAGGGACATGAAAGCATCCTAGCTCCAAGGTGAGATCTGCTCCCCTTATCTTAATCAGTAACATTAGAGTAGAAATGAAAGGCAAATAATTTAGCAAAACACTTAATATTATATACCAGCATATCTCGTTGCATGTAAAACAATCTTTTATACCACCACTGATACGGACTCTACATTTCAAGAAATACTGTAGCCTATTATACTAGGTATGCATTACTCAGGTAAAAAGTTATATTTTATCAAGAATGATGGTGGTTAAGCTAACACAGAATGGCATTCATCCATGATCTGAATGACTGAGGGAAGCTAGTGTTTGCTTATGTGAATGGCAGTAGTGAGCCATGAAAAGGGGGGAGCAGGGGCATGGAGGCTACAGAACTCCTCTGAGATCGCCAAGTTCCACTTCCCTACTTAAACTGATGAACTACACAGGCTTTAAAATAATCAGGCTGAAGCCATCTTTTCAGATGCAAGCATTTTAAGGAAAATTTGCTAATAATCTTGAGAAGACTACTATGTTTACTTTCCATAATGAAAAAGTAGTCTTGTCTTTGTTCTAACTAATCAGTTATGTGAATTCTACCATGCCATAACCATATAAAACTTTCATATTATTCCAAAAGCTTAAAGATTTATCTGATTTTAATTTTTCATATTGCATTCTTCTTATAAACTATGTATGAGATGCTTCAGAAAAGCACATATATCTTTCTTGATACCATCCTATTTCTCCAATTATTCATTTCCTAACAATATTTTGCCTTTAATAAATTACATTGTACGCTTTCAGCCAATGAATTGACATTATTGTGGATTATTTACTTGCAGGTTATTAAAACAAGCAGTATGAAAGAAGAAAATTACTAAAATGAATTAATGAACAAATGTGTGCAAACTCTTTATTGGCCATCAACTCCATCCCCATCTTTCTGATTCACAGGAGGCAGGAAGACTCTAAACTACATTTTTCTTTATCCTTAGCCAGCTGGCTTCTTGTCAGGTCCTGCCAGTGGGAGGCATTGATTAGAGAGTTGAAGGTGGAAGAAGTATAGGCTATTTTTTTCTGCTGAGGTAACAGCAGCAGGGGGCTACTGACAGCCACCGTAGGTGACTATGGTATCCAGCCTGAGAGTTTCACAGATATTAGTAGTATTGGCTCCTAGAAGACTGCTATGCCACAATGGCACAATGCTGTTTTAATATTGCAGCAGAAGCACCAGCCTCTCCTGCAACTCAGTATCAAACACTATTTCATGGCCTCCAGCCTTGGGTGGTAATAGCCTTCTGATATTTGGATAACAGCCCTTTCTCTCTTTTGTACCTCCAGTCCTTCTGTTATCACTGTAATTGATTCCTTTCATTCAATATCTTACTGCTTATATTAGAGTAGGTTCTGATTTTCTGAGCGGGCCCTACTGATACACAATAAAACCGTTATAACTCAAAAGTATATTATCTTCCCATCATTAATGGTACTAAATTGAAAACTTTTGAAGTATATATTTCAGATTAATGCTATGAAACCTTTGAATGTATATGTATGAATGTACACACACTAAAATATGAAGAACATGCTCTACAATGTAAAACAATCTCTTGATGGTGAAATTATACATTATTTTTTCTTCATATATCACTAGTAACAAACACATTAAAAGGTGTATGTAAATTAAAAAGATAGAAATTATGCTAATAACCTCAAAAATGTCTTTAAAATTTTTACTTTATACACATAACATACTTATACTTATTTTATATATTTTCTGCCTTTAAGGCTTTCCAGAAGGATGATTTTCTGTTTGTAACAAGGTATAGTAGGAGGACCATGGGGTTTGGAGTTGGAAAGATTTCACAACTATCCTAGTCATAACTCTAAAATATCAATAAAAGTCTACCTCCGGGATAGTTGAAAATTTTACATGAAATTATGGATATTAAAAAGTATTTATAAAAATATAGATGTCTTATATTTTCTACCCATTCTTTCCTTTTGTTTAAACAGTAACTTGATACACACTCAATGTACAAAATTATAAATAACAGATGTACATTGTACAAATTTTCAGAGGTACAAAGAAACACTATACTGGGAAGGAAAAGTCATCCATAATTTCTCCATCTGATAAGAAAGCACTGCTAACATTTGACTTATTTCCATCACTCTTGCATCTAGGCACTTTTATTTACATATTTTTATACCCTTACATATTCTTTTTGTATAAATTCAAATTCTGTGCCTTCTTAAGGTTTAACTATAAGCATTTTTCAATCATTCTGTGAACCACAGTGAACACCATGTTAATGACTATATAATGTAGTGTAGACAACAGTCCGATGGCCTCAAAGGCTGTATCCATGCAAAAAATGGACAGTATCCTAATGTCTGTCTTTGCTTTTCACTGGAATAGCTCTGTGTTTCTGAATCTTATGTTTCTGACTCTCAGGAAGGACAGCTTGTCTTCCTATCTACCAGACAAGTAGAGCAAAACTGAGGGGCTTTCTCTGGGGGGCTTTCTTTTGCTCTACTTGTCTGACAGTAGGTAGAAAGACAAGAAAGGCATTCTTGCCAGTTTTTTCTGCTTATAGTAGTGAAAACTCCTCCCAGGCAGGCAGTAGGTTGAATGTCACCACAGTTTTCTGCATACATCTTTTCCTGTGTTTCTAAGGGCACATTAGTAAGAAGGTGGGAGAGAACTACTGATCAGATGCTATTTCTAAAATGTAACCCAGCACACTCTTAAACCTATACAAAAAGATTTGTCTAACATCAACCCAAAATTGGTTTTTTTTTTTTGGAAAGCTTAATATTTATATACCTCGATAAAACTGAGGATAAGTAAAAGGACTATTCTTGAAAAAACAAGGAAATAGTGGCAACAAACTCAATACTACATCAGATAGAAATGGGAACTGCAGAGGCATATATGAGTCAATCAATAGTAGGACTTTCAGGAAACATATTAACAATCTTGAGGCAAAGCTACAAAGGCACCAAGCACTGCTCTTTGTACTTTTGCAATAAGCAGGACAGCTAACTGCTTTATAAATAATAAATGCATCTATGTGAAGATGAACATATACAAAATGATGAAAATTCACTAGTATATAAAATGATTCAAATTTCTGAAATGAAGAAGAAAAAATCTAGAAATATTTTTGAAGAAAAAAGGTAAATGATCATATCTGTCAATTAGTAAAGTTAGTATCTAAACGAATCACAAAAGTAATCATAATATCTAACTGTATAAATAACATTGTGAAAACTTACTGAAAAGATAGGCTCAAAATGCAGCAATTTTAGGGAAATAACCTTTCTAAATGGCAATCTATGTGACACGTTAATTAATTTAATCAGGGCATAGTTCAGTTCTTTTTAAAAAAATTTTTACAGCATTGCAATAAACCAACTATGACACATTTAATTATGTTACAAGTTATTTTTTAACAGATATAATAACTCAGATAAGAAAATGTTCTACTTTTAACCTACCAAAAGTAGATTAACCCTTACTTTGAATACAGACATTATATCCTTTTCTATCTAGTTGCATTGAAACTTAAGAAAATCTGTATTCTATTCTGGGTCAATCACTAAGATAACATTATATAATAATTTATATGTATAATGTGTGTGTATATAGAATTACAGTTAAAATATTTTGTACAACGAAAAATAAAACACAGGAATTAAGTTGTGCATATATGCAAATATTTTTATGTGTTACATGCATGTATATGTATAAATTTTATTTCATATACGCCTTGTTTCATCCATAAGTGAAATACTACAAGTATAATACTGTTGGGAGCCCTAGAAAAATCTAAGCTACCCATATAAATTTAAGGTCTCAGTATAGCAATGTTAATATTAAGAGCAAAACTAAATGAAAAAAATAGAAAATTTAGAATAGAATAATATATAATAGAATAATAATAATAACAATAAATAGAAAAATTTCCCTGCTCAGAATTAGGAAATAGAATACTTTTTCTGTAGTGTATTTCATATTAGAAAGGAATTCCTTTGCCAATGTCCTTGCTTAGATTTTGCTTGAAATTTTCTTGCTACGTGAATTGTCAGGTTTTGTTTGTTTTATGTGGTTTTTGTTTTTTGTTGGACATAGATGCACTTCTGATAAAGAAGTGTTTGATTTGACTGTATAAAAAAGGACTAAAGGGATTTCCCGGAAGGAGGCTTTGGTATAACTCAACCAAGGGAAGAGAAAGCAGAAGCTAAGGATACTTGACAAAGCATCTCAATGCTTAGTCCGAGAGAGAACCGTTATTCTCAGTATGGTCCCCAGCTGGCAAACTCATCCAAAAGCATACGCCCTTTGCTTGATTCCTGTGGGCAAGCCCATAGCGTTAATTCTTTTTACCAGTCATCAAGTGCTATTCTGTAAAGATAAAAGGGAGCTATAAAGGATTATTAAACTTCTAAGAACTGAAATAACCAAATCACTAGTTGCACCCCCATGCAATGTCTGGCAACTCTACCCATGGACACACATATACATAATTGCATTTCCAGCGAATTTTTGGTAATAATTCTTTATTACCACATTAATATAGCTAGAGTATTGTACAGAGTAGGTCACGTTTTTAATTACTGGAACTCTGGTCTGTTATTATAAGTTGGTTTTGCTTTGGAGCTATCGATTTAGTTTACATAGGGTTTGGTTCATGCTGCAATACAGAGAGATACATGTTTCCATCAATATTTGGGGCATACAATTTCCTAAGAAGTCAACTTTATGGTTTGAATGTGAAACACTAATACTTGTTTTATTAAATTCTCCCCAGATTTGTTTGTATAGTATCTCCTTGGTGGTATGATATATTACACAAGCAAACTAACCCCCAGGGAACATATTACAAAATTCAGCATTTTAAAATTCTACCTGCTTATGTATTTTAGCAAACTTAAGCTATCTGACTTGTTCCTGTCACTCAGCAAACTTATTTAAAGGAAAACGTAGTAAATGCTTCCAATTCTCTCTAAAGGTTCTAAAATATACACTCTCCTGCTCATCGAAGGAGTGCTGCGAAAGAGATGATCCCTTCATGAGGGAAGCTACAGGTTGTCGCGACGTCCTGGATATAAATATTAAAATGGACAGTTCATTTTTAGTCATTTCATAACATTTAACATTTTTTCTCATGTATTTCTTTAATTAAGGAAAAATACCATCTATTGTGGTCAAATGCCAATTTATCATTAAGTATGTTACATTGATAGGAATGTTCCAGGGATGAACGCTTTGATGCAGGAAAGCTTCAGATCCATCACACAGTAACAGTACCTAAAATCTGTTCACGTAGACCCAAGAGGAGTTATCTGAATGGATTATTCTACTCTCCACCTCTTAGACCTTTCCCAATCTTTTTAATGTTTTTGAATACTCAAAAACATCATGCTACAAAAGAAAAGGAGAGAAATAGGAGAGGAACAATTAATATGATGTTTATCTGTTTGTTTATGGTTAGAAAGCTTACCAATTTTAGAATAAACATAGAGACATGACAGGGATTTACTGAAAGGCAGCCTACCCTTTCCTAGTAAATACTGAATTCCATAACAAACAAGAGGGCTTGCTCTCACATTCTTTCATCTTAATTTATTTGGCAAGCATCTGGTGCCTGCCTACTACATGCCAGAATCCTGCTACAAGCACTATTCTTTAGCAATGAGCAAGATAAAGCCAATGAAATCTAATTAAACTAAAGAGCTCTGCACAGCAAAAGAAATTATCAACAGAGTAAACAGACAATCTACAGAATGGGAGAACATTTTTGCAAACTATGCATCTGACAAAGGTCTAATATCCAGCATCTGTAAGGAACCTAAACTCACAAGAAAAGAACAAACAACTCCATTAAAAAGTGGGCAAAGAACATGAACAAACACTTTCAAAAGAAGACGTACACGTGGCCACAAGCGTATGAAAAAAAGCTCAACATGACTGAGCATTAGAGAAATGCAAATCAAAACCACAATGAGATACCATCTCACACTAATCAGAATGACCATTATTAAAAAGTCAAAAAGTAACAGATGCTGGTGAGGCTGTGGAGAAAAAGAAACGCTTATACACTGTTGGTGGGAGTTCAGCCACTGTAGAAAGCAGTGTGGCAATTCCACAAAGAGCTAAAAACAGAACTACCATTCAACCCAGAAATCTCATTACTGGGTATATACCCAAAGGAACATAAACTGTTCTGTCATAAAGACAAATGCACATGTATGGTCATTGCAGCACTATTCACAATAGCAAAGACATGGAATCAACCTAAATGCCCATCAATGGTAGACTGGATAAAGAAAATGAGGTACATGTACACCATGGAATACTATGCAGTCATAAAAAAAATGAGATCATGTCCTGTGCAAGAAAATGGCTGGAGCTGGCCATTATCCTTAGCAAACTAACACAGGAACATAAAATCAAATACCACATGTTCTCACTTATGAGTGGGAACTAAATGATGAGAACACATGGACACATAGAGGGGAATGACACACATTAGGGTCTATTGGAGGCTGGAGGGTGGGAGGAAGGAGAGGATCGGGAAAAATAAATAATGGGTACCAGGCTCAATACCTGAGTGCCTAAATAATCTGTACAACAAACCTCCATGACCTGAGTTTACTTACATAACAAACCTGCACATGTACCCCTGAACTTAAAAGGTAATAAATAAACAAACAACAAACAAAGCCCTCCTCTTACTGAGCTTACGTTCTAGTTAAAGAAGGCAGCCAATAAGACAATAACATGTCAGCTGGTAATACAAACAATAACACGTCAGCTGGTAACTGCAGAAAAATACAGTTAGGTAAAGACAGAGTGGTGAGGGTAAGCGTATTCATGAGGAAAACTGGAGCACAGGCAAGGAAGTGAAAAAATAATCTATGTGTACACTGGAAAAAAGTACATTCCAGGCAGAGGAAACAGTAAGCACAAAAAATCCAAGGTAAAGATATATGCTTAACGGGTTCAAGCAAGAGCCAGGAGCTGATGTGACTAGAGTGAGTAAATGGGGAAAGTGTTACAACACGAGGTCAAAGATATCACAGAGACAGATGACGGCTGAGCTTCCCTTCCATGTGTTTGCTGTCTATAGCTGATGTCTATTGCCTGGGTGAAGAATGTCAAATTTTCTTCTGAATGAGAGTTGGGGCAATTGCAAGATTGCAGAGAAATGGCATGGTCTGATTCACCTTTCAAAGGATTAGTTCTGCCACTGCGTGATGAGTAAACTGTAAGGAGGCAAGAGTGGAAGCAGGCAACAGATAATTCCGGCAACAGATGATGGTAACTGTGTAGATAGTTAAATGGTGAGACTCTAGCTATTTTGAAGTCAGGTGGAATAAAATTTTCAGATAGATCGAATCTGAGATGTAAGAGAAACAGAGCCAGGAAGGGAGACTCGGAGCAACTGGAAAAATCTAATGGGATTATCAATGTGTCAACAACATGATTTCCCGAACATGATCCCTACTTATATTCAAAACAATGACAAAAAGTATCTAACATTTTACAGGCTTTTCCTCTCTGGCTCCTTTAAGCGAAAATTGAACTTTCTATTTTACTTAGTTCTTAGATACTCTTGACAAATCATCGTTCTCTCTTTCCATTGTTTTTGCCACCTGTATACTGGTACCTCAGCAAATGACTTCTACATTATCAAGTTTGGGCCAGGCACAGTGGCTCAATGCCTGTAATCCCAGGTATTGAGTAGCCAAGGTGGGCAGATCACCTGAGGTCAGGAGTTTGAGACCAGCCTGGCCAACATGGTGAAACCCCATCTCCACTAAAAACACACACAAAAAAATTAGCCGGGCATGATGGTGGTCACCTGTAATCCCAGCTACTCGGGAGGCTGAGGCAAGAGAACTGCTTGAACCTGGGAGTTGGAGGTTGCAGTGAGCTGAGATCTTGCCACTGCACTCCAGCCTGGGCGACACAGTGGGACTCAGTCTCAAAAAAAAAAAAAAAAAAGCATTATCAAGTTTGTCATCCAAAACCAGTCAATCACAAATCTGGGAAACAAAAACTCAACTTCATTGTGGTTGGCTTTTAAATCCCTTGCACCTACAGATTCAAAACAGTGGTGTAGGCAGGAATTAAATAGGAGTACATGGCATTCTTTCTGAAGGTGCCTAAAGGCAGAGGCTAAAAAACTCTTTAAATCTTATCAAGACAGCATTGAGGAAGTACTGCAAGAAGAATTAGCAGTGTCTTTAGCAGGTGAATAAGGTGCATAATTCCCTACTTGGGGCCCCTTCACCTAATCAAGGTAACATGGTCTGAGCCACCCAAAGAGTGCGAGGGTCAGAAGCCATTCAGTGTCAGGGGGCTGGCATGCTTCCCTTCCATGTGTTTGCTGTCTATAGCTGATGTCTATCATTAAGTTCAAGTCAAATGATCCACAGCCCGTGATGAAAGGGTGACTGTTGCACAATTCTACCAGCATTCCCCCAGGTGGGTTTTGCAGATCATTAACCACATAAGATCCCCTGAGATGGAAAAAAGTTTCTCTGATCAAACAAATATAGCAAATGTTTTATTCTTTCATTAGAGGTTTTGTCAAGTCCTGCGGTAACTACACCATTAACTGCGTAACTAGCATTTCCCAAACTTGTTTTACCAATGAGTAAAGAAAACAAGAATCCTAATCTGAAAAAGGAGAAGAGGATGACCATTTGGAGACACATTGCAAAGGAAAACTGTCAAAACTTGGTGAATGATTTAATGAAGGGATGAGAGAGAGAGATATTGAAGATGACTTCAGTTCTAATGCTGATGACCAGAAAAGGGAGAAAAATACACATTAAGACAAATGACTTCCAAATTCTAAAAAATTATTTTGTTTCACTTACACTCATTAGGTATGATTGCTATATTTCATGTGCTAAATCAGGCACTAAGAAGAACAATGAACAAGACAGAGACTAATCTTGCATCTGCACGCGTTAGACTATATGAACCATGATGAGAACTAGTCTGATGCATGCAGAGGAATGACACAATTCAGGAGCACTAATATTTTACTGGGATTAAGTACTCCCTTTGTGAATATGGAAAGCATTGTCCAGGGAAGCATTCCAAGAAGTAACATCTAAGCTGAGACCTATCGGAGCAGAGCATTTTGGTCAGGTGATGAGAGATACTGTTCAGATACAAAAGCAAGGCAGACTGATCAGATGAAGAGCCAGTGAGTCAGGGCTACACTATGCAATGAAGAGAAATGCGGTTAAGTGTGAGCATCCCACACAAGATGAAAGGATGAAACACAGTTAAATAAACAACTGTGTGCCATGTACAACTGCAACCACGTTATAGGCACAGATATTTCTAAATGAATATAAAATCTGACTCTTTCCAAAAGAAGTCAAACACATTCATCTCACACATGAGAAGATTCTTCTAGATGCTGGGGTGCCGTGTATTGTGGCAGAATTAAAGGAAAGGAAATAAATCACCTTTTGCTTTGGGATTCTTCTCACATTCAAAAAAGTCACTGGTCCTTTCTCCCACAAAAAAATTAAAAACTATAAGGTAATGAGGCTGGGTGTACTTGCTTATGCCTGTAATCCCAGCAGTTTGGGAGGCTGAGGCGGGCAGATCACTTGAGACCTGGAAGGCCAAGGTGGGCGGATCACTTGAGGCCAGGAGTTTGAGACCAGCCTGGCCAACATGGCAAAACCCTGTCTCTACTAAAGATACAAACATTAGCTGGGTGTGGTGGCACACACCTATAATCCCAGCTACTTGGGAGGCTGAGGCAGGAGAATTGCTTGTACCCAGGAGGCGGAGGTTGCAGTGAGCTGAGATGGCAGCACTGCACTCCAGCCTGGTAGACAGAGCAAGACTCCACCTCGAAAAAAATAAAAATAAAAAATAAAAGACCACCGAATAACTGAATAGTTAGGAAAACTGTTAATACACTGAGGTCTGAAACATTCTTTGTTTGGAAGTTTGAACCAGATTCTTAAAATACCTGACACTTTACTATGACTTCTGTCTTCCAGAGCCTTTTGCAAGTGATCAAGGCATATTTCCAAATACTAGAATTTTTGCTGACATATCTGAAGGGATTAAAAGGTAACTACTAGATTTAAACAGTGAGCTTTGTAAAACTGAAACTGCAAGCAACTTTCTGCAGGTAACTGAGCTTTTTTACTTGTTCACCTTCACACTGTGATTCAGCTGAAGTTAGAAACTGTTTCTTGCCTTGAACAAGTTCTCAGACCAAGTCAGAAGGCAGAGTTCTCGTGTATCCAAGTAAACTCAATTTTTCTTTGGTGCCCACTTGCTGTTATGCTATTCTTCAAATCCCTAGTGAGACCTGACCAGCTCAACATTCTGACATGCATCTTCATTTGTTATAAAAACACATTACTCATCAAAATATAAGCACATTCCCATACAGCGTATTTGATATACCAGGGTGCAGCCAAATTCTAGATGACTCTTGGTTGAAGACAACTTGAACTACTCCTTCTAACACTTTTAGCCAGTTCTGCATTTTGATAGCATTCTCTCAAATGTTAAAGTAACATGTAAAGGAGCATTGTCCATTTTAGGCATCTTGTTCATCTTTTATAATATCCCACGAATCTCTTTTTCACTTTTCTCAAATAAAAGACAGCTTCAAGCTGAAGGAGTTTTCTATTTTAAACACAATTATTAAAGTATATTGGTGTCCAGTGGGCTCAATAGAAATATGTGAAAATTTATTTTTACCTAGTTGGCTAAAAGGTTCAAGAATATGGCACTGTCTCTTTTACAACCTCTTTGAAATTGGAATCCCAAAAGTCAAGGGAAAGGGCTAATTCACATCTGTGACCTATTGGCCCCTGGATGACAGGGACTAGGTCTCATTCACTGCTGTGTCCCCAGTGTTTAGCATAAACCTCACAATTTTGAGAAACTAGACAACTCTAGTAAGCACTCAATATATAATTATTGAATAAGTAAACAAACTAATGCAAAGCATCAAGCTCAACAAAATAAAGCATAATAAATGGCAATGTTGGGCTGCGATGCATTCTGGGAAAGGAGCAGCATCAAATCCAAGACGGCACCAGCAGAAGGCTGATGAAGGAGCTTGAAGAAATATGCAATTGTGGAATGAAAAACTTCCGTAACTTCCAGGTAGATGGAGCTAATTTATTGACTTGGCAAGGGCTTATTGTTCCTGACAACCCTCCATATAAGGGGGCCTTCAGAATCGAAATCAACTTTCCAGCAGAGTTCCCATTCAAACCACCGAAGAGCACACTTAAAGATCTGTCACCCAAATGTCCACTAAAAGGGGCAGGTCTCTCTGCCAGTAAATTAGTGCTGAAAACTGGAAGCCAGCAACCAAAACTGACCAAGTAATCCAGTCCCTCACAGCACTGGTGAATGACCCCCAGCCTGAGCATCCACTTCAGGCTGACCTAGCTGAATAATACTCTAAGGACTGTAAATATTTCTGTAAGAATGCTGAAGTTTACAGAGAAATAGGGGGAAAAGCGACTTGTAGACTAAAATCTGCCACAATTGGCTCCAGTAAGTGTGAGCAGAGACCCCGTGCAGTGCATTCAGATACCCCACATGGAAGGACTCTGTGGAAACTGACACGTGCCACCGCCTACCACTTTGGCAGTTACCAACTTTCTACAGTTTTCTTAATCAAAAGTCGTCTAGGCAACCTGTAAATAAAGGATTAAAAATTTAAGATGTTCTAAAAAATGAATAAAAATAAAAAATAAATGACAATGTCTGTAAATGAAACAAACTCTGGTTGGAAAAACAAAAATGTGGTGTTGAAATATTTTGCTGTATTTTGCCTCATAAAATTTTATTTTCTGAAGCAACTGTTAAAATGAATTAACATTTAAAAGAACTGGAATAACACAGATTATTACTTCATCAAAAGGCAGAATCACGAGGAGAAAAGGAGATTCCTCTATATTCCAATCTTCTCTTGCTAGGGGACAATTTGAGTGGGAAATCTTTTCACCATTTAGGTCTGGAGTGTCCTGTTAATAAAATGCAATGTTGAAATGGCTAAATCACATTGGCTGCTATGCAATACATTTTTTTAGCTACGGCATTGCTTTTACAAAGTAGCTTTTACATACTTAGCAATCCAGCAGGTGATAAATGCATATGTTAAGAAGGATTAATGTACTTTAATGGAGGAAGTAGGAAACCAAAATAAATTCCATTTAAAGAGATTAACTGAATCTTTTGTAACAAGACCTCTTTTAAAATGCATGGAAACAGACATTTGTAAACTCTCTTCTTTCAAAATGTAATGTGGTAATTCCAACTACTCAGGAGGCTAGGGCGTGGGGACTGCTTGAACCCAAAAGTTTGACACCAGCCAGGGCAATAAAGCAAGACTCCATCTCAAAAAAAAAAAAAAACCTTAAAATAAAAACTTTAAATAATGTAACGCAGGTTACCCTTTACAAATAAAATTTTTTAGTGAATTTAAGAAACACCAGTATCATCAATATTAGAAATTACGTAGGTAAGTGCCTGCATTCATATCCAAATTCATGAAAAGAGAAGGAAACCATTCATGTTTTGAAAACCAAGGCATAATATTAAAATGTCTTAACTCCAAGTTACTTTGGAGTACTTTATTCAGAAAAGTCTGTTAACAAAAGTAACATACCTACCACAGAATTTTTGTAGGTTACAATATTGTCCTCTTCACTAATATTTCCCCCTGGAGACAGAGTTTCGCTCTTGTTGCCCAGGCTGTTGTGCATTGACGCGACCTCGGCTCACAGCAACTGCCGCCTCCCGGGTTCAATCGATTCTCCTGTCTCAGCCTCCTGAGTAGCTGGAATTACAGGTGCCCAGCACTACGCCCGGCTAATTTTTGGTAGTTTTAGTAGAGACGGGGTTTCACCAAGTTGGCCAGGCTGGTCTCGAAATCCTGACCTCAGGTGATCCACCCGCCTCGGCCTCCCAAAGTGCTAGCTAGGATTACGGGCGTGAGCCACCACCTCTTCTAGAATGGACAGTCTTAATATTACTAATGGAGTTTTAATATATGGTTAATGGGCTCCTCGCTGTGACTTCCCATCTCAGTAAATGACAGATCCATCTTTCCAATCTCTCCGAATACAAATCCATTAGTGTAAGAGAATGTAGGAAAAACCATTGTTTCTCCTACTCTCACACATCACTCAACACTTCTGACAAAAGATTCTTCAACAGACACCAGCTGAGCATCGTCTAATTCAATTCAATCCTAACACTATCCACCTGGACATAGCATCACCCCTCAGTCCCTCAAGACTGCCCCCCTCTTCAGATGCCAATTCCAAATCCCAGGTTGTGACCTGTATTTCGACCAACCAGTTATAAATCAGAGATCCTATAACCCACCTCTTTGTGTTTGATTAATTTTCTAGAGCAGCTCACAGAATTCAGAGAAACATTTCATATTTATTTACCCATTTATTATAAAAAAATTACAAAGCATATGAATGAACAGCCAGTTGGAGAGCTGCATAGGGTGAAGTATAGGAGAAGGGGTGCAGAGCTCCCATGTCCTCCCTGGGTGGTTGTACCACCTTCTAGGAACCTCCACATGTTCAGCTATCCAGAAGTCCTCTGAACCCTGTCCTTTAGGTTTTACATAGAGGCTTCAATTCTACAGGTATGACTGACTGTATCACTGGCCATTAGTAATCAACACAACCTTCAGCCCTGCAGAGGTTGAGAGATGGGGCTGAAAGTCCCAATCCCCTGACCATTCTGGTGACCAGCCCCCATCCAGAAGTTACAAAGGGGCCTCCAGCCACTAGTCGTCTTATTAGCACACAAAGGATATTCTTATCAAGGGTTTTAGGAGCTGTATGACAGAAAACAGGGATGAAGACCAAATACATATTTTACAATATCACAATTAGCAAATTCAACTGGCTCTACTTTAAGAATATCCTCCTACCACCTTCACTGTCACCTCCAAGCCACTGTTATCTCTCATCCGGATGGCTTGCAAGAGAGAGGCTTGTCTCATGCTGCCTCCTTTGCCCATCTGTGTTCCAGTTTCTCTTCTGAAGAGCAAGTGAAATGATGCCACTCCTCTGCAATGTCTTTATCAGAATAAAATCCACACTCCTCAATATGTCTGGCACAGGCTTCCAGGGCATTTCTCACTGCTGCCTTCAGGACCTCTTATCATAACACTCTTGCCCTTGCTCCACTGATGCACCCTCACCTGTGAGATTTACGCTTGCTGTTTTTTCTCCTTGGACTGCAGTTCCCTCAGCCATCCAGGTGGTTCTCATTTCCTTGCTTCTTTCAGAGAAATAAGCAATCGCCCCTTTATCAGTTTGTGTCTCCCTGATCAACCAATATAAGATAACATACATCTCCCATAACTACCTATAGATAACACTCGGTCTGCTTTTCTTCACGGCATTTATTCCTCCAAATACATTACTAGCTGTTAGAATGAAATTTTAAATGAATAGAAGATTTACCTATTGTTAACTGGAATTCTAAATGCTTAGGGTAGAGTCTGGCACATAGTAGGCAGAGAACTAATGGTCCCTAAAAAGTACTGACAAATCAAGAAGAGAATAAGATGATGTATACCTGGCATCCAGGACACAAACTCCAGTGGTAACAAGAACGCTGTCCCCACTACTCACCAACCTTGTTCCCGACCTTCCTTGAACGTGAGATTACCTCTAAGGATCAGCCTTCTCGCCAACTGTTGGCTTAGATACCATGAAATCTAACACATAATGAAGCTCGAGGAAAGCAGAAAAATAATGTTTTCCCTCACCCCATCTCAAAACACTCAACACATGGTTCCTCACTCAGTAGGCACTCAATAATACATGACCGTCTGAAAGCATGACCATTTTTATTTTACTAGAGAGGGAAGCAGAATGAGACAGATGACATTTTCTCACGACTTAAGCTTATACATTTGGAAGGAAGAAAGCAGTTGTAGTAAGAGAGGCAGGCTCTTCAAATTCTCACAAAACACAAATTCCTAGTTTTGCTTTGGATGGGAAGGGCTTCATTTCAGGCACGTTGGGGGAGAAAGGGCGAAGGGAAAAATGCTCAGACTATGCTATTTTTAAGTTATTTGGTAAGAATGGCTATTTTTCCCTCTGATATTCTTGAACCACCCAAATGTCATGTTTCCATGCACTGCTGTCTGGATGCTATCAAAGGCACGGCTCTGAGGTGAAAGGAAGGAGTCAGTCATATGCTCATCTTCTCACATGCTGCTACCACTGCTGATTTTTTTTAAAAGCTTTGTGACCTAGAAAGGAGATGTACGGTATGAATGATGCACAGACTGCAGAGAGCATAGGGCGTCATCAGTCTATTTATACCTCCAGGAAGGAAAAAATGAGTACAGGGCAATGGCTCTATATTCCAAGTACTGAGTATGCAAAGATTATCTGGAAGAAACAATAAACAACACAGTGAGGGCGGCATTTATGTCATCAGTGAGAAAGAAAAGGTGAGGCCATATTCCCATGTTCCTTGATCGTTCCAAAATTTTGTTAACTTTTAAAGAATTTCAAGTTGATCCCCTGATATTTCCCATGACTGTATAAAGCATCCCAAATCTGAGTTAAAGACACTGCCACCCATATTTTAATACAGCTTCACCTCATATGTGCATATGTATTTACATTTAGCAATAATCGATATCCATTTGGCTATACTGTAAGTCCCGAGGGAAAGTTTTTCAGGGTTAAGAAAGTATTTGGAAAAGCCTTACAGTTAATTATGCTACTTAACTCCAAAAAGGGGGAAAATGAGATTTACACAGATTTATACAATATGATAGAAAAAAAAATTTTCTCAAGGTGTGTAGTTCATTTCCCTTAAGATGTGAAATCTTTCCAGGACAAAGCAGGGAAAAAGCACCCAGGCCCAGCTGCTAACAGTTATTCCTGGATCACTAGTAAACTTAATGCCAGGCTTCACCTCTCGACTTCCATTTGTTTCTACTGTAAGCAGTATAACATGGAGCCTAACAGAAATGATGTTCTGAAACGTACCCATTTTGCTCTTTTGCAACCCGTTTACTTGTGCAATTACTGCCAGTTTCACTTGCTTTGGAGTTATTTTACTAGCAGTGGCGATGGATTTGATGACAGCTGGCCACAGTATGAGGTGTTTTCTAAGGCTTGACATTAGGTATTTCCTAGTGCAAAATTTACTGATCCCGCGTAGGCTCCAACCTAGAGCCAGGATTCCTTAATGGAACACAAACTGATTTACTTTGAATATACTCAAGCTTCACAGCAAACACTTCCTGTTTCTATTACTGTCCAAGTCTTCTTACCATGCCTGAGGCAGACAATTTAAGGCTTGATTCCTCACCCTTTCCCTTCATCTGCTGAAATCCCATTTAGTTTTAGTGCACCAGGCATGCACTGGTATTTCATCCTATGCATTCCTTCCACAGCCTGACCTATAAAGGGCTGACACTGAGTCCTGGCTTGTTCAGATCAGAGAGAATTAACACTTTTATTTCTTTAATTTCAAAAGCTTCTGAGGTAACTTTTGAGCTCGTAAATGTCAATAATTTGTTGTCAAGACAATTATATTCTTAACCCAGCTGCTACATATAGGGAACATAGAGACTGACAGAAAGTCAGTGAATTTAGAATTAAAACAGTAAGTTTATCTGATTGACTATGCTTCTCAAAATGTAAATGGATGATACAAATTAATACAACCAATTCATTTTATTTGGTTTGGTTTTGGTTTTTGAATGGGTTTATGGGTTTAAGAGACATTGCTCTCTGTTGTTTATGTGTATTCAGTGTCAGAAAGGAAAAGTGAGCAGTGTGAAGTCTTATTAGATGGAAGACAGGTCTAAGGCACATGGAAAACTGATATTCGTGATGGACAGGTCAGGAGCTAGAGAGCAGGGATAAAGAAAGCAGAAAAGAAAAGAAAACTCAGCTACAGGTACTCTGTAAGTGAAACTAACAGGTACTTGATAAATATTGGCTGGTTGATTACACAACGGAGGGGAAAGGAATGGCATGCTGTATCATCTTTAAAGACTCCTCTACATGTGCCACACTACTATGAATAGGAAATCAATTTTCCTGTGCTCAATAATTGTAGAGCTCTCTTGTCTCTTAACTTCCTGCTATATAAACCAGTCCTGCAAGGTCCTCCCTCCTTCTTTTCCTTCTCTCATATTGCCACAGGGGAGCTCACCGAAGGAGTCTGCCTTTAAATGGAGATAAACCTAGCACAAACAAAATCAGTTGTGCTTTCAATAGGTTATTGAAGTACAAACATTCAGAGGGAGTTTTAAACACTTTGGCAAATCTTCTGAGAGGCAGAGTAATGATGTTCCATAAGAAAATTTGCTAAACGAAAATAAGTAGAATAATACCTATTTCTCTTTTCAAAAAGAAATTTCATTTTCATGGAAGTAGGGTTTTTTATGATTTCCATACTTAATCCTTAATTTATGCTAATGCCTCTGTTTATAATTTTCAACATAATTACTGTGGGGCAAAAGAAAGCAAAGGGACCTATACAGACATATTTAATGTACACACAGCAAACGAAAAGAGTTAGTCTTATGCAATTTTTAAAAAGCTAGTCAAAAAAATGACTAGTCAAATTTTTTGAAGGAAACAGATATTTATTTTCGATTTCCTAATTTCATGTCTGTATCCTCAGTCACACTGACAGTCATCATTCATTCTAAAAAAAAATGAGGTATTACCCAAATAGCTTATGTCAGCATTAATTGTTAAATAAGTACATTTGTAATTCCTCCTGTCAGCCATATCCCCTTACGTATCTATGCAGATAGTCAAGCTCCTATATCCAAGTTAGGAGTTAGGAATACAGTGGTACAGTTTATCAATATCCATAGATAGGACAGAGTAAGATTTCCTCTCACTAAACATTTATTTTAAATCTCCCTCAAATCAATTTCTATATAATTTCTTGCAAAAAGAAATAAAAACCAGCAGTTACTGCTGACAAATTAAACTAGGGGCAAATACACATTAAATATATACATTTATATATTTACATTTGTATATGTATATTTATATAACATTTATATACTTACACCTATACAGGAGCATTTCATTGTAGAATTTTGACTCATTCAAACTCTGTTCACTACCATTAACTGATAAATTATTTATGAAAGATGATCATGACCTCCATTAAAAAAAAGGATCCCTCAAAGCATGATATATTTCTAAGAATAATGCAACCTATTTTCTGTGACACTGCTTTGTTCTTCAACACTGTCAGTGGATGAACGATATAGTTTTAACACATTTTTGTGCCATGGCCATGAAATGCTTACATTTATTGTGTTAAGTTTAAGCATATGCTTCAATATTCAGTTTTCAACTGAGATAATGATTTTAAAAGATACAATCTCACCTCTTTAGGATTGTTTTAGTTTTCACTTCCAAACTGCTACATTTGACTCGACACTATTACAAACTACTAGTGAACATAAATTTCAAAAGAATTGTCTTACAATTTCAGATCTTTAACCCATTGCAGTGGTGTGAACTAAGTATTTCCGTGCGTCTCCCACTTTCAGCCACGTGGTAGGATGGTGCTTCCCTGTCTCCTTGACATTTGGTGAGGCCATGCGAGGTCAGTGAAATGCATGAACAAGTGGTATGCATCACTACCAGCCAGAAGTGCTGAGAACCAGCGTGTGACTACCATGTGCTCTCCCTCTCCTATGTGATTGTGAAAGAACATGTCAAGTGGAGCTTCCTTCAGAGGTAACTATGATAAGCAGTCTTCCCTTCAATCTACACAAACATGAGGGAAATCTTTTTTGTTGTAAGCCATTACAATATTTGTGGTTGTTGTTACTGCAAGATAGCTTAGCCTATCCTAACTAATAGACAAAACAGGTCATGAATATGGGTCGCACACTGGAAATTTGGGGTAAAAAATACATTACATAATTTTAAAAGCCATTTTAATATGGAATAGGTAGTGTCAATGACTGAATTCCATTTTGGTGTAGAACTACAAATCTGGAAACAGATTTTCAAATTTTTATGAAGAAGAAGGTTAATAAGCAGTTCAATATTTCACAAGAAATGAGAAAAGCAGAGCAGAATAGATGGATCCAGAAATGCAAAAGGGTCATCCAGGAGGAGGCACTAACCTAAGGAAAAGCAGAAGAATACAGCAAGGAGATTTCAGAGAAAGGAAAGTAGTTACAAATGAAGCTATAGAGATTGGCAAGGCCTTGCACACCATGGGAAGAAACAAGAAATGCATGCTGTGGGCCCCGGAGGATCATAAGCACATGCACTATATGATCAGATCTGTAATTCCAAATGGTTTATCTCGGTAGTTTAAAGGCAGGGTTGAAGAGAGGGATGGGTGAGATGAGACAGAGTAATTGGGAGGAACACATTGCTCACTCTGCTCAAAAACATCCTGTGAGTGACCACAGCTTACAGAATGAAATATCCATCCTTCCCTGTAGTACCAAATACCAACATCAGGGAACAGAGATTAGTGGTCAAGACCCCAGTCCCTGGTTTCAAGTTCATCTGCTGCCACATATTAGTTGTATCATGTCCTAAATTCTTTATCCATACATTTCTACTTCTTAGGTTTACTGTGAGGGCTAAATAATTTATGTAAAATGCTTATTTTAGCAAAGTACCTGGCTCTTAGTGAGAATTAACTTGTCAATCTAATGCATTTTATGACCCATTACATAATTGCACTATTCTTCTTCAATACCATATTTTTTTCACTCTTCTGCTACTAATGATGTTGCCTTCGACTACGTCTTTCTCAGGTCTCTCCCTGTTCAAATTCCACTCACCCTTCAGAACCCACTCAATGACTATCTGCTCCACGAAGGATCCTACTCAATGACTACTCTACTCCATGAATGCTCCCTTTGCCTCAGGAAATAATCTCTTTCAAGTCTGGACTATAACACAGTTTCTAATTGCTTCATGGTACTTAATTATATATTTGCAGAATTTATTTTTCTCAATTATGTTCTATTTTCCTTTAACCAGTATTACTTCTTATGTATCCATTATACTCCCAACAGTACTTTGTGGTAGTGCCTTGAACTTACTGAGCTTCACTGTTGAATAATTCAAGGAATTAGATCCAATCCTGGCATACAATTTCATTATAATTTATTAGTATGATACATAATGTTTTATTCATGTGTCAGAAACAATTTCACAAAACGGGTAGTTTTCTCCTCCTTTTACTCATAAATAATCAAAGGTGAGATAGGTGAAGTCATTCTAAAATGGCATGGCATATTGATAAGGAATCCCAAAAGAATATATCCATCTCTGATGGAAAACCTCTAGCTCCAGGAGCAGAAAGGGAAGAAAGCTAAGCTTCCACAATGAGTTAGATCACACTCTTCATCCCACAGGGATAAAGATTTCACAAACTAGATAAGGATCCTTGTAAACAACTGGCTGTTAACAAATAGTTTTATTTTTCCTCAGACTCCACCACCAAGTAAACCTACTGTTCCTTGATACCCTTTGTCCAGGCTGTAGTAAACAAGTACTCAAGAAGTGTTATGTAAGTGATGTGACTTATTGAGAAATAGATTTGCCCTTGAAAAGAAATATGAATAGAATTGCACTTGGCCCCTGTAGTTTGATCATTGTAACGTGAAAAAGATACAGCCTATCCCAGTTCTTTTGGCTTAAGTGAGCAAATAAAATTAAAAGGGACTTGGAGAATAATTTTGCTTACTGCTCTGATTTCAACTTTTCTGAAATGGGCTTTGAATATTAACGTCTACTTCACAAACTTTTCACTATACTCAGTCCCAAGCAACCCATAGGATCACACAGCCATGCCACCAATTTCTTTTTCCTTATAATTACGTTAAAATTTAAGTCTTTTGGGGGCCAAAAATTAAATCCTAACTATTCCTTGTAAAACCTGGAGCAAGGCAATATCCTACACACCATCACTTTTTCATACCCCACCACAATGTTAACTCTTTGAAACATCCCTTGAACAGGTTTCTCTCACACTCATTAGACTCAGAGCTTAATTAGATTTCTTTGGATTTATATCATACAATGACTTTTAAATTCTCATCATTTTTTATACAGTACCCAAATAAAAACAATCAGAAAGAATGTACACAGAAACAATTATGGATTTTGAAAGTTGATATCAACTTAGATATTGGTATCAAACTATGTAGGGAAATTATCATTTATGTAGAGTTATTTAATCAAAAAATGTTGTCACAAAAGCAAAGCTCTACTAGATAGTGCTAGCTGTCTGTTCCTATTTTTTCCAGACTGACTTATGCAATATCCTGATGTTTAAAACTATTCTGTCATGGAAAATCTGTCTCTAGGGTGGGGTGAGAGGAGGGTGTCCCATTTTCTTTTTAAAGTTATAATAAGAAGCAGACAAACAATATAATAAACTTGTACTTTGCAAACATTTTGAATTACGCATTGCAAGGCTACAAGGTAAAGACAGAAATATGCATTTTAAAATAAAAACTTAGCAGACACCCATTTTGCTCGCAGCATGAACAATACAGTAAAATCAAAATATTTTGCCTTATAAGCAGTCAGCAATAACCAGTGATCTGAATATTTTTAAGTGCAATAGGTCATATATCAAATGGAGTTCATTTCATTTTCCTCAAATGCTACCGTAGAAATTTAAAGACTATTAAGAAATAATGATAATTTCCCCTTTCATGCATATAAAGAATCAATGAGTATAATAAAACTTCATTCAGGTTTTTCCCTTTTCTATGTTGACTACATGATATGTGGATATAAACAGACAAAATTCATACTGAATGTCATAAATCAATGTTAGGAAAAAGTAAATTTAGAGTAACTTTCCAACTGAGTGAGTCTTGTTCTCTTCAAAAAGTGAACCTTTCTGCTCTTATCTCTTTTCTTGCAAAGCTAAGAAAAGCCCTTTTTAAAAGTCCTATTGTTATTTTCTGGATCATTACAGAAAAATTATATTTTGAAACTGTAAAGATTTCATTTTTTAACATTCAAAACTGACTTAAGAATGGAACATATTGGTCAGGCACAGTGACTCACACCTGTAATCCCAGCACTCTGAAAGGGTGAGGCAGGCAGATCACCTGAGATCAGGAGTTTGAGACCACCCTGACCAACATGGTGAAACCCCGTCTTCACTAAAAACACAAAAAAAATTAGCCAGGCGTGGTGGTACGTGCCTATAGTCCCAGCTACTCAGGAGGCTGAGACAGGAGAATCGCTTTAACCTGGGAGGTGGAGGCAGGAGAATCGCTTGAACCTGGGAAGTGGAGGTTGCAGTGAGCCAATATCATGCCACTGCACTTCAGCCTGGGAGACAAAGCAAGACTCCATCTCAAAAAAAAAAAAAGACAACATCTTAAGTGACAAGAGAATCCACGAATCATGGGTCTGGCTCAGTGATTGAAAGTGATTATTGGACTAGAAGCAAGGCACATCTCTGGACTCTAGTTGTGTCAGAGGAAACATGCTAACTCACATCATAGCAAGTCCATATCCTGTGTGATAAAGATGTTATGACAGAAAGCTAAATCACTCCAACATTTCTACTTCACAGTATGTGCCTGAATGCATACCATATTTGTCTCTACTATATTTTGCATTGCTTTTTAGATGAATAACTTTTGAACCATATTTTCTCATATTACTAAATCACTAAGTGCAATGTCAACATCTGAAAATAATTATTTCTGTGTATTCGCATAACCTTGGAATGCTGAGAAATGTATTTGGCTTGGGACACAGCATAACAGCCCTGACAACCCTGCCTTAACATTATATACAGCAGACTTCTTTAAGGGAGGAATTACCATGTGGTTAAAGCCTTATAGTAAACACTGAAAAGCTGGCTGTGCTGAAGATAAATTGAAATTTTAGGGGGCTGAACACCTGTGGATACTTAGGAGCTTCCTTAAAAGATAAATAGCTATAACTTAGAGCACTCTGGAGAAAATGGAACTAATTCTTTTTAGCAACACTCTACATCCAAGAATAGGAAGACTTCTCGAGAGAGAATCAGCTATCGGAGACCCCCAAGAAAAGTCTTAACATTAGCAACAGCCTTGCACAGGGCTGCTTTGTAAGACAATTGTAACAAAATGATTTCCTGCTTTGACTGGTAAATCTTACTGGAAAAAAAAAATCCTTTTTCTTTACATAAAAAGAGGTTTAGCTAAAATTGGGGGAAAATAGCTTTATTTAATATAAACAACCCTCAATTTAGTTCATTTCAACCTTTCAAGCTATGCAATCAAAGGCATGTCTACTAGGATAAAATGTAAGCTGTATGAGTACAAGTCTATTTCCATTACGGTCCTTGATAAAGTTTGGATATCTTACCCCTCTAAATCTCACGTTGAATTGTCATCCCCAATGTTGGAGGTAGGCCTGATTAGAGGTGATGAGATCATGGGGGACAGGTTTCTCATGAATGGCTTGGTGCTGTTCTCATATTAGTAAGTTTGTTCTCCCCAAATCTGGTTGTTTACGAGTGTGTGGCACCCTCCCGGTGTTCACTTTGCTCCCTTTCTCGCCATGTGACACACCTGCTCCTGCTTCCCTTCTGCCATGAGTAAAAACTCCTGGAGGCCTCCCCAGAAGCTGAGCAGAGGCCAGCACCATGCTTGCCCAGTCTGCAGAACCGTGAGCCAATTAAGCCTCTTTTCTTTATAATTTACCCAGCCTCAGGTATGGGTAAATGCCTCTTTTCTTTATAATTTACACAACCTTAGGTATGCAAGAATGGCCTAACCCATAATACTAATAGCATATAGTAGGGATATGATCAATATATGTTAAATAATTGAATGAAGGCTGAGTCTGATGCAACACAGGTTCCCAAATGCTGGCCATAACAAACTTTTAACTAATTTATAGCAAAATTGGAAAAATAAAGCCTGAAATTTTTGTCATGAGCCATCCACTCATCTCTAGTCTCAAAGTTGATTTATTTCACATCATCCAACACTCTCAACTTTGTTTAGTAGCACAGTCCAGATGTGTAGTCAATACTCAAAGGAATCAGATAGCGTCAAGGGCACACACACACACACACACACACAATCTTAAATTTTACTCAGGACTCCAGGCAGGAGGCAAAAAGAAAAGAGGAAAAAGAAGAAAAGTCATAATTATTAAAACTGTAGAGGAGGTATGATTAAAAATTAGCTTTATCATCCTGCAAAGAAAAGCAATGTTCTAAGGGGAAAGCTAGTTCAATATCATTTAATCCTAAACCTTGCCATGACTGGAAGTGAGGGCTAATTCGCAATTACATGTAAAAGGTTTGGGTGTCTGAAGAACTATGCCCAATTTTCAAATATGCACATGATCTTTATTAAGGATTTAAGCCTCCCTTGCTCTCAATTCCCCTCTACGAGAGAAAAAGACTATATTTTATAAAACCACCTGATCTCTTGAGAATGTACATTTCCTGGAACTGGGAACTGGCAGAGTAAGGCAGCCCTTATTCACTTCCCTCAGAGAGCAAAGGTGACTAAAAACCAGAATCCTGGAGATGAAATCATTCATGTCTCCTGATAAACTCCCAGTTCCTCTCACTAAATATTTTTCTCCCTAATCCCAGACACTATAACTGTCAGTCATTTTTGGTCTGTTATTCCAATAGGAGCAGTCTGACTTAAGTGCCATAAAAGTCTTGGGAAAAAAACATTTTTGAACACTGGTGGGCTCAGGGGACTGATAATGGAATATGAACCTTTCACCCCTAAAATGTTTCCTTGGGAACAGAAAGCAGCATAGTTTTTTTTGTTTTGTTTTGTTTTTTAGTATAGCCCCTCTCCCCCACCCAATCCCCCGTTCTCCCAGGTGGTGCTAAAACATCTCGCAGCTGCTGTCATTGAAGCTGTAACTTCCTAAAGAGTCTTTTGGAATGATCAGGGTAGTTTTAGAAATCTGTCAACTTCTCTGTTTAGGAAAATTTGCATACAATAAACGTGGGGATTTTGTTAAAATGCAGATTTTGATCCAGCCATCTGGAGTGGAACCTGAGACCCTGCATTTCTAGCAGCTCCCAGGTAATGCTGAGTTTGTTGACAAGTCTTACTTTGAGTAACAAGGATCAATTCCACCTTTACCTACGTAATTGAATTTGAGGGACACCAGAAAAACCCCTCCCACACCAAAAATCTCAATCTTGCCCGTATAATGCAACACAAGAAACACAAAAAACAAAACAAAACAAAACAAAAAAGCAGGGGTGGGATGGGGAGAACAAAGTCCAGTTTCCCTTATTTAAATTGTTTGCCCAGCTCTGACACTATATTGTACTAATAACGGTTAGTCCACACTTGCGGTCTAAAATTTAATCACCCCTAGCTTTGTGCCTGTATGACAGTATAAAAACAACTGAGCATTTCTCATGTGATCCTTACAAGAGCTGTGAGTTAAGCAGAGCAAATAGAATTACCATTTTAGAAAAGTAGAAAATAGATTGGTCAAGGTAAGCGACTTACGCATGGCCTCCTTACTACCAGGAATTAGATCCAGGAACCATACTCAAATCTTATGACTCCCAAATCTAGAGCTTGTCCATAATAATAGTACTTTTCCTATCACCAATCTTCCTACCTCCCAGACAAATTTTCTTTGACATTGTTACACTATTGTTCCAGCAGTTGTATAACCAGGAAAAAAAAAGAATATCAGTGGAATATGGGGTTGTTCCAGGTTCACTATTTCAGTACATACTGCACCTTAGATGATTTTTTTTTAAATCTGGAAGACAAGCCTAAATTCTATTGAATGACGTAGAAGAATTAAGATTCTAAGATTTCATTCAACAGCAGAGGGATATTTTTAATCGACCTGAATACAAATGCTAGTCAGAGATAACTGATGTTAGTAATGGAATGAAAATGTTCCACGACCAAGAATCTCACAGTTGACTCTACAGTAACAAGGAATGCAGTGGGGATTCCCTATGACAGAGTGAGAAATGGGAAGTACCTCCAAGTTCAAGGCCCCCCAGGACATTTCTGCTTCATTGGCTGCTGTGCTCCAGCACTCAGGAAAATGCTTACTATGTAGTAGGTGCTCCATACATATTTTAAAATCAAATGAATACCTGAAGTCTTACTTCAACAATACACAATGTAATAAATGCTAAAGTGTCTTTCAATGTGGAACCCTCATTTCTTTCTAAGTGGATTCTTTTTCACATTAATATGAATGAAAAGTTGCTTTAAAGTTTTTAATCCTTGGGATAATTGGAGACATTTTGCTCTTCCCAAACTAAAAGTTACTCTTTAGTATCTGAAAAAATATGATCCCAATGGAATAAATCCCACTCTATACAATCAGCATATTGACTCAAATAAGGGAAAGCCAAGGCTCATACTGTTTTCAAGTCTATTCTTCATGATATTGTGGGAATTTAATTTCTGATTTCTCCCTAGATCTTAGCTCAGTCAGCATTTCATGAAATAAACATAGTTTCTTCTCAGCACCATGTAGTTTCCCCTTCTTACATGTCATATGATTTTATATGTATCTGCTTTCCCCGTCCCTGCCACTACACTATACTCCCTCTCAGCACAGGGATCAGGGCTGCTTTTGTTAACAGGTATAGTCCTCACACCTGCCTGGTCCTGATCCTTACCAGGTCTAGGAGTTACTAAAAGCTAGCAAACACTCTCTAAAAACATTTAATTCTAAACAGCCTCCCTGGCTCTCCCCTTAAATGAAGATAGATAGCAATAGAGGTTTTTTCTATACTTTGTATACACAGAACACCCCACACAAATTCAAAGCCCCTATAGAATTTCAATGAAAACGAACTCCAAGTTTCCAACATTGCAAATGTATGTTCCCATCCTGGTCCAGAGAGGATTTAGGGTACAGGCAATCAGTAGTCATGAGCAAAAACAGGCAGCAGTCAAGACTATTGTAAGAGAAACTCAGCTGAAACGCAGGAAAAAAAAAAAGTCACCTTCAATAGTAAAGCCTTGATTTGACAAATGAACAAAGATAAAGCATGTTAATGGTATTTTAAAAGAATACCAATGTTGCACATTATTTTAACAATGTGGGAGCCTAACACCACCTGCATCAGAAACACTGAGTCTGAGGAAGAACAAATCAAATTCAAGGTAAATGAGACCTGATCTCAGAGTGGAAATAAGTAATCGATCACCCAATTTTTCCACTAGCACTTCTTATTCAATATTAGAGTGGCAGAAGACTACTATACTTAAAACACTGGGACCATGTAGGAATTCTATCTACACATGATCTCTCTCCACAATCCATCTATAAGAAATTACAATATCTGTGAAGCCTTAAGAAACATTCTACAAACAATGAATCTGAAGGCAAAATTGTGACAGAGAAGACATATATTTTGTCTATGTAGTTACAGAACTATACTTCCAGCAGTACATGCTCTTCCTAACCTTACTAAAATTACATCTTGTGTATTTTTTTAAAAAACGTATGCTGTTCTTAAAATTCTGATAGTAAAATATGTACAGTATTTATTAAAAGTTAACTTGAGTCTTGAATTTATTAAAAACCAGATTGCAGACAAAATAAATGGGAAATACACAGCTTCCTTGAGAGAGTAGTATCAATGTTTGTCAAAATTTTCATATATTTAAAGTCATCTTACATATAGAGACCCCAAGCAGTACCCAAGATAATACATTACCACTAATTGCTGTAATTTCCAAGCCTGTGTGCCACTTTCATATCCTATAGATCTCAAATTTTTTTCTACATCATAATGTATTCTCAGAGTGCAATGAACACTTGTCTTGTTTCATTTCAGGAACACATAGTCTCCAGTTTTTCTAAGGGGCAGGGTGAGCTGTCCATAATCTTTCTCCCTTCCTGGGGTGTTTTACTCCTCTCCCATGTGAGCCAGTGTCACAGGTCTGCTGTGTCCCACCAAAGTTTGGTTATACAGTGATCCCACTGCCCTTCGAAGGGAATAGTTCAAAAAAAGATTAGTCAGGTTAATAAAAGGAGGATTTTTGGAGGCTGCTGGGAAAATTCTTCCTCACTCTTCATCTATTCATTGTTATAGTTGAATATGAGGTTCAGAAGTGCTTCAATTACATTGTTTCATTTAGAGGAGGGCAAAATCAAGAGAATTCCTGGGAAAATGGAGCCAGAACTCCTTGATGGAGTCACCCTTAAGACCTTCTAGACTTCCATCTGTGAGATAATATACTTTGGTTATTAAAATGTATATCATTTTTAGTTGGGTTTTCTACTCCAGCACAAAAAAAAAGCATACTGAAAGATACATTTTGATTACTTCATAACCATTTACCTAAGTTTCAAGAACAAGTTATTCTAGTCAATGCCATAATAAATTGAATATTGCTTTTGAAATGTAACACAGGTTTTAAAAAATATTGCTCAGAAAGTAGGTGAAATAAACTAAGAAATTTGCACTCTGAATTTTTATGAAGGTATGGAAAAAGGAAAGAAGAGAAAAATAATTGAAGCTCTTCCTCTTTTTTTGACCTATTTTATTAAGGTATGATCGACATGCAAAAAGCTACACATATTAAATATATACAACTTGATGAGTTTGGAGATAAGCATATATATACTTGTGAAACCATCACCACAATCTGTGCCATAAACCTATCCATCACCTCCAGAAGTTTCCTCCCACCTTTTTTTGTGATAAGAACACAACATAAAATCTACCCTCTTTTTAAGTCTACAACAGAGTATGTACTGTTAACTGTAGGCAATATACTACACAGATCTTTAGAACTTACTCATCTTGCATAACCAAAACTGTATACCCTTTGACTAACACCTCCCCATTTCACCCTCTTCACTTTTAAGAAATCTTCCAGCATCTCATAGAAGCCCAGAAACATAGTAAGAATTCAACAATATCTAGAAAGTAAATTATTTATTATTTGCTTTTCCATCATTGAAAAGAGTATCTAAGTATCTGGTAAACTGGGAAATCAGAGCCATGCCACTTCTGTGTGACTTTAAGCAATCATTTAACCACCTTAGGGCCTTTACTTGTTTCTCCATAAATAAAAACAACTTTTCTTGTTCAAATATTTCATTGTCATTGGCACATTATCACTGCTCTTTGCAAAAGATTTGTAAAAAAAAGAAACCATGCTGCTAAGCATGCATTTTAAAAGTGCTTACAGATTAATACTTGAAGCCAGGTCACCAGGCCACTTAATTTCATTTGTTTAAAAATTTTGCCTTAATACTCAGCAAACAAAAACTTACGAACCTTACAACAACTGCAAAATGTGTTATTAAACTATTAAATGAACCTATTTTCTTTCAAAAGGTTTATACACAATTGAGATAAGGCGCATAGTTATCTTTGATTCTATGATTCCTCTTAGTTTCTGTTCTTTAAATTAATTTCAAATAATTGAAGTATAATCTAATACCATGAAAAATTTAGACATACTATAGGTACATATACGTCAAAATAGCAGTGAGGAATGTGTGCATGCATTTGTGCGTGCGTGTGTGTGCGTGTGTGTGTGTGTGTGTGTGTGTGTGTTTTCCTGACTAGTCACTATTTGACAGGCAAGGCACAGTTTCCTAACACTTAATTCTTTCGATTGAATTTAATCCTGACAATAACTTAAATGCCCCCATCTTAAACATAAGGACCATTCTCAGAAAGGCAGCTAAGGAAACTAATGTCATGAAACTAATAAAAACCTTTTTCTCCAACATTATATACATCGTGTATACAATCCTCATACTCTCAAAGGATGAGAACTTTTTTCCCTCATGAACATACATGGCCGAACAACATTTCTGTGAAGAACAACAACAAAAATCATCTGATAAACCTACTGGAGAAACTTTTCAGAAATTAAAATATGCAAAACCTTTTTTTTCTTTTTGGTTCATTCATTCTCCCTACAGCCTCATTTCATTCTGTATCTTTTATTTTGAAAATAGATAATCAACCTGTTTCAGACGTAATTATAGAATGGCAAACACATAAATATGTAAACTTGATATTGGGGTAGTAATAAAGACGGGCAGATAATATTTCTTCCCACAAATGAGACAAACTGAGGGAAATACTCTCTCAGAACTAGGTGGATAGAATAGAGATTTTTTAAAAATCTTCCAAAAAACCAGAATATTTAACTATTGTGGCTAACTGCAGCCCAGAAAGGGTGACTTGCCTGGAACTGACGGGTAAGATATCTATAGCCCTGTATAAGAACATGGATTTAAAGAAGCTTTTACAATAAACTTATCCCTCTCCACAAAGCAGCAAAGCAACAAAAGAAAGAGGCCAATAATATTACCTTCACTACAACATGATTCTTCCAAGCTCAGTGAAATTGTGTTTATATACACTAAAAGTGGAGAACTGAAGGGCTCAGGAATTCAGGCTGCAGCCAATGCTTCTATACACACCAGGGAACAAATCATGGCAAAATACAGTATTTTAGAATAAAATGCAAAATTTCTATAGAGTAGCCCATCTCAACTTTGCTCACTTTCATGGTTTTGCAAATATTCCTTTCAGGGCAGTGTTTTACATTTTGTTCTTCAATAGGAAAATAATGCACCCTGCCCCCAAAACAATTAAAAATTGAGTAATTCATCTCTAAAACAAAAGAGGCAATTTTGTTTTAGACAAAAGAAAAACTAGTTAAAAAACAGAAGACTCATTTAAGGTATGATGTTTATCAGGAACTAAGGGATGATACCAAGTTATTAATCTCAGCAGAAACTTCCTTGATTAAAACAAATACCTTTCTGAAGAAAGTTTCTCTTCCTTTAGGGATAGATATTTCTGGATGAAAAATAAAAAAAAATCATTTGGCCTTCAAAAATTTTAAAGGTGTACTCTTTCTCAAAGGCCAGTTATTTTTATTAACTTTGATAGACAATGAAACAACAATGCTGAGCCACAAATATTTTAATTTTTTTAAACCATGTTTAAGCAGTAGAGTCACCTTGAAGGAGGTTCTCTGATTAAGTGCACTGTTCTCTTAAAATGCCTTTGTACAAATAGGTTCATTTCAGAAAGCGATACTGGCAAACAGTTAAATACCATATGCTACAAGTCATGGAAAAAAAAGAGTTTAACTACAGTTCACATAAAACTGAGAACTCAAAGGAAGGTTATTTTGAAAACATACACAAAGAAATTTTAAAAACATTTAGGGGCATTTCAGAGTTCAAGCCTACAACCGTGTGGCAAAATGTAGCAGATGTTGGCATTTGGGTGCTGGAGGGATGTCAAAATGACATAAAAAAAAAAATCAGTGTCTAAGATGTATGGAACATGGATTTGATGTTTCTGTATCTGAAACAAAATAAGAAACTGAAATGATGAAGGTAAAAAATAAAACATCAACAATAACTAGAAAAAATTAAACATACTTTTTCTATTGTCCAAATCTATGTATTTCAACTTTCTCTTTCATAATCCCTCACCTCCCAGCATGTTTTGAATGCAGCAGATGCTAACTAAAGTCACTCAACAATATCTACCTTCTAAGTTAAAGTGAGCCTATTATTATTACTTAGAACCATTTCTTTACCCCACAGAGTTAGTTCAGTGAAGATTGCTCTAGGCTTAGGAGAGCAAGTCACAGAGCTTCAGAAACACAGATGTGATCAATGCAATATTCACAACTAAACAGCCTTGCATTCAAAATGTTCTTCATACCACTATTCTCTCAAATTTTTCACCATTTGAAAAAGGGCTGTAGCCTGCAGCACTCTCCCAGGGAACAATTTGAGGCAAGGGTTAATAATAAGAAAACACAGTCAAAAGAATAACTGAAGAAAAAAAGAAGGAAAACAGAAGCCAAACCCACGTATGCTATTTTTCTGACCTCTATTTATCACTAGAACGTATGGGCTTAATTGTAGATGTCAACTTTACAGGATTGAGGAATACCTAGAAACCCCGTAAAGCAATTCACTATGTTATGTATTTCATCTTCACATCGTTTCCATTACTGGAGGTATAAACTGTATAGAGACTTTGAGAGTTCTGTTTTATGCATTTTTTGCAAATTCGACTTCACAGAAGTGAACTATGTTTACTTTGTGTTAAGTGTTGTGTACGTATGTAAAAACATTGAAATTTTCTCAGTAAATGAAGAGATGTTCTTTTGTACATTTGCATTTGTGAAATATAAAATTTCTTGAGATCTCAGCTCTTTGGGTGACTACATATATGTTGGTAACCTATCACAGTTTTTGATGGATCTTGTCAAAAGACTTAGGTTGCTCATTATATTATTTCAGATGACCAAAGTTAGAAAGCTGTTGCACACAACTATCAATCATAGTGGTACGCATTTATACATTGTCCTTTTTTGACCTACTTCTTTATAAGGACAGTTCATCTTGTCATAACTATTATACCAGTATGACTGTCATTAGCATACTTGAGTGTTTATATGTGCAAAAGCATGTATGTTGTTATTGCATATTTTGTTGTGTAAAGTGGCCTATATTCTGTTTTTACATTTCTTAACTAAATCCTCTTTTTAAAATATAAATAAATATCTTTAAAATAATATTTTAGGCCGGGCATGGTGGCTCATTCCTGTAATCCCAGCACTTTGGGAGGCTGAGACGGGCGGATCACGAGGTCAGGAGATTGAGACCATCCTGGCAAACACGGTGAAACCCCGTCTCTACTAAAAATACAAAAAAAATTAGCCGGGCGTGGCGGCGGGCGCCTGTAGTCGCAGCTGCTTGGGAGGCTGAGGCAGGAGGATAGCCTGAACCCGGGAGGTGGAGCTTGCAGTGAGTGGAGATCGCACCTCTGCACTCCAGCCTGGGCGACAGAGCGAGACTCCGTCTCAAAAATACTACTACTACTAATAATAATATTTTAATTTTTTTCAGAATTACATTTTCAGGATTTTGATGTTTTGGGGATTGTGATTTTCTGGATTTTAGACTTTAGAGATTTTACTCTTCTGGGATTTTAACATTCAGAATTATGACATTCAGAATTGTGTCTTTTGGGATTATGACCAGCTCTCAATTTAGCCAACCAGAATTACCTAATTGGATGTATAGAAACAATTCCTTAAATGTATCCACTTTTGATTCAAATAAATTCATTACTGACTTGAACGATGTGGGATTACTCCTGACCTCCTGACCTCGTGATCCGCCCGTCTCAGCCTCCCAAAGTGCTGGGATTACAGGAATGAGCCACCATGCCCGGCCTAAAATATTATTTTAAAGATATTTATTTATATTTTAAAAAGAGGATTTAGTTAAGAAATGTAAAAACAGAATATATTATATATTCTAGATTATAACAAACTGATACTATCCAATGCTGCAAAAGAAAAAAAAATGTGACTGTGCCTTTTAATTCTGGATTTAGATCATCTTCTTTACTTTTTACATAGTCTACCTCATGAAAAAATACATACATTATAAATGTATTAATGTATTAAATGTATTAAATTACCTGTTTCCTATAAAAAATATAAAATTTTGAAGCCTATTTATTGCTTTTTCAAATCAGTTATACAAACTGCTGAAATTGAACATAAACCAATGTCTTAAACTTGGTAATATTCATACAGAATGGCTGATATTTTGACAAGATGAATTTAAAGGAATTCTAAGATCTAGCATATACCTAACCATAAGTACAGCTTATTTCAAGATACAAGAATGAAATATGGAAAGAAAAACATGCCTGTAAAACGTAAAGTCAGTTTCCAAGGTCATACTATAGCTATCTTCTATTCTATTTCCCATTAATACACTTCCATTTTACTCAATCCTTAAAAATAACCCTTAGTGTACTGGTACAAATCTCAAGTATTGTCCATGATAAAATTCAAAAGCACGCAACATTTCAACCCCTCTTAGATAAAAAGCAACGAGAGTTCACGGACAAACACCATGGTTTTCTCTGATCAGTTCCCAACACAATACAATATTCAATGAGTCCTGTATCAAACTATTTTTGCTGACATGCATGAAATCATTCTTAATTACCTGCTGAACCTAAATTGGAAGAATTTCTGAAATTTGGGAAAATAACATTACCCTGTGTCCCTTCTTCATCCAATGTTCCTTGATCCATTCTTAAGATTTCAAAACTAGACTGAATAAAAAGTAAACCAATTATATAGACTTTTAGCTCCTTTCTTAGAATAACCAATAGTGCCATCAGGTCTAATTTTAACCATCCATGCAATCATAGAACAGCCCTAAAATTTTAATGAACTTTTGGGGGATTTAATTCCTTTACTGCCCAAGCCCAATGAGGATATGAATGCAAAAATCTTATTTTAGTGAATGTAACTGAATGTAAGCTTCGGCCATATACAGGAATTCTTATATGATTGCTGCAAGACTCAGCACTGGTACCCATTAGTTTTCACCCTTAATACTGAGTAAAAATATACATGGTACTTTCATTATATTGATTCTACTCTTTGTTTTCTAGGGCAATATATAAGCGTGTCCATTTTTCTAAATGACAACCTTATAAATAGTTGGAGACAAGTGTTTTAGTTCCTATTAGTCTTCTCTACACTATACAGTCCCACTTCCTCCATTTCTCATATTTCCAGACTTCTGGCACTCCAGTTTGTCCAAGTCTTTCCTAAAATTATGGTGTCTTGGACGGAACATGGTATTCCAGCCGTGATGCGGCCAGTGTGAAGTACGTCAACTATGTTACTTCCCATGATGTGGACACTCTTATTTCTATTTATAATGCCTAAGGAATTCTTCAGGGTTTTTTATTCTTTTTTTCTCTTTTAAGCAGTTGCAACATACAGTTGGCTCATATTAAGCTTGTAGTCAACTAAAAGCTCCAGATGTTTTTCACAAACTGAAAATTTTCATATTCAGTTCTCATTCGGAGCCAGCAACCATGAGCTCTAGTAACAAGCAGAGAACTCAGATGTGTAGTTGCCTGAATGAGGGATAAATATGTGAGATAATCCACTATAGTTTGTTACAAAATCTCTTCTAGTTGCCATTCTAATTGCTTAAAATTTTCCTCAACAGCATTAAGTATTTTCCTTCCAAGAAGTCTTGAATATTCAAATACATACCTCTGTATTTTATTACTTATTTTGTATTGAATATGTGCCAGTCCCTATTCTAAGAGCTCGAAATAATTTTTTAGTAATTAACGTAATCTGTATAACAATTCTATGAAATAGGTGTCATACACATTTAACAAATGAAGAAACTGAAGCACAGACAATTTAAGTAACTTACCACAAATCACACAACCTGTAAGAAGCACAGCCAGGATTTAAAACCAGGTTAGTCTCATTCCAGAATTGAGGCTCATAATCATCATATTCTGCCGCTTCTCTACAAATGCTTGGTGAAATACGCATAGTGCCAGACACTTGGGAAAGTAATATAATATCATCATTGTCATCATCATATTTCTATATGTTTGTCTTAGTTCTCTTAAATAGAACTATGCTAAGCAACACAGAAATAGGTTATAGACAATCTTAGAATGAGTTTATATTCAATCCTAAATATGAAAGTCACTTTTCAGGGCTGTTGAAAGGATTAGAAAATTAGCATCTGTAAAGTGCTTAGAAAAACGTCTGGCCTAACTTAAGTGCTAGCTCTTTTTAAATATCAATTTTATAAATGTATTTATTCATACAAAAATGCATACATAAATTCATATTTACAAGTCACAAAGTTCCTTACGGCAAGAAAACAATAAACATTTAAGTGAGTCATTAGGAGACTTCATTTTGAAAGGTGAAATATTCTCTTTAAAGAGACACATGTTGAGACTTGAAGGAGGCAAGACCATCAGAAATATTATATGATGAAAAAAATAAAATCGCTCAGTTTCTTTAGCACCCATCTGCCGGTGGAAAAAAAACCCACTGGCTTTATGTATGTCACCACCTTGTTTAGTAATTAAAGACTACTCCAAAAAACACGCATTACCACCAGACATTATTGGTCACCGAGGCCAATCCAGGCGTGTGCCTCTTTTAAACACTCTAAATGGATATTTTTGGCAACCCATGTGTGTTCCTGCAAATGCAAGTTGATCTAAAAACATGTTCTTTTGTCAGTTCTTTCAAATGAATGACACAGGATTCCACAGACTGTCATATTTGCCTAAGATGAAGTGCTACATACTGTAACAGTAAAACTAAGAGCATCTCATTACTAGAATTTCCTGAGTATGCCAAGTCCTCATTTGGCTTTGAAGTGAGTTTGTTGTGCTGTGCACAGAGACAGAACACAGTGTGGGTGTTACAATGAACGAAATTTAGGAGGGAATCCTATAGTCATTGCTTCATGATCCACTGTCTTGATATGGTTGTTCTACTGTTGATATTGTTCTTTTCAATATTATAATCACTGTTAAGACTTAACAGTTTGTTACTGACTGGTTTTCTCCACAGTGTGAGTGATATAAACTTGCATATTTTTCTATGATTTTCTGGTAAGTAGATATTCTGACACGTATGCCTAGCAGTTCCAACATAAATCATCCATAAGGCAGGTGTAAACATCATTCTACACCACCTATCAAATATTTGTTTTGCTTTACATAAATAGGACCACATCATTTTTTATTCATCTGTGAATCTATATTAATAATTTGCAATAAAAATTTTTATAAAAATACAATCCTGAACATATGTTTAAATTCTTAGCTTACAGAGTAATCAGGAATTCATTTATGCTCCCTTACATCTATTTGTATCTATAGAAAAATTTTTCTACTAAAACAGAAACTTGTGATCTAAGGGAAGTAATTGAAAGAGGGCAGTGGGGAGGTAAAGAAAAGTTGAGAGGCCTACTGATGTAAATTATCCGCTCTCCAAATGCTTTTTCCTAGCTCATGTCTCCATTAATCACTACTTTTTCCTTTTCAACTCACAACTCAAAATTGACTAACTTATTTTATAGCCACCTTATTTTACAGCAAGAACTAATATGATTGCTACAATGTATTAAGAATTTCAAGCTGAGAAGTATCCTTTAAAAGTTTTACTTTCGCAATATGTATTTTTTTAATACTGCACTTACGGTTATGCATGAAACTGCAAAAATCCACTACTTTCTACCTCTGGTTTGTATATGCCTCACCAAATTCCACTTCACCGAACACTGCTATTTCTTCATTCTTAGACTAAACACAATAACTCCACTCACACCCTAGTTATTGCTCACTTGGTTATTACTATAGGCACTATCTGCTCTTTCTATATTTCCAGGACCTAAATAATTTTTTTTTAAATCTACCTTCTGGTCACAGCTTTACTACCTGTAGCCTTACCTTGGGATATGTTTGGGTAGAAGTGCATATGATCTCAGCCAGCTGTCCCTGCATACCACCAGGAGGCTATAGGAAGCTGAAGCACTGTCTCTGGCTCACTTGCTACAGAGGGAACAAAACTGTTAAGAGGAGGCACGGTAATACCGGTGGTATAAGAAGGATGAAAACAAGGGGAAGTAAAGCACAGATTAGCCACTCACCAGCTCTAAAATCTTACGCATGAGAGTCCACTTAACCTTCATAATTATTTCTAAACCAGAATTAATGATTCTGAAAGTCTGTTTTTGAAGGAACACCTTTGTTTGTCCAGATGCATGAGGCTGTTTTCCTCTGCCACAGAGAAACAAGTTCAAGGCATTATAAAAAGTGTACTGTTAAAAAGAAGACTTTAATCTTAGCTGTACATGCAGTGTAAAACATTTCAGAATTTAAAGTCTCAAGAAAGAAGTCAACTAAAACAGATATGAGCACATATGCATAGGTGTTTACATTGTGTCTGTGAAAGAGATACAGAAACAGAAAGAAAGAGAGGGATTGATTTGGGAGAAAAATTGATTTTCTGACACACACAATATCTAATTGCCATTATTTATTGTAACTTTCATACCTATGAAAACACAAGGATTTATTGGGCTCAATTTTACATCTGCATATATTTCCTCTGGATATTTTATAAATAGGTATTCTTCATTAAAATGTTTTATATAAATATATTTTGATCAATGAAAGGCCACTTTTTTCAGAGATCTGAATATAGAATATGGGATTATAATTTGGTACTATATAATCCAAAAATATCAAAAATCAACCCAGGCTTCATTGGCTATACATTCCAGTGATTTCTAGCATTTCAAGTCTAATATCATGCACTACAATATTAAACTATTACTGTAACATAATATAACAAATTAGATAAAGATGTCAGTATTTTAAAATTATGTCCTCCAAATAAACATGTAAGTGTTGGATTCTGACAGTCACAACTCAAGTTTTATAGTTTTAAGAACTGCCTCCAAGGCAAGAGATAAACATACTAGAACTAAGATTGTCTTTTAAAATTCAAACCTTTCTAAAAATATAAAAATATTCATATTTACCTTTGGGGCTGTTTAACAAAATTTGCCTATTTTCTTGGAAGAATGGGGACATGATACACTAAGTCTATATGCGGTTATTCCATGTCCTTCTGTATACATTTTAGAATGTGACTTTGGTGGAAATATGTCTTTTTAAATTATGGTGTTTTTCTGATAGAGAATATTTTCTAAAACAGGCCACTGTTGTATTATAATGGGGGCCCCTCAATAATAACATGCAATGGAACAAAAGGTCTACTTTTATTCAAAGGTGTTAGATTTAATATATGACCTCAACTTCATATTAGATTCCATTCTTCTGATACCCATTTGTAATTACAAAAATAAAAATGGCACTTCAAGGCATAGATTATCTTTTTAAAAGACTCGACAGTTAGTGCCACCCTAAATTTTTTTTTTTTTGAGACAGAGTCTCGCTCTGTTGCCCAGGCTGGAGTGCAGTGGTGCGATCTTGGCTCACTGCAAGCTCCACTTCCCGGGTTCACGCCATTCTCCCCTCAGCCTCCCGAGTAGCTGGGACTACAGGTGCCCGCCACCATGCCCGGCTAATTTTTTGTATTTTTAGTAGAGATGGAGTTTCACCGTGTTAGCCAGGATGGTCTCGATCTCCTGACCTAGTGATCCGCCCACCTCGGCCTCCCAAAGTGCTAGGATTACAGGCGTGAGCCATTGCGCCCGGCCTGCCGCCCTAAAATTTTAAACTAAATATAGCAATCGTTCTACCAAAAACGCAAGTGAAGTTGAGATTTTTCAATTATTCTTATAGAGGAAATTTATACTATTATATTCATAAAACTTCACAATTTACCTGGGAAAGAAAAACACAGTTACAACACAGCCTGAGCCAAATCATCCCAGACAGGCTATTCTCAGAGCTTGAATTTTCCAAATATTTTCCCACTCTTTACTTTACATTGCTCATTACCAATCTATGTTTTTAGCACTTCAAAGGCCAGCTATTCAAAGGAGCAAGAAGCTAGACAGACATGAAACCTGAATACCACTCTCAGGAACACAGAGTGCTCTGGCCCGGCCACAAAACCAGGGCTCATTTCACCTCTCCCACTTCCTGTTAATAGCAAAGGTTAGAAACAGATTCTGTTCCCAAGCACAAAAGTGAGCATGGGTGGTTTTTTTTTTTTTTTTTATTACCAATAAAACTCTGAGGAGTACACACAGGTACAAGTGTTTTATGCTATTTGCTTATTCTATACCAGAGTTATAAACCCTTAAGATAGATGGCAACATAATTGTTAAATTCTACAGATTAACTTCGCTGCAATTAAAGCAACACTCCTCATAGCCAATAGCATAGTCACAGTCTTGAGTTGTTATCTGGTGTGAACACAGATTTAAGTCCGATAAAGACATGTATAAAAACATTAATTTATTTGATTGTCACAGTTAGAGCTCCTATTAGTATAAAATGGCTGTTGAACATCAAAACATAAAAATTTTATTTATACGATGGCAAATATAAATGGCAGAAAAATCCACTTTTGAAAAAAATTAGAAAGATATACAAATATATGTGCCTAAAAGTCAGTGCCACAATATGTTACGGTGCCTTAATACATAGTGTAACTTGACACTAACAATTTCCAGACTCAAGGAACATGGTTTTGTCTAATATAACTATCCTATTTGTCAATATTATTGTGGTTTTACCATTTCAGTGTTCTCTATTTTATCCCCACCAAACTTTGTTTCTGCTCTTAAATACCTCTAATGATCAGAAAAAAAGAAAAAGACTACTTTTTGGTCCTGTTCTGCCAAATGGGACAATATGGAACAAGTCCAACACTCGTATACCTGTCCTTCCCCTATTCTTATTAAAGTACAGTTCGATGGCCTACCAGATTTAGAACATATGAATAAAGAACAAGACATTCTTCCTTTTATTGCTCAATAACTTATGTGTAATCTGATAGCAAAGCGAAATGGACTACACCTTAACCCAGAAATGACTAGAAGCTTGTATTTTCAGAGAACCCGGTGTGCATTCACAGGGATTTTATTCAGCACTCCACAGCCGGTCCTTCTGGGACTCTGCTCCATACAACAATAAAAAGTAAGGCCTGTGCTTCCTGTACATTGCTCTTGAAAAAAAATCATGTAACCAAGCTGTCACCTGGAGCCTCCCTGTCCCTTGCAATACGTGTACAATTGCCCTGAATGTCCCCCAATTCAGCAGTCAGTTCAAACTTCCTGCCCCAACTTAACTCTTGGCCAAGAGTCCTGCTACTTGTCATTACCAATGGAGTTTCATTCCTCTCGGATGCTAGCTTATTCCAGGGTAGCCTCTACCCTACATCAGTCAACCTCCGCATGAACTCAGACCATTCTTGTGTTAAAAATAACATAAAACTCGGAGGTAAGCAATCATGAGCTCGAGACTTGACTGAGTTTAGAGCGTGGAGATCGGATTTATAGGTAAGAGTCACACTGCAGTTTTCTGCGAGTCCCTACCAAGTTGCCAAGAATACTGCCAAATAGTCTCTCTCCAATACAGACATTCTCTCTTCTCCGAAGCCCTGGCTCCATGTGATACCCAAGCCCTTTGGAAATAGGTAGAATAGTGTTCTTTCTATACTTGCACCAAGATCTAAATATTTTTCCATATCTTTGTAAATAAAAATTATGATGACAAGTCAACAAAATATTCTTCACCTGATTTTTAAAAAATTCCTAAACTATCCCATGCCACAGTTTCTTTTTAATGATATTCGATACGGTTTGGCTCTGTGTCCTCACCAAGGTGGGTGGATCACTTGAGGTCAGGAGTTCGAGACTAGCCTGGCCAACATGGTGAAACCCCATATCTACTAAACATAAAAGAATTAGCCAGGCATGGTGGCACACATCTGTAATCCCAGCTACTCAAGAGGCTGAGGCAGAAGAATCACTTGAACCTCGGAGGCAGATGTTGCAGTGAGCCGAGATCACAGCCACTGCACTCCAGCCTGGGTGACAGAGTGAGACTTTGTCTCAAAAAAAAAAAAAAAAATACAATATTAAATTTAATCATAGGGTTGTCATATAATTTAAAATAAATTATTTATTAAGTAAATGCATTTATTTGTGGTTCTCTAATGAGTTATATGAGAATTTAATATTTACATTTTATTATAAAATGGAACAAAAACATTAGCCACATGAAGCAACATATCTTGACTTTATTTTTTGTGAAACTCGATATTTTGAAAAGCATCCTTGGAACTAAAAAACACAGCGTCTTTTAGAGACCCTGTCTCTAAAAGAAAATTGAAAAAAACAAAAAACAAAAACAGTGGGACATGGTGGTGCACACCTGTAGTCCCAGCTACTAGGGAGGCTAAGGCAGGTGAATCACTTGAACCTAGGAGTTCAAGCCTGCAGGGAGCTATGATCGTACCACTGCACTCCACCCTCAATGACAGAGCAAGATCTTGCCTCAAAAGAAAATAAGTTTCACCTGGTATAAGCAAAAAAAATAAAATAAAAAAGAAACGGCATTTAAGAAAAGCCACCTTCAGTGTGTAACTCTCCCCTCTCAATAGCAACCCCAAAGGAGATGTCACAGGGCACTTTAAAAATCACTGCTCTAAGATTTTTAAAAGAAATTTCATCCAATTTTAATTATGAGGTTGAAAACCATTATTTTAAAGCATAGAGGGCTTAGTTTCTTTAATCTATAACCCCATATACAGACATATATCTGAAAACAGTAATCAGAAGTGCAACCAAGAATTTACTAAAATATGCACTTCAGTATTATTTATACTGACAAAACCAGGAGATAATCAACAAGCCTAACAAGAGAGAATTACTTACATAAAATATGACACAGTCATATACGGAATATTAAGAAGCATAGAAGTAATTTCTACAGACTTTTAATGTATAAAATGGGTTATAACATACTGTTAATTTAAAAATATAGAACACTAATCAATATATAATACTATCCCAGTTATGTAAAATGTAAAAGCATTAAAAAAAGTGTTGTGGGAAAACTAACACAATATAGTAACCATTATTTTTATTATTTTACGCTCTTATTTCAGAAAGTAAGCTAATCAAGGGTTAGGGAAACAGTTGCCACGGGCATGATACAAAAAGAAAGGAAAAAAACAGAAAGAGAGAAATCGGCAATAAACAGAACATAACTATCTTGACATTCTGTGGTTAAAAAAGAAAGCCTTTAAAAACCACCTTTTAAAAATATAACCACATTAAATACAATTTAAATGAAACGGCTGAGGAAAGTATATCCCCTAAAAGGTGGAGAAAAGCTAAGATGCAACCGGGGTGAGGTCAATTCACAAAAACCTACCACCAAATCTGGTGCACATAATTCAGTCAGGCCACAAACTGAGCACTCAGAACCAATGGAATCAGTCATCTGCATTCCTCAAAGCAACAAGGACAGCCTTCCTTTATTGAGTACCTATTATGTGACAGACTTTGTGTTCAGCAGCAATATGCATGCATTATCTCATTTAATCCTCCCGACACATTTAGGATTGATATTACTGATATCCCCTGCTTACAGAAGGAGGAGTTCAAACAGTTTAAATAACTTTATCACACCCAAGGACTAGGCAGTGACAAGAGGTCATAAGCCAACTTCTTTCTATTCCAGAAGTCTGTTGTGGAGGACAGCTTACAGGGAGGCTCTGGGGACATTTTTTGGCCATCCTAGATTCTCTACCTAGGAAAACTAGAATAGCTCAGTGATATGGAGAATGGACTTCAGAGACAGACAGCCTGCAATTCCAATCCCGGCTCTCCCATCTATTGATTTTCTGTTATTTTTAGGATAATAATGTATAATTAAATCAATGACAACTGTTATTGTTGTTACTGTAAATACATAACATTTATGTGCCAGGCACATATGTGCTTTATATTAACTCATTTAATACGTATAACAAAACTCAGAGATTATCTAAGTACGCTGCCTCGAACACTCAGTAAGTACTCAACAAATACCTGCTTTTATTATCCTACATTTTTTTCATTTCAGATGTTTTATAAATCTTACCTATTATTCCTCTGTAAAACACTGGTGGGTTATATGCATACTTTCAGACTTTTAATAGGGCAATCACAAGGCTTTAATTGCCTAAATGAGCCACAGAACCATTCAAAAGCAGTTCTGGCTAGATCTGGGTGGATGAACTCACATATTTCTTGATGTCTCTTCAAGTTTTAAACAACCTTTGCCAGACAAAAGTCCAGGCTTTTGGCACATACACCATAATTTTTATTTATAAAGTGCTACCACTGGAAATTAAGAATAGGATAAGTTTTACCTCTCGAGGCTATGGTTGATACTGTGATTTTGTAAAATATTCTTTAATATACCAGTATCTAAAGATATAATTGGGGACTTGCTAATCTGTTTCCAAATAAATCAATTTTTAAAACTCAAAGTAAAACAAAAAAGGAAATTATATCATTCTAATATAAGACTTCGAATGACCTTTTTCTACAGGACTTTTGTGTACTGCAATGTATTTTTTGAAAAAGTAAACTGGTTCTAAAAATTAAGGCATGCCACATAATGTCACATAAATAACTCTGCTAACTAATGATGTATCAAGTACAGGGATAAGGTTAAATTACACGTATTAACTTATAGACTAACAATGTCCACATTATAGCATGAATTCTAGTTGCAGAAACAAAGTTTCCCATCATTTATGCACATTATGTACATTTTGGTTAAAGTTCCCAACCATCATTCATAAAATTTCTATTTCTGTTTTAAATAAAATAGCCAATTTATTCCCTTAATAGGATAAATTTATAAGAAAAAGAAACTACATCTCACCTTATGTACTTTGAATATAAAGAGTGATTTCATGTGAATTTAAATAATTTACAGCTATACAAAGTATCTGTTCCTAAAGGAAGTTCCTTCTAAATTAAAAGTGACCAAGTAGTATAGTCCATGTATGTGTGAGGTACCTGGGCAAAGAAGAATTTGCAAATAATCTAAATAAATTAACCAGGAAATTTAAATTTAAGAAATCAGATAGGTTGCCTTCTGAGTTTTCATAATTTCTTGAGGGCTTTAAGAAGTAATGAAGGCATTCAGAAAAAGCCTAAAGATGCAACTGAAATACACACTAATGAAGAATTAAGTTGTTTTATGTTTTATATAGCACGTGTGAAGTATGCCTAAATTTGGAGTACTTTAAAGTAACTGCAAACTTTAGAAGATTTTATTTATTCTACTATTCCTGGCACATAGCGGCTGCTTAATAAATGTTTTTTGAATGCTTAATTCTGGTCTTGTTTTAAATTGTGACCATTTAGTGACACACACACATACACACACATGCATTCACATACAAAGGTGGGTTATATCCATTCATGTCTTAAATTTGTGAATTTAAGTTTAGTTGTCAAATATTCCGCACAGGAAAACAACCTAACGGTAGTTTGTCTGTTTCACATAATTTAGACAATTCACAATCAGATCTTTAAGTCCAAGGGTGTTGATAACCTCGAGTGAGAATTTTCATTTTTTAAAGTCACATATGCTTTCCATGACCACTCCAATTTCATATACATCCATATACCAACTTGGGAAATTTTCATGCAACTAAAGTTAATGCTGTGCTTTGGATACTGCAGAGCTATGGATGCATATCTTAGAATTAATAACCTTGATTTTGTATTTCTAAATAAAACAGTGATGGGATCCACCATGTATTCATTTTAGATCTACCAAAACGACGTCTTCAGGATCAAAGTTTCAAAAGGCTTGTAGTTATCTCATTTTACACATGAGGAAATGGAAACACATAGAAATTGAATATCACATCCAGAGTCACAACCTAGTATGTGTCCAAGTTTGGACTGAATCCCATTTCTGTCTAACACTGAAGCCTGTACTGCCTCTCTGTTTCTGTCTCCAATTCTAATATCCCATGAGCTTCATTCACACTGACTCCAAAGAACCTGAGTCATCTGTCAGCATGTTATCATTGGATGAGGAATTAAATAAAAGGAGGCCAGCCGGGCATGGTGGCTCACGCCTGTAATCCTAGCACTCTGGGAGGCCGAGGCGGGCAGATCACCTGAGGTCAGGAGTTCAAGACCAGCCTGGCCAACATGGTGAAACCCCGTCTCTACTAAAATACAAAAATTAGCTGGGCATGATGGCGGGTGCCTATAAGCCCAGCTACTTGGGAGGCTGAGATGGGAGAATCGCTTGAACCCAGGAGACGGTGGTTGCAGTGAGCTGGTGGTTGCAGTAAGCTGAAATCGATGCCACTGCACTCCGGTCTGGGAAGCTGAGTGAGACTCCGTCTCAAAAAAAATAAAAAATATAAATAAATAAATAAATAAGTAGATAAAAGGAGGCCAACGGCTTATTCCGAGTGAACTGAATACTTTATCACAAAACAATTACCTTGTTTTGGGGTAAAATAAGCATAATTACCCTGAGGGAAAAGCTGATAGATTGTAGTTTGGCTGTAACTACAATTCAGACACATGTTTTATCTGTCAAACTCAGGATCGATGCCAAATGAGAGCCAAAAAAGGAGCGTGGGAAAGCCTGTGGGTTGGGGTAAGGGTTAGGGAAACAGCTGCTATGGGCATGATACAAAAAGAAAGGAAAAAAATAGAAAGGGAGAAATCAGCAATAAATAGAACATAACTATCTTGACATTCTGTGGTTAAAAAAGAAAGTCTTTAAATAAAAGCTTTTTTGGAAAGCAAAAAAAAAATGTGCTATTAAGTTTATCAGCAATCCTGTAAAGTTTAATCTTTATGATCAAAAAAGTAATGAGTACTTTATAATCAGAGTTGTATTATGTTTGACATACTTTTAGGTCTAATAGTGGTTTATATTTATTAGATTTTTAAACATCAAACTTTTGCTCTGAAAAATGCCAATTATTGCCCTCAGTTTACACCATGAGAAAAAATAGCTACAAGAAAAAAATAACAATAATTCAATATAATTGTTATGTAAGTATTTGTACTTGGCTCAGAAGAAAAAGACAAATAACTGAGTCTCTATCTTTAAAGAATTGATCATCTCAGAAACCCGTTTGATTCATTCAGCAAATATTATCTGTTTTTGGCCAAGCACTGTGTTTCATATTTTAACAAATTTGAATACTCAAGAGAGATGTGAAAATTTGCTGCCACCAAAGGGTGTTAAATTTAAACATAGGAAAACATTTTTGACACCTTCGCAATATATAATTCAATTCAGACAAAATATCAATAGGAAGCTGAATTGTATTTTTCAAAACCTACACAAGAAACATAGACTTAGGAGACTTTCTATGCATGACTTAGAGAAATTTATACAGTCTGACAGAATTTCATTTCATTCATCTTCATTTTGATTATATCAGATTGGATGATGTACAAGACTTTTTCCTGCTATATGATTTGAAATCTATGGTTGTCTGCCCTAAATTCACCTCTACTCTCTTGTTAAGTACTTGTATTCTCAAGAGTGCTTCTTTTTCTACAAGCTCCCAATATATTTTGTCTAATTCCGTGGCCTTATTGGCCATTTGTGGAGGGATGATTCCAAAATCGGTATCCTATAGGCATATAATCAAATATACGTATACATAAATATTACACTATATATTAACATACAATAATGTATAATATCACAGAATTCCTCTTTGCCGTCTCTCCAGAATCTGTTCTTTGGCCAGTTTTTCTCATCTCAGGAATCACATTCTGTTATCTATCATCACCTTTCACAGAACTACTCAAGGTATAAACCTGAAAGCTATTGTTGCCTCCTGCCTTCCTGTCACCTCTTAAAATCAAATCGAATTTACAGCACATGAGTTTAAAACTATTACTAAACGTCTCTAAAGTCCATCTATTTTCACTCTCCCGTACCATCACACTGGTCAAAGATGCTCTCCTCCACTGTCCTGGCTGCTGGTTTTCCCACATTTACTCCTGGCTTCCTTTCATTTCATTCTCCATAATGCAGGTGAATGGCTACTTTAAAACACAAATCACACCATAATAGGCCCTTGACTAAGCCTTTAAATAGCTTCCTTTAAGGTTCATTTCAAAATCCTTGACAAGTAGAGCTAGGCCCTGCATCATTTGGCCCCCACCTGTCTCATCTCACACTTGTTGCTCAGCTCCCACAATTTCCCAGCACTGACGATTTCTCCATGCTCTCTGTTCCACCAATGCTGCCTTTCCATTTCCCCAGCATTCTACAGCACAGCTCTCTCTTGTCCTAGGCAGGGGGTGTCCACAGGAGAAATACAGTCATGGGTTCCAAATTTCTGTTTCTTGCTGGGCCAGTGAAGCCCCTTCCTCAGCCCACTTTTCCACTTAAAACTAGAGACAGAAACAAAGATCCATGGCTTCAGGCTGCTAAAATCCTAAAGCAAAACAAAACAGAACAGCAACAACAAAAAAAATGGTGGGTTGCACAAGCTTGCAAGTCTTCACACATGCTTTTTGGAAAACTCCACTTGGAAAACTCTCTGGGTTCCTTTATGCCTGGCTACCTCCTGCTCAACTTTCAAGTCTTTGTTTAAAGAACACTTTCTCAAAGGTTTTCACTGGTCCCATAGACAAAGTAAAATCCCTTTGCTATTCAGTATTTTACATCCCTTTAATCATATTCATGTACTTGTCATTACTTAATACATTCCTACTAAACTATAAAAATCCAAAAGGACAGAATAGTGTTACTCTGTTTATCATTTTATTCCTAGCACAGTATGTAACTTGTGTTTCAATGCCTCATTATTGAACTGATTTGTACAGTATCTGCTTCTTGCCACATATGTGGTATGAGCTAATATAGCGACAGACTTTAAAACATGCACTCCCTCACTCTTATTACAGTATTTGATTTTTACAGTTAGTATGATGGTTTTCAATGTTAACAGAAAGGAGGAAATTAAGGCCAAGCTGGTAAATCCTATCTACCTGAGTTGGAGGAAAAAGATGGCTAAAAATCATCCCTCCCACTCAACGACTACCTTGAGTTTAAGGTCATTCAGAAAAAGATAAGGAGAGTTAAGGAAAACGGAGTAGTTCAAAAGAAACAAACGAAAAAATAGGGCTAAACAATATTCTTTACACATACCCCATATTCCATGTAGGTAGGATGTGGAGCATCTCATGTGCCATAACAGCATTCTAAATCCTATTGCCAATATTATTGACTTAGGTGGGTTTTGTCTGTCTGTCGGTTTTTCACTTTCTTACATATGTATCTAACAATTGCCTATGGATACATTAACTACTTCTAATGTTGGGATAATGCTAGACAAAATATAGATTAAATCAAAAAAAGTTGTCCGTGTGATTCTCAGGAGAAAAAAGGAACACTAATAATTTCTTAAATATTTTCACACATTAAAGCACTTTCAGGTAAATTAAAAGTGGGAGATTTAGAAACAACAATGAGGTAGAAACTGGCAATCATGCAATAAAAGCTTTTACAACACATCTATCATTTATTCCATCATGTACTATTAAAATGCCACTAACACAACAAATATTTATTGCCCACTTAATACATATTTACACTATGCTTGCTAATGTATAAATTTTCAAGAAACTGAAATCTAGTTAATATGGCTTCTAACCAGTACAACACAGTCAACAACAGTGTTTAAAATTACACGTGTAACTAAGTGAACTATACAGGGCTGAAACAATAGTGAAGTTTTAATGAAAAAGATAAGCTATACACAGAACACATATTTGGATAGATCATAAGTATGCTGAAATTTTTGGCTGAGGGGAATTAAAGGCAAAAAGAAGAAGACACAGATATAAACACTGAGAAAATTAAATGACTATAAAATTGAAATGAAGGTCCTTGGCTAACAATGGTGGAATATAAATTTAAGCACACGGTAATTTTTTAAAGGGTCTACCTATATTGTAAAGGTCTCGGAAATTACATTGAAGGGATAGACTACGTCGGGGACATTAGATGAAAATGTGTAATGTTTTTAGCAAGAATGGGGTTATCTCGGACCTCTACATTGCACTAACCACCCATGGAGGTCCATTCATGATAGTCCTATTGTCAACAACCAGAAGAAAGCCATGTATATAAAGACTATTCACGCATTACAGATTATGACAGTAAGCAGGGAGGGAATCTCCAGAGACCTGTTAGGACATTATTTCAGTAGCGCAGGTGCAAAGTAATAAAACCTTAGGCCTTCTAGTTGTCAGCGACAGCATAAAGATAGGAAAAAAAAAAGAGTAAGTAGCAGAATAATGTCAACACAAGAAATGTCAAAACTCTGACACATGCTACAATACACATAAACCTTGAATACATTATGCCAAGTAAAATAAGCTAGTCACAAAAAAAGACACATACTGTCCTATTTTACTTCTAAAAGGTACCTAAAGTAGTCAAATTCTTAGGGACAGAAAGTGGAATGGTGGCTACCAGAGGCTTGGTAAAGGAAGAAATGGGGAGTAATTTCTTAGTGGGTACAGTGTTTCAGTTTTGTAAAATGGAAAGAGTTCTGAAGATGGATATTGATGATGGTTGCACAACAATGTGAATTAACTTATTACCATTAAAATGTGCACTTAAAAATGACCAAGATGGTAAACTTTGTTATGTGTATTATACCATGATTTAAAATATTAATTTAAAAATAAATGCCAAAATTTGAAAGAAGAAAAAAATCCCAAATTACTCTCTTTGGTCACTAGTTTAGAAGATGGGGTAAATGGTGCTGCTATGAAAACAAAGTAAGGAGATCCAGCCTGACAAGGCAGAAGAGCATGAATTGTGAAATACGTTTGATGGGGACATCTAAATGGAAATGTTTCATAGGTTTCTGGAGACAAGAGATAAGGGCTCTGTGGACAGAACAGGAAATATGTTGGCTTTTATTTTAGTGCCACCATTTCAGGGGAAGAGGGGAGCCAGTTTTCATGTTCAATTCTGAGCCCTAGATTTTAACAGAGATGTTTTCAAAATAGATTGCTATATTAAAGTATTTTTTTCACATTTTGATACCTCTGAATTGGGAAGGTCTTATAATGAACAGCGTCTTTTAAAAATTATGGAGACATAATTGACAAGTAAAAATGATATCACAGGACACATCTTAATGGTTCTCACCCAAAACAACAACAACAACAAAACAAACATCATCTTTTGATGAAAAATAGTAACTGCAGTATCAGAAACTAACTCTAGGTAGCTGACGGAGGTGGTTATTTCTAGAACAAAGGGCAGGATCACGGTGTAGCTTCAGGAAGAAGTAGAGTAAGAATCATGAAAGTCCTGAAGTAACTGAGATCCCTCTTCCTCTCCCCACACTAGCAGAAAGAACAGAAATTATGTTTCATTTTCTCTGTGAATTGACTTTCTCTGCTTCAAGCCCTACAGCTTTTGCATGTTGGAAAAGACTAACTTAACTCTCCCTTGGTCCCAATACTGAATGCCTGAATCAGAATCTCACTGCTCAGCTTGGGGACGTACAATTGAGTGCAGCCAAGACAACAGGGTCATGCCAAACAAGTGTGGCTTCCCTGAGGATGGCTACAAAAAAGGATAGCCCAATACCACAATAAGATTTAACTAGTGCATCCCAGGGAAGAGCAATGTTTAAGGAATATGAAAATGAGGTCAGACAATGGACAGTTGAATTCAATGAATAGCTTTAGCCTGGGGACAGCAAGACTTGGGAATCCTAACAGACATGTAGGATAGAAAATAAACACTAGGACAAAGGAGTCAAAGTTACAAGGCAGTTTTTGGTTCAATATAGCAAGTATCCTATAGCAATATTTTATTTTAAAACATTTGTCTATGAGATAATCCATTTATATTATTACTCAACAAACTTGCAGAGCTGGAATTTAAATTTTCCTTTAGTAGACAGAAGACCAAAAGCTAAGGAATTTGCTGAATGCGCAATAACAAATAGTTAATCTGTAAAAGAATAGCAGCTTGCTCCAATGTGCACTTGGATTCAAAGCCTTTTTCCTTGTAATACTCCTTTGTATTGGTTTGATTTGTGGTGAGCTCTCTTTCATATAATGTATTTCAGTAGTGACTAAACATTTGTAACAGAAAGACTATTAAAAAATCATTATCTGGGGTAGAAGATTTATAATATCACCTCTCTGATGATATCCAACTATAATATTTCGTAAGATCACTATTTTTATTCAGCGACTTTATTTTGAAAGTATTCATTACAAGCAAAGACAACTACTTTCTTCCATCTATCAAAGATTTCACAATTTTGATCATTTCTGAAAGAAAATGTTCTCTCTACATAGTATCAAATTGTAGGTAAAAATTATTTTCTTTTTTGTCCTTAAGAAACTTAGTTCATCTTTAAATAAGAGAGCTAATAATAACAAATATATTCAAATCTGAGAAATACAGTTTTCTAGAAAGAGTTGTAGAAATGACCACAATTAATAAAAAAGAAAAAAGCTCAAATAGAATTTTAAAAAGTAAAACCTATTCAAGACTAAATATTGCTTGTGGCTTCAACCTGTGTCGCTGACTTACAAATATAACAACTATTAAGAATGTGAATACTCTATTAAATATTACTTTCAGATTCCAGATGCATCTGTCCAAGAAACTACATGAAAAGGAATTCAGGAGGAAATGAGGAGATGATGAAGAGGCTGGAGTTCTGTGCCTGCCTCCACTTCTGTCAATAGTTTGGATCAGATTTGTTTTACCATTCATTCATTGAATTTGCATGAAATTTCATTAAAAAAATTCCCATTTCCAGAAGAAAGGGAGGGAGAGAGGAAAGCGGGTAAAAAGGAAGAAGGAAAAATACACAAGCCACTCTTTTAGAGCTTTCCAGAATCCTCATTCTCAATGGATCCATCATTGCACTCAAAAACTGTGCAATCGAAATAATATATGTACACATAATTAATGTTGTCACAGAGCTTAATATTATCATGGCATTTAGAAAAGTCTGTTGAAAAACTTAAGACATGCATTAAATAAAATTAAAAGCATAAGATAGAGAACGGCAATAAATTATGTAATCACTCAGGATTATATATTTTCCTTTAAAACTTGTTTGTATGGTTTACAAAATACAAACATGGAATATTTGGGAAGAAAGCTCTGAAAGGAAAAAATGAGAACAGATGTCATGTTGAAATAATTATGTATAAATCCATTTAATCTTTGAAATAAAAATGAAAAATGACCCTTATGAAAAGAAACTCTTTAATGAACGCCATCTGCAAGTTAAAGTTAGCTTCAGTCAATTTTCTGTGAAGTGCTGTCCTTAATAATGAAGGGTTTTCTATCATTAACAGAGCCAAACAGCCATGTAAATTAAACTAGAGTATACAATATTACTAAGAATATAAAGTTTTGTAACTACAAGCTTTTATTTAAGGTATGCAGATTCCATACCAATATTTTATGTAGGAAGACTAATAACACTTGTTTAAATTTTTAACTTCAGCCATACTCTTATAGATTTCTAAAATATTAGTTATAATACATGATTTTTCTAATAAAGTTTTATTTGAAAGAAAACACATTGGCCAGGCATGGTGGCTCACGCCTGTAATCCCAACACTTTCGGGGGCTGAAGCGGGTGGATCACAAGGTCAGGAGTTCGAGACCAGCCTGACCAATAAGGTGAAACCCCATCTCTACTAAAAATACAAAAATTAGCTGGGCGTGGTGGCGCGCACCTGTAGTCCCAGCTACTTAGGATGCAGAGGCAGAATTGCTTCAACCCAGGAGGCAGACGGAGGTTGCAGTGAGCCAAGATCAAGTCACTGCACTACAGCCTGGGGGACAGAGCAACATTTAGTCTCAAAATAAATAAATAAATAAAAATAGAAAATACATTTTACTACACTTCAGTACAAGAGAAGTCTGAAACAATGACATTCAACAAAAACAAAAAAATTAATTTTTACACACTAGTTGCTTTTCTTCATGTAGTCAATATAGATATGTAATATGCTATATCTATACTATGAAAAACATATGAAAGCCAACTGGAAATAGTTTTTAAAAAAATTTATAAGTTTATAAAAAGCTAAAATTAAGTACTCCATAATCACTTAAAAATTTAATAAGCCACAAAATCTTTGTATTGGAAGGAATTGGGAATGCTGGTATATCTTCTTGCATCTACCCCATCTAATCCAATCTAATAAACTGGACCCCAAAGCACCACCAACCTCCCTCTGGGAACTTGGTAATCAGCTACAGTATATGGGAATAAAGCTTGTTTTGCTAGATTTAGAGTTACTACACTTCTACACCAAGAATACCTACATGAAGATACTTCAGACTAACTTTATTGCCTGCCTTTTTTGCCTTTCAAATAATTCAGCCATTCAATTAGAATTTATTCAGTTGTTCAATTTTTTAAAAAAAGTTTTTCATGAATAACCATGCTGAACCTAACCATGTATTTATGAGGAAAACAAAATTATATTGTGTACCTGCTATATGTTTGGCACTTTGACAGATGCTGTAAGCAAATTATCTCAAGATTAAGTAATAACATTTGGAGATAGGAAATATTGTACCCATTAAATAGAGAATGAAAAGGCACAGAGATGCTAAGTAACTTTCTCTAGATCACAGAGCCTGTAATCAACATCTATGCTGATCCCAAACTGTATAGTATACCAGTGACTTTTGCCTCCAATAAGGCAGAAAAGCAGCATAAGACAGGATGTCTATCACATAGACCAATAGAACAGAACAGAGAGCCCAGAAATAAACCTATGCACATGCGGTCACCTAATCCTTAACAAGGGCACAGAATAAACAATGGGGAAAGAATATGTCTTTAATAAATGGTGCTTGGAAAACTGTATATCCATACACACAAAAATAATATTGACTGTTATCTTAACCATACACAAAATTAGCTCAAAATGAACTAAAGACTTAAATGTAAGACCTGAAGCCATAAGACTCCTCTAATAAAACACAGAAAAAGACGTTCGTATTGGCAATGATTTTATGGGTATGACACCGAAAGCATAGGCAACAAAAGCAAAAGTAAACCAGTAGGACTCCATCAAACTAAAAGGCTTCTCCACAACAAAGGAAGTGATCAATGAAATGAAAATGCAACCTACAGAATAGGAGAAAATAACTGCACATCATACACCCAATAAGAGATTAATATCCAAAATATATCGGGAACTTATACAACAGCAAAAAATAAGTAACTTGATTTAATGGGCAAAGAACTATTTTTAAAGAAGACATACAAATGGCCAACAAGTACATGAAAAGGTGCTCAACTTCAGTAATCATCCGGGGAATGCAAATAAAAATCATAATGAGATATTCCCTCACACCTATTAGGATGGATACTACCAAAAAGATAACAAGTGTTGGCAAGGGTGTGGAAAAACGGGAACCCTTACATGCTGTTAGTGGGAATGTAATTTAGTAAACTGATTACGAAAAACAACACTGAGATTCCTCAAAAACTTAAAAACAGAACTGCCCTAAGATCCAGCAATCTCATTTATGGGTATACATGCAAAGGAAATAAAAACAGCATGTCACAGAGATATCTGCCCTCCCATGTTTATTGCAGCACTATTTACAAAGCCAAGACATTGAAACAACCTAAGTGTTCAACAATATATAAATGGATAAAGAACATGTGATGTGTGTATATGTATGTGTGTGCATACACAATGAAATACTATTCAGCCATAAAAAGGAGAAAATCCTACTATTTGCACAACATGGGTGAACCTGTAGGATATCATGCTAAGTGAAATAAGCCATACCACATGATCTCACTTACATGTGGAATCTAAGAAAGTTGAACTCATAAAAACAGAGGGTAGAATGGTGATTGTCAAGCGCTGGAAGGTGGAGGGAATAGGGAGATGTTGGTCCAAAGGTAGAAACTTTCAGTTACAAGATGAGTAAGTTCACATGTTCTGGGGATCTAATTTACAATATAGTTAAAAATACTGTATCATTTACTCAAAGTTTGCTAAGAGAGCAGACTTTAAGTATGGTCGCCACCACCCCCTAACTCCACCACACACAGGTAACTATGATCGATGTGTTAGTTTGATTGTGGTCATTATTTCACAATGTATATGTATATCAAATCATCACATTGTATTCTGTGAATATATACGATTTTATTTTCAATTATATCTCAATAAAGCCAAACAAAAAAGAAAACAATGGGATGTCTATGATGAGGTCAGGAAATGAAGACCACACAACAGAGTAAGGAAATGCTAAACTGTGAGGTGCCAGGTGTGAGCAGCTCAGGTGAATGAGAATGAAGCTGTATAGATTCAGAAAGCTTTGTGAAAGAGAGGGGCCTGGAAATGGGGAATGAAAGATGAACAGGATTCTAGTAAGCACAGAAGAGAATTTAGGTCATCCCAAGGACTGGAAGAGGATGAAGGTGGGAAGGAATCTGGCAGGCTCAAAGAAAACAGGAGGTAGCGACTGGAGTAAGGAGAGCGTGTGCACAAAGAAACCATAAGAGGCCTGGGTTATCCCTGGAGGTAGACACCCATAATAGAATGGACAAAATCCACACAGCAAAGATAGAGAAAAACTGCTGAGGGGACAGAGAAGGATTAATAAGAAGCAGCGGTTTGGGCAGCATGGACCATACTTCCTCTTTTCTATTTCCCCTTTTCCATTTCCTCTGACGCTTATCCCTCCTTCACACCAAATTCAAATGTTTGTACAGAAACACTGATCCTATATTCATTCTCTCTCTCAATAAAGCAGTCTGTCAAAATAAATTTTGGGGGAAGAAATAAAGGTAGCAGAAAACTCTGTCCTTGAGTCGGCAAGCAGTAGGGAACCATTATCACTCCTTTGTCAGGTATCAGCCAGTAGATAAATACATATTTTGAAGAAAGGATTTACATGCTAGTTCCTGCTCAAAAAAAAAAAAAAAAAAAAAACTCTGTAACCTACACATGTGTGGAATGGCAATGGTCCCTGGCACGTGGCCAATAGCTCAAGGAATATGAATCATGCCTGGAAAGGAAATAATTTAGACATATATAAATAAGGTGGTCTGAGGTCAAAGAGTTAATTAAACTTTTAGGAACTGCTATTTCCATTAGAGAAATATTCTTAGATAAAGCCAGATCTGTGGGAAACAAAGCTAGAATTGCCAGTACCATTCAATATATTTATTTTGTAACCAATAAATCAATAAAAAAGTTTAAAGAGTATCTGTCATGCATATAATAATTAGGTTGAACTCAGAATAAAGAAAAAATTAAGAGATGTGGTTCCTGACCTCATGAAACTTATATTCTATTTTTAACTTGAAAATTACCAAAGTTGTCCCTTTTCTTTTTTAACCTACAGTATATGGCTTTCTACATAAGTGATTTTATTAAGTCCAGGACCCAATTAGTTGTAAGCAACATGCATCTCCAAGATTATAATTAAGTCACTTCTGCTAAAATTTCACTCAAGAAATGAGGAAAAAATAATAATATATCCCCCCTGAGATAAAGTTATAAACCAAACAAATTTATTAAAAGAAACAAAAACTATCGTAAAATTTGAATGGGGCTTAAGAAATCAGCACATATTCCTATTAATATACCATATGATTATGCTCTATTTTAGTTTATCTCAAATAACATTAAAACACTTAAGAGCCAACCTACATTTTTCTTTTAAAGTATTCTTTTTCAGAAACCTGGCCAAATTGTGTCACTTGAGATATGCAAACATACCTGCCAAAAACAGAAAAATTCCAGGAAGAGCCTTTGAAAGAAAATAATTCATTAGGAAGTTGAAGTAGAAATCTAAAGAGTAACTAAATTATAGAGTTTGAAAATTTTCAGAAATTGAGTGCCTACCATGTCTAATCTAACGTCTCTCAAGATACATATATATATGTATCTACATATGTATTATATATAACTAAATTTCTAACTGTGCCAGAAAAACCTAAATAAAAATTTATTAGAATTGATAGTCCTAACATTTTGTTTGTTTTTATTTGAAGCTCAGATTTGAAATAGCCCTGAAATAAAAATTTTGGGGAGGCCTTATAAAAAAGACAAAATGTAGGTTGTCATACTTCTAAATTCTCCTTTTTCATCACGGAATTGTCATTTTGCACATTCTGATGTTAAATGACTTCATTCTCTTTAAGAAGCAATTCCAACAAGCTCTTCATTCATAATACAATTGTAAATTTTATTGTAATGGAGAAAAGGCTGCTAGATGGTAAATGGAATGGTGCTCACAAATCCTAAGAGCTGTCCTACACAGGAAAAATATACTGTCACCCTCAGGCCTCCATCTAGTGCCCACTGACTACAACTGTGAATAAATAAGACTATTAACCTGACAAGCATGGTTAAGTGCTCTCCCTGCAAAGTCGCAATTCTTCTTCAAAACAGAAACAAAGATACCTGCTAACCACACCACACCGGACAGCTAACTGTAAGGGAGAGAATTAACATTTAAAGAGGCACACATACTAGTATAAAGCATGAAAAGTTGAGCCATTCAGCATCAGGAAAATATCTCCAAACATTTTAATTGTCTCTGAAGATGTTATAGAACTGTTGCATTTTGCAATAATTCAAGTTGATAAAGATAGACCTTGAGCAAGCAAGAAAAAATTCAATTAAAATCACCCACACAGTAAGAAAATGAAATTTGGTTACCAATGTAACAGCAACAATAAAAATTCATGTGATGGCATTCCTTAAGGAGAAAGAAAAATGAGACATTATTACATAATGAGTAGGAGTTATATATTATTTCTCTATTCTTATGTAACTTCCTTTCATCAAATGTTTCTCATTCATACACAAGACTTTTCTGTTTCCTATTTTGAGTTTTAAATATAATCTTTACTGGTACCCAAGCAGACCCATTATAATGCATTTAACTCTTACAGCTCACTTAGGATTATAGCAACATAATCCTGTGCCTCTGAAGGGTTATTCTTGTACAACTAGGATACAGACCTATTTTTCAGCCAGGCATTAGAAAAAAATTTATTTTTCACAATACTGCAGATATAAAGAAAACACTGAATTTATATTTTACAAAAAGAAGTCTGTAAATTATTTGCTCAAAATTTTTTAGTGTTTATAATACCAATAAATTTATATTCATAGTTGTCTTCTATACATTCAATATAATATTTTTCAAAGTTGTTACACTTAAAAACAAAAATTCCAACATCTAGGGCCCACCGTAAGATGAAAAACTGATGGTGTGGGACTTAGTAAATGATTTTATATTTGATTTCCTGAGGGTGAGTCCAAATCACAACCTTGGTTCAGAAATCCAGGATCCAGGCCAGGCGTGGTGGCTCACAACTATAATCTCAGCATTTTGGGAGGCCAAGGCAGGTGGATCACCTGAGGCCAGGAGTTCGAGACCAGTCTGGCCAACATAGCAAAACCACATCTGTACTAAAAATACAAAAATTAGCAGGGCGTGGTGGCACACACCTGTAATCCCACCTACTTGGGAGGCTGAGCCAGGAGAATTGCTTGACCCGGGAGGCGGAGGCTGCAGTGAGCCAAGGTCGTGCCACTGCACAGCAGAGTGAGACTCTCTCTCAAAAAAAGAATTAAAAAAAAGAAATCCAGGATCCAATTTCCCAGGAGGTCTTGTTAGCTCCCTACTGTTTAACTTGGACTTCTACCTAACAACTTCCCCAGCAGCACAACTATCCACAAAGCTCCACAGATACATACTGAACCTATGTCTGTGAATTCCTAAGTACCATTCATCAACTGGGGATAATCACCAAATTCCACACTATTGTTATCAGATTTAATGAGATAACATATACTTAAGATATTATCTAAATTTCCAAGCACTACCTGCATTCAAATTATGATGATATCTCATTGCCTCAAAAACATTTGTTAAGCATCTACATGGCACTGCAATAAATAATGTGGGGCGCAGGAGAGGTGGGCTCAATTATACATTGATCATCCTCAAGGAACTCACCCTCACTTATAAAACTATTCACAATCCAAGACGGAGAATGTAAGTGCCGTAAGACAGCAATAGATACAGCGCTATGGAGACTCAGAGGAAGGAGAAAGAGCTTCCAACGGGGATGATCAGAAAACACATCGTGAAGCAGGTAGAAGATGGGTAAAATTTCAACCTAAGCTGGTTGGAGATCAGGATAGAGAGATGAGAATTAGGGGCAGAGGGCAATAATGTGGTAGACAGAAGTAGGACCTCAAGAGATCTACCTATCTCTGTCTTGAGAGAGAAAAGGCACGCTTCAAAGTCACTAGAAAATTGATGTGATGAAGGCAGTAGCAGTTTAAAATGACTGAATGTTAAGAAGGGTAGATTAGAGAGGGTCCTGAATCCCAAACAAGGAGGTATTTATTTCATTTGAAAGGCAAAAAACAACTACAAACTACTTTTTATCAAAGGATTTACATGATTAAATATTAACATTCAACAAAACTGCTGCCTGATTAGAGCTGTACATCAAGAAGATGTAGTGTGGTAGTTCAATGAATAAATTAATATTCAGATGGCATGAGGGTAGGGAGACCAGTTGAGAAGTTACTGCAACAGCCCATCCAACTACGAAGTGATACGGCCATAAACTAGGACAGTGAGAGTAGAAAACGGAAAGAAGGACTGGGTATAATGATTACCACTTTGAAGAAAGTTATATCCTGTAAGTTCCAGTGATGTTTTGGCCATCTAGTGTAACAGAAACAGGAAGCCATCAGCACAAGACAGACCCGGACCCAAACCCAGCCTCTGCATCTGATAAACAGTGAGACTTTGGGTAAATTACTTAATCCCTTTTGCCTTAAAAATAAATAATAATACATACCTCTAATCTTAAGAGAATCTGTGATATCTCTAAAATGCTTAGCATACTAGGAGAAAATTAGCAAAAGGGAAAAGAGCAAACAAAGGGAAGCAAAATGAGGATTCATGATCTCTCTAAAATGCTTAGCATACTGGGCGAAAATTAGCAATAGAGAAAAGAACAAACAAAATAAACAAAAATGTGTATTAAAATATTAACAATGTTGACCGGGCGCAGTGGCTCACGCCTATAATCCCAGCAATTTGGGAGGCCGAGGCGGGCGGATCACGAGGTCAGGAGATCGAGACCATCTTGGCTAACACAGTGAAACCTCGTCTCCACTAAAAATACAAAAACTTAGCCGGGTGCGGTCACGGGCGCAGTGGCGGGCGCCTGTAGTCCCAGCTACCTGGGAGGCTGAGGCAGGAGAATGGTGTGAACCAGGGAGGTGGAGCTTGCAGTGAGCCGTGATAGCGCCACTGCACTCCAGCCTGGGCGACAGATCGAGACTCCATCTCAAAAAAAAAAAAAAAAAAAAAAAAAAAAAAAAAAAAAAAAAAAAACCAATGTTAACGAGTCAACATGAGCTTTTATAACAAAAGACTCAGCTACTACCTCCACCCTCATCAGTGTCTGGCTGTGCTACTCCTTTAGACAGCAGGACTCTCGAGGTCTTTCATTCTTCAGTATCTCTCTGGCTTCAGGTAGCAAGCAGCTCCGTACTTTTAAAAATAGAGCTCAGTCGGACATGCACCAGAACACAAAAATAGACTACTAGAAGGTAAAATGACACCTGCATCCCTGGCTCCTGGACTCCTATGTATTTGGGACAGAAAACGGATTAGTGTTAAAGTATCTACTAATGGATGTCTCAAAGAAGAAGAAAACACGACAGGGCTAATGGAGAACTGTGCAAACACTGCAAGCAGAGGATTCTTACAAAGCTTTTAGACTATACAAAATAACTTGTTCTTTCTTCTAATTCAATCACTGGTACACAAAACTTTGCCTCATTTGGAATGATTAGATTGAAAATTAATACAAATACACAAATGATTGCTTAAAGCAATGTTCAAAAAGGAGTTTGTAAAAGCCTTGTCATATATGGTTACACCATCCTTAACAACAGAATTTTGAATTCAGAATATTGCTATACTGATCTTGTAGGTGGAAATTTAATTTATCTCCTCCTTGGATAATAGTTTCATTAGTTCCAAAAAGAGCCTAATAAAAAAGCATTAAGTTATCTTGAAATAAATGTGTTATTTATGCCCACATTTTTGTTATTTGTTAAGAGGCTTCTTTGCTTCTCTAGGATTACTAAAATAATAGTATTTTAAGCTTTTTCTATCAGCTTTTTAATAGTCTGAATCCTGTATGTAAAGACAAGCCAAGCAATAAAATTTCAGTTTTAAATGAAAATTTAAGTCTTAATGTGCTAAATGTGTTTCATGTATGCCTTTCATTCTCTTCCTGTAAGCTCTAATCTTTCCATGAGGAGCTGATTGATTAGGATCAGTTTAAGAAGGTGTTCTAGTTTTTAAAATGCAGTAAAACCACCCACATTTGCTGCAGCTCCTTTGTCAACTTGGTGATGTTATACAAAAAGTTCACATTATTGCCACTTTTAAACAATATAAAAATCTTCCTATTCATACACACATATTCATAGCAACATATGTACAATAAACAAAAAGTGAAAGCAACCCAAGTATCCATCAATAATAAATGGATAAACAAAATATGGCATACGTATATAATGGAATATTATTCAGCCTTAAAAAGGAAGGAAATTCTGACATGTGCTACGACATGGATGAACTCTGAAGACATTATGCCAAGTAAACTAAGCCAGTCATAAAAGGACAAACATCATGAATCCACTCATATAAGATATCAAGAATAGTTAAATTCATGGAGACAGAAAGTGGAATGGTAGTTACCAGGGGCTGGGAGGAAGAGGGAATGGGAAGTTGTTGTTTAAATGTGCATAGAGTATCAGTTTGGGAAGATGAAAAAGTTCCGGAAGTGGACTGTGGTTTCAGTTGCCCAACAATGTAAATGTACTTAATGTCACTGAACTGTATATTTAAAAATGGTTAACATGGTAAATTTTATGTATATGTTACCACATTTTAAAAAAATACAGGAAATCCTGTAGCACTGAGACTTCTTAAAATACTGAAATTCTAGGAATGAATGAGTAAACAAAAGTTTTGGTTTAAGAATAGCATATCCAATCGTTGGTGCTAAACAAACTTGTCAACATGTCTGTTTCCATTCATTTAATTTATATATTTCAGAATCATCCTGCACATGGGCTATAATGAAGGCCACTAGAGTAAAGCTCTCTTATTAGGCTATATCATTTTACAGAATACAGAGAAACCAAGGCTAAAAAAATAAGTGCAGTTTTTTTGATGGCTTTCTTTCATATTTATGAAAATATGAGGCTGTTTATAACTCAGAAACTCAAGACAGATTTTCAAAACAGTATTGGCAAGGTTAACGAGATTAAAGTTTTGGAAATGGATTTGAATGAATTAATTGATGACACAGAGTGAGAAATCTGATATATATAAATTGAGAAAATAAAAATTTATCGCTATTACCCATAATATCACTAAAGGCAAAAAAAAAAAAAAGTGAACTAAGAATCATTTTTGCAAATGGGCCATGCTCTTTCTTCTCCAGACCAGTGATAACTGAATAATTCCTCCTCTCACACACCCTTCTTTTTCCCGCCAATAAGCCATCAGGCATTTTCCCACTTTCCTCTAGGATTGTTTATCATTATTACTCATTTGGAAATAAAGTTCAGAGTTCCTGCCCCAGCCAGAAAACGTTAGACTGAATCAGATGGTGATTGCCAGTACTCCCGAAAAAAAAAACAAAAAAAAAAAACCTGTCATTCTCATGGAGGGATGAATACTACTGATTCTTTAAAATGATTTAAATAATCAATTAATGTTCAATTAAGTATTCAATAAATCATCTACTCAGTCAAAGCCTCTCCTTATTTAATCAATAAGATCGTGAACAATCCTTTTATTTTCATTCATTTGCAATGTCCACTTTGTCAGAATTTGTATAATTAGTTTTGTTAGCATCTAAGAAAATGAGCTGATTCTCTTTGTTACTGAGTTGCCTATTTTAGTAATTTTGAATTAATGAATCTAGTTTATAGGCCATCTTTAAAATATATACGGAGGAGGCAATTATTTTACACTCTAAATTGAAAAGAATATCTCTATTTTTTTTAAAAGTAAATGGAACAGCATAATAGTTGGGAAATATTTTAAAGTATCAGTCAATAATATTATTTGAACCCAATTATGATTTTGCTAATTATGCTATATTAACTTGAACATATATTATCATATACATCTTACTATATTATACATGTATACTTACACAATATATTACTATATTAACTTGATAAATTGTTTTTAGTATGGGTTATAGGAAACAAACTCAGTTTTGAGATATACCATAAGTATAATTCTTTATATGTATCTTTATAGGTACCAAAAGGGCTCAAAACGTTTATTGAGATAAGCCCAACTTCCTTCTTCTGGCAAAAATTAACAAAGGTATATAAACACATGATACCATGTCTAGCACTCATATGCACAAAAATTTTTAACTATGATTTACTAGAATATATAGAGACATATATAAAGACATATAGAGAGACATATATAGAGACAGGCTCACTGTGCCTGTGTCTTCAGCTGTAAAATGAGAACAACAGTATCAACCTCAGAGTACTAATGAGAATTAAATGTACTTACAAACATACATTTTTAGAATTTAGCTTGGCTTAGAGTAAGCAACATACAAGGTTTATTAAGTTATTATTATTAGCATCTTTATAATCTCAGTCAATCCCCAAAACATTTTTCTGGGGTAGCTTAAAAAAAATTTTCTATATAAGAAAACCTAAGCTTTGAGAGATTAAGCATTACAATTTACCTAAAGCCACAGAGTTAATACATGGCAGAGCAGGGATTTGACTAATTCCAGGCTTTCTGACCACTTCATAGTGATCAATACTCCTCTTAAAATACAGCAAGCAGAACTGGTCACAATGCTACAAACATAGCAAAGGATTCTGAAAAGTTTGCTTTCAAAATCTAGTCTAAGAGACAGTTCAATGAACTGTGGCAAACTAACCCTTAGGTAACGGGCATTAGATAATGGTCCAGCTTCTCTCATCATGAAATTATAAAATTATTCCTAAATCTAAATTTATAGAAATTTACCTTTTCTCCTTTTAAATATTTTTAAATTAAATATTTTTAAAATTTAATGTTTACTCGTTATTCAACTCTATGCATATTTTGAAACTGATACTCAATCATCTAAGCTAGTATGTATGTCTTCCAGTTTTTGTCAACTGGAAGTTTAAATAATATGCTTTCTATATTTCTATTGAAGTTTTTAATAAATTATTAGGGAAGACTTGGTCAAGGATAGAGTTCTGGCTTTAGACATTCAAGTTCTAAATTCTTCTGCACTTTTCCTCTACTCACCACCCAGACGAAACTGTACTGGCTTCACAATAGCACTACATGCCAGCTTAGGCGATAAAGGCATCAACATGACCAGCTTTATCATGCCAGTAAAATGTTAATGGGTCCTACAGCTTATCCACTTTTAGAAAGGTGACTGAAGAGGAAAACCAACTAATAGAGATAAACCAGCAAAAAGGGGTAACCTTATAAATTAGAAGAGGAATGTTTTAACGATTATATTTTTCACCATTTATATTGGGGAGCTATGAGGGTTTTTTTCATTTATAATACTTGTTTTCTAAATTACAAAAGGAATGTATGTTTTTTGAAAACAAAATTAAGCAATATGACAATATGGAAGAATAGGCCAAGTGCAGTGGCTCATGTTTGTAATCCCAGTGTTTTGGGATGCCAAGGCCAGAGGGTCACTTGAGCGTAAGTGTTCAAGGTTACAGTGAGCTATGATCATGCCACTGCACTTCAGCCTGAGTGACAGTGACACAGCAATATCCTGTCCCTAAAATAAAATAATAAAAGAATAAAAAATTTTAAAAGGGAAAATATTTTTTCTTTTTAACGAACCTCATTGATAACCTCTGTTAATAATTTGGCATTTTTAACGTTAGTTTACTGTCTTGAAGGTTGCATCTCTATAGGTCTCCCCAAATTGTCAAATATTATTTTCTAGTTATATACCTATGTTACTGTGCTTTGCTAGAGATATATATATATATATAATGATTCTATTCTAGTTATATGTAGTATACATATATAATACTATGTGTATATATAGTATACATATATAATACTATATATATACTATGTGTATACATAGTATACATATATAATACTATGTATATATATACTATGTGTACACATAGTATACATATTATACTATGTGTACACATAGTATACATATTATACTATGTATATATATACTATGTGTATACATAGTATACATATATAATACTATGTGTAAATACTACAGCTCTTCATTAAACTGTAAAGAAATATTTATATTCAAGAAATTCATTTCTGTTAATATTTCTACCATCTCACTCTCTGTATAACCATATAAATACTATGCTACCAATATCAGTTTATATTCTAAATAGAACAGTAGCTACAATTTATTGAACATGTAATACTTTCCAGGCTGCAAGCAATTTTATTCATCCAAGCAAACCTGTAAGGTAGAATTTATTATCCACATTTTATAAATGACATTCTGTCTCAGAGAGACTAATCATTTTACCAAGACCACATGGCTAACAAGTGGCTAGAGTGGAAACCAGAACTCAACCCTGATAACAAATCCAGCATCTTAATCACTGCGCTGTATTTGAATCCCTCCATCAACAGATCCTGCTATCACTATGTTCATAATTAGGAAAAATTCAATTTCTATTGATTCCATCCTTCTTTCCATATGGAGTATGGATTAAAATAAATGCACAATAATCTAAGATATATCTCAACCTTAGCATTACTGACATTTTGAGTCAGATAATTCTTTCTTATAGGGAGTTGTCCTCTGAACTGTAGGATGTTTACCAACACTCCTGAACTTTACCTAGCAGATGTCAAACCAGTAGCACTCTTCAAGTCCTAAAAACTAAATAATATCTTCAGGCAGGGGCAAAATTTGGCCCAGTTGACAATCAATGCAATACCCTACTTAAAAACATGAAAAGTCACAGCAAGTAGAAGCAGAATAAAAGATTCAAGTTCTTGCATGTTTTATTTGCAGTTTAAAATCGTATTTTCTTCTGTGGAGATTATAATTGTAAAATTTAGTACTTTGAGAAGAATATGTAGCATCTGATATCATTATAATGCTTCTCTGATAGCTATTTATTATACAAATTAATTGTTAACTACATTAGTTAAAAAATTCCAGGTGCAACTCTTCAGATTAATAGTCCATTTCATCACAATGTTAACTACAGCAAAACTTCTTTTCTTGCCCAAAGTGCCACAAAGAGGTTTCTTATTTATCCCAACTCATGAAAAAGTATTATATACCATCTCTAAGGCAGGGATATCCTTTTAGAAGTTCAGTGTTCTAACTACACTCTGTTCTGTTTTTATGATTTCCCTATAAGTTACAAGCATGGACTCATAAACTATAGAAAATAAAAATGAAACCTAACTTTCTGGAGAAACATGAAACAGTCTACCATTGAAGGCTAGAATACCAGTAATTAAAGTCAAAAGTAAAATCTAAATGACCAATGAAAATACTGAGTCAAATATTGCCTCTTGCAAGAATATTTCACTGATGTTAAAGAAACTCCTGGAAAGGCCCTTCCTCTACACTATATTTATTTAAATTTCTCCTTACAGGAACTTTGTACAGGAAAGTAAATGCTTGCGTGGTCCACAAATTAGGTTCATGCCCTTCTAGGTTCAAGTTTATAGAGCTGCGATTTGTAAACTTTTTCTCTCACGTCAACATACCTGATGGATGTGACACACACATCAGTAACTGTGGCTCACTACAGCATTGATTCAGGAGGTTGGGAGGTGCCCTAGAGAGAACATATCAGAATCGAAGGCAGGTTAGTGTTTGAAAAAGCCTACCATGTGATAATCACCCTTGTAGAAGACAAAGAGCCATTGTGCCTGCCATCTCAAAGGGTGCACCTAGGATGAAAAGTTCATTTCACCATTAACGGTGCCACCTTATGTTAATATTATTTCCAAAAGTACACAGAATTTAGTGCATCAAATCTCAAGCCTTCCTTTTCCAGCTTTTTTTCTGTTTTGTTTTTCTTTACTTTTTAATTGATACATCAGAGTTGTACATAGTTTGGGGTATATGTAACGTTTGGATATATGTATACAATGTGTAATAATCAAATCAGGTAACTGGATGATACATCACCTTAAACATTTATCTTTCTTTGTGTTGGAGACTGATATAGTTTGGCTGTGTCCCCACCCAAATCTTATCTTGAATTGTACCTCCCATAATTCCCATAGTTCTGGGAGGGAACTGGTGGGAGGTAACTGAATGATGGCAGCAGTTTCCCCCATTCTGTTCTTGTGGTAGTGAATAAGTCTCATGAGATCTGATGGTTTTATAAGGAGAAACTTTTTCTCTTGGCTCTCTGTCTTTGCTTGCCGCCATCTATGTAAGATGTGACTTGGTCCCCCTTGCCTTCTGCCATGATTGTGAGGCTTCCCCAGCCATGTGGAACTGTAAGTCCAATTAAACCTCTTTCTTTTGTAAATTGCTCAGTTTCAGGTATGTCTTTATAGGCAGCGTGAAAACAGACTAATAAAGGAACATTACAATTCTTCCACTCTAGCTATTTTGAAATATAAAATAAATTACTGTTAACTATAATTTCTCTGCTGTGCTATCAAATACTAGAATGTATTCCTTCCATCTAATTGTATGTTTGTATCCATTAACCAAATGTCTTCATTCCTTCCTCCCCTCTTCCCTTCCCAGCCTCTGGCAATCACCATTCTACTTTCTACCTACACAAGATCCACTTTTTAGGCTCCCACATATAAGTGAGAACTTGAAGTACTTGTCTGTGCCTGGTTTATTTTCCCTAACATAATGACCTCCAGTTCTAGCCATGTTGCTGCAAATGACAGTATTACATTCTTTTTAAGGCTGAATAGTATTCCATTGTGTTTATATACCACATGTTCTGCATCTATTCATCTGTTGATAGACACTGAAGTTAATTCTGTATCTTAGCTATTGTGAACAGTGCTACAATAAACATGGGAGCATACTGATTTCCTTTGAGTACATACTCAGCAGTAGGACTGCTGGATCACATGGGAGTTCTATTTTTAGTTTTTTGAGGAACCTCCATACTGTTTTCCATAATGTCCAGCTAGATTTTATTTATTTATTTATTTATTTATGTATTTATTTATTTATTTATTTATTTATGAGACAGGATCTCACTATGTTGCCCAGGCTGATCTTGAGCTACTGGGCTCAAACAATCCTCCCACCCCAGCCACTTCAGTATCTTGGACTAAAGGCATGTGTTACCACATCTAGTCCAGGTACATTTTAGACCTACACATTTTAGACCTACAGTGATAGTTATAAATTTGTCAAATTGTTTTAATATTTATGTAGTGTTTTTGCCTCCCAGTTTTCACTGTTCTAGCTATACATAAATCACCAGAAGTTATTTAACAAAGCAGAAACCTTAGTTATCTTCCTATTTGCATTGGGACCAAACAAAAACAGAAGGTCTAAAGTACCAAAGGCACAGGACAGATGAATGGAGTGTAGTATTAACTCATGTGAAGGTCTTCAAAGCTTTAGCTGATACAAACAAAATATACATCTATAGATTATTATGCTGACAAAAAAAAGCAAGTGCAGTCCTAGTATGTGTTAAGGGTCTCATTAACTAGACTAGTGGTTCGTAAGTAGGCATACGACAAAATTACACGTCCCCCTTCCTGCTCACCCACACGTTGATGCTCTGTAGGTTGAGGGTTGATGCTTAGGCAAGTGTATATTGTAAAAAAGGTTCACAAATTATTGTTCTACAAAAGAGGTGACAGCCACCCTTCGCTTTGTTCCAGTCATACCATATCTGTTGTACCAGATTCTGGACTCCTCAATTTCAAAAGACCATATCTAAACAGAGAGGAGGGGAAAAGGGGAGAACAAAATGGCATGGAAGGGGACTTAGTTCCCTATTATGGTAGTGATTAGGCAAAAGCTTAACAATGATCACTTGTTAGGCATTTCATAAATTGAGCTCTACCTTTAATTTCCCTCCAATCCTGTGATACAACAGCACTGATGTTTTTCAGGAAAAGTAACACATACATAAACGGAAAAAAAAAAGTCCTCCAAAAATTTACTATGATATATAAACACAAGTCTAGAAGAGTAGTGAAAGCATTGAAGATTGTACAATGTGGGAAACTTAACTATGTGAGCAAAGAATCAACAGTGGATTGCACTTCCGGACCCTTGATCCAGAGTCAACGGTCCGGAATTGTATATATATATATATGTATAATGCATGTATGTGTGTGTGTATATATATATATATATATATGAGAATATATATGTTATATATATGTATACATACACACACACGATGATGCTAGCTAGCATCATTGAATATAGCCTAATTTATACACACATATATTAACTGTACAAAAGACAAACTATAGTAAGCATCTAGAATAACCCAAGAAAAACATCAAAGTGGAACTCAACCTGATAATTTTACAAGGTTAACTTCTCTCGACAGCCTAGATTGTCTCTACTGATAAAGTAAGTTTTTAACTAGTCATATGAAAAGCACTCATCTGCTCAAGGATAAGAACCTTGCCCATGTACTTTTTAAGTGTGATCAAAGGTTACAACAGTATATTGCCCTGGGGATCGTTAGAGGGTTACACAGAAGCTGAAGTCTGTACTGACTCAGTAATATCTTTCATCGGTAGGATTCAGCACCAAGAGTAAAAAGTCATCTGCCCTGTAAGATTTAGGACCGTGCTTAACATCTAATCTTAAATAGGGTGATAGTCTTTGCACAAATTGAAATGTCCAAAGCCTACAACATTTCTGTGTTTGTAGTGATAGGCTGGGCACAAGAAGCTCCAGTTCTAAAAAGCATGTACATACTAATCAGGAAAATACGGTGAACTAACGTGGTTGTGGTATTAAAATATTTTTTTGTGAACTAAGAAAATTGAGCAGCTTCAAGGAGACAGGGTCACATGAGGTTGCAAAAGTAACATACACTGAATATGTCCAAACCAAACACATCATCTTCCCTCCTTCACCCCGAAACTAAAATAAACAAAAACTGATCTGATGCTTTTTTTTCTCAGTGACCAGCGCCACTATCTTTCTAGTTTCTCAGGTTCACAGTTTTAAGTGGCGTTCATGCCCTTTGTTAACACCTTCCACTATCAATCACAAGCTAATCCTCCCAACTGCAGTTTTTTTTTTTTTTTTCTTAAATCACCTTTCCTGCCCACCACTACTATCTTAATAAATCTTCAATGTCTCTACCCAGGACTTTCACAATACCCTCTTAAATGCCTCCTCGTGTCCATTTGGGTCCCCACCTAATCCACTGCTAGAATAATTATGTTTAATCTGTTCACATCACTCTTTGGTTAAAAAATATAATGTTTGGTACACATAAAATATCAAATTCCTCAACCTAATCTTAAAACACTCAAGTCTTCATCCTGCTCCCCTCTCCACACCGGCCCCACATCCCCCTTATCTTACCTCTTAAAATTTCCCAGCATCCCACCTCTACTCCTCAGCACAAAAGCAGGGCTATGTGTCTTTTTCACATGTCTTTTCCACCTGTCTTTTCCACAACCCAGTATGCACTCCACACCTGATGTCCAGCTCTTCAACACATCTTAATCCTTCCCTACCTCATATCCTCTGGGCCTTATGCCCATAGGGGAAATATATAGAAATATTCTTTTACGAATACACTGGGTTTTTTTTTTCTATTTTAGATACATTCTTTATATTGTACTGAAATTGATTATAGTCAGCCTACTACTAACATAAACACGTGAGAATGTAAAACATAAATCAAAAGGAAAAGTCAGAAAAGACAGGAAGACAGAACTTTACCAGAAATCCATGTTAAGAGGGTGACAGTATTTGAGCATTAAATTTAGCTATGACCTTTCTGGAGGGCAAAGTTCTCATGACTTTCTGTTTTTCAAAGTATTTATCCCTTGGCAGTATAATCATTTGTTACTGTAGTATCTTTACTCAGGGAGGGTGCAAGGATGGTTCATTTCTGAATCTTCCCCCAGCAATCCCCACATTTTCTGGGATGTTGTGGGCACTCTTCAAACGTTCTAGAATAAAAAACTCAAACAGTGTAAGTTTTCCAAGGAGAATTCCCACAAGCCAGAGATCCTCAGCTACAGTCTAGGAGCCAACCATGCTAAAGGTGACTTTCCCACTAAAAACAAGAAGCACTGACTAGTAAGTACTGGCACTCTGATCTTCCTTACAGTTAAATTCCTGTGTCCATTAATAACCTGACATTCTGATTGATGAGATATAGTTGTATTATTAGTGTGCCTCCTCAGTGGATAACCTCTAGTTTTATGGAAAAATTGCATCTCTGACCTGCAAGGCTGAGATCTGGATTCTACCCAAATGCTAACTTCAGTACTGATTGCCCCCTTTCCTCCTCACACACACAGAAAGAGAGAGAGAGAAAGGAAATGGCTACCAGTCTCTGTCACCTTAACCATCGCAAGCATAATCAGCTAGTACTATTCTGCTAACTCTCCTTCGACAGAACCGTAAAAACTGGGTGGAATGATTGAGTAAAAGTGATTTTTCTGTTTACATTCTCTGATTCTATCATATTTTCTTCTAGAAAGATTTTTTTCTTGGTTAAGTGAGAGCACACTCTCTATTTTTCTCAGTAGTTATAGAAACTGTTTTAATATTCTCAAATTTATTTCTGCAAAATTGTACAGCTCTTCAAATGAAAAAGCATTTTAATAATCCTAGATGTGGCACCATTTTAAAAAATATTATGTACACATTGTTTTCTTTCTCTATTCATTTATTCAAACAAGCAACAACAAATGGAAATGTATAAAGTTCCTTAGTCTTACGCAGGAAATGCAGGGAATACTCAACAAAATCCTGGGAAATGAAACTGAAGTTAATCAATATTATATACAGTGTATGTAACTCAGATACACGAAAACAACAAAACATAGAAATTACTCATTTTTAGAAAACATGCTCATTACTTTAAACAAAAATCATTATGAACCTGATCTTTATTTGTAACCTTATTAGCCTGGTAATCAGTGAGGTAGTCTCAATACTCTCCTCCTACATGTTTTATAAGGAATTTTCTCTCCTTAGTAGAACAACATTTGTTTTCATGTTCTTCTCAATGTATCAGTTGACGTGGTAGAGTTTTGTTGCCACGTCTAAAACAAAAAGACACCAAAAAGCCTTGGTAAAAACTGAAACATGTTTCGGTATATATGTGCATACACGTGGATGTATATATTTTCATAAAGCGCTACCTTCAGGTAAAGTTACAAAAATTGTCTGTAGGCCGATCTAAAATTTCAGGGATCTACCTTGGAGGATCATGTACCACTAGGATCTCCAATTTTATAAGAAATTTTAAGCCTGTCCAGCCATCTGGGACAAAAATTAGGAATGCAAAAGGATTTTACTTCCAAGGGTGTTTTATATAGTACTGAATATCACACATTACCATTCCTAAAAGCACCTGGAGGTGCAATTTCCATGTCTCCAACCCAAACGACCACTAAGGCAATGGCCCTAATAAATATTCTGTGAACATATCCAAAGGAACAATGTCAAAGGAATACATTTCTTTATAAAGCTTTGTTTTGCTGATTGTAAAATACGTGTGGAGGGTTGAAAACTTACAAAATACAGAAAAAAGATATAAAAGTACGTAAAAATAACCCATTATTCTCCCACATAAACAAGAATGAACATCTTGACAAGTTTCCTTTCTGCTGTGAATTTGGCCTATCCTCAATTGTGTTTCATGATTTCACTTTCCACTCATCAAAAGTATTTTCCCATGTGATTTAAAAACTCTTCATTTCACACATTTTAAAATATCTTATCTTTTGTTGTTCCCAAGCAGTATGTAAACAATGTTTCATAATCAGAAATTAACCACAATGTAGAATTAGCAAACTCCTAACTTACAGAGCAATCAGCTATCCTAATTTAAATATTTATATAGCACCTATCACTGAAGTGCTCTGTATGTCAACAGATAGTCTGAGTTAATATGGATACAAAATAGAAGTATTTCCTCTATAAAAAGACCTGGGATGTATTGGCAATATGTCTTTGATGGAATTGGGATTTGTCAGACTATTCAAAGACTAATAGAGAAAGCCTTGAATTTTCTTTGAAAGTCTCATGTTTTTGCTATACTAGAGCTTAAGATATTTAGAGCATCCAAGGAATGAGAGAGGACACAAACAAATGGAAAAACATTCTATGCTCATAGATAGGGAGAATCAATATTGTGAAACTGGCCATACTGCCCAAAGTAATTTATAGATTCAAAGCTATTCCCATTAAACTACCATTGACATTCTTCACAAAATTAGAAAAAGCTACTTTAAAATTCATATGAAACCAAAAAAAAGAGCCCACACAGCCAAGACAATCCTAAGCAAAAAGAACAAAGCAGCAGGCATTGTGCTACCTGATTTCAAACTATACTACAAGGCCACAGTAACCAAATCAGCATGGTACTGGTACAAAAACAGACACATAGACCAATGGAACCAATACAGAACTCAGAAATATGACTGCACATCTACAACCATCTGATCTTCAACAAACCTGACAAAAACAAGCAATGGGCAAAGGATTCCCTATTTAACACATGGTCCTGGAAGAACTGGCTAGCCATACCCAGAAAATTGAAACTGGACCCCTTTCTTATAACTTATACAAAAATTAACTCAAGATGGATTAAAGACTTAAATGCAAAGCCAAAAACTATAAAAACCCTAGAAGACAATCTGGACAATATCATTTAGGACATAGGCATGGGCAAAGATTTCATGACAAAAACATCAAAAGCAATTGCAACAAAAGCAAAAATTGAGAAATGGATCTAATTAAAGAGCTTCTCCATAGCAAAACAATCATCAGAGTGAACAAACAACCTATAGAATGGGAGAAAATTTTTGCAATCTATTCATCTGACAAAGGTCTAATATCCAGAATCTACAAGGAATTTAAATTTACAAGAAAAAGGCCAGGCGCAGTGGCTCTCACTTATAATCCCACATTTTGGGAGGCCAAGGCAGGTGGATCACTTGAGGTCAGGAGACGGAGACCAGTCTGGCCAACATGGTGAAACCCCAACTCTACCAGAAAAAAAGAAAGAAGAAAAAAGAAAAAAACAAACAACCCCAACCCCATTAAAAAGTGGACAAAGGCCATAAACAGACATTTCTCAAAAGAAGACATTTATGTGGCCAACAAACATGAAAAAAAGCTCAACATCACCGATCATTAGAGAAATGCAAACCAAAACCACATTGAGATACCATCACATGCCAGTCAGAATGGCAATTTTTTTTTAGTATTTTTTTATTATACTATAATATACTATAATATAATATAATATATTAATATAATTAATATATTTATATTTATATTTTTATTTTTTATATATTTATATATATTTTTATATATTTATATATATTTATATATATTTTTATATATTTATATATATTTATATATATATTTATATATATTTATATATATTTATATATATTTATATATATATTTATATATATTTATATATTTATATATATTTTATATATATTTATATATATTTATATATATTTTATATATATTTATATATATATTTTATATATATTTATATATATATTTTATATATATTATATATTAATAATTAATATAATTAATAATTAATATAATACTTTGTATTATACTTTAAGTTCTAGGGTACTTGTACACAACGTGCAGCTTTGTTCCATATGTATACATGTGCCATGTTGGTGTGCTGCACCCATTAACTCGTCATTTACATTAGGTATATCTCCTAATGCTATACCTCCCCACTCCCCCCACCCCACAACAGGCCCCGATGTGTGATGTTCCCCTTCCTGTGTCCAAGTGTTCTTATTGTTCAATTCCCACCTATGAGTGAGAATATGTGGTGTTTGTTTTTTTGTCCTTGCGATAGTTTGCTGAGAATGATGGTTTCCAGCTTCATCCATGTCCCTACAAAGGATATGAACTCATCATTTTTTATGGCTGCATAGTATTCCATGGTGTATATATGCCACATTTTCTTAATCCAGTCTATCATTGTTGGACATTTGGCTTGGTTCCAAGTCTTTGCTATTGTGAATAGTGCCGCAATAAACATACGTGTGCATGTGTCTTTGTAGCAGCATGATTTATAATCCTTTCGGTATATACCCAGTAATGGGATGGCTGGGTCAAATGGTATTTCTAGTTCTAGATCCCTGAGGAATCGCCACACTGTCTTCCACAATGGTTGAACTAGTTTACAGTCCCACCAACAGTGTAAAAGTGTTCCTGTTTCTCCACATCTTCTCCAGCACCTGTCGCTTCCTGACTTTTTAATGATCGCCATTCTAACTGGTGTGAGATGGTATCTCATTGTGGTTTTGATTTGCATTTACTAAAAAGTCAAGAAACAACAGGTGCTGGTGAGGCTGTGGAGAAATAACAACGCGTTTACACTGGTGGTGGGAATGTAAATTGGCTCAACCATTGTGGAAGACAGTGTGGTGATTCCTCAAAGACCTAGAACCAGTAATACCATTTTACTCAGCAATCCCATTACTGGGAATACACCCAAAGGAATGTGAGTCATTCTATTATAAAAATACGTGCATGTTTATGTTCACAGCAGTACTATTCACAATAGCAAAGACATGGAATCAACTCAAATGCCCATCAACGATAGACTAGATAAAGAAAATGTGGTACATATACACCATGGAATACTATGCAGCCATAAAGAGGAATGAGGTCGTCTCCTTTGCAGGGACACGGATGGAGCTGGAAGCCATTATTCTTAGCAAACTAATGCAGAAACAGAAAACCAAACACCACATGTTTTCACTTATAAGTGGGAGCTGAACAATGATAACACATGGACATGGGGAGGGGAACAACATGCTGGAGTCTGTCGGGTGGGGCGACAGGGTGAAAAAAAGCAGGATAAATAGTTAATGCTTGCTGGGTTTAATACTTAGGTGACAGGTTGATAGATGCAGCAAAGCACCATAGTATATGTTTACCTACATAGCAAACCTGCACATCCTGCACATGTATTCTGGAATTTTAAAATTAAATTAAATTAAAATTTTTAAAAAAGATAGGTAGAGTATCAGCTGCAAATACATCTCTTTAAAAGGAAGAGCATGTGAATGACACAAATTGATTAAAATTTCATCTTGTTAAAACAGATTTTAAAATATAAAGACATTTATATCAAAATAAAATTTCAAAACCAACTTTTATTACACAAAACGTTATAGTATCCTAACAAACTAAAAAACTTTTGAAGAGTTTGAGATGCTTGATTAGAATTTATTTCCATGTAAGCAGATTTCATGACTTTCCCGAATGTCAGGTCTCCAGTTTGTATATCTTCCGGAAGGTGTAGGCAGAAGATAAAATTAGAGAAAAAAAAAAAAAAAATGTCAACCCAATCAGATATTTTTAAAGCAAGAAATAAAGATAAATATTCCTTTATTATTTGGTCTCTAAAATAAGAGAAAACATTAAAGGAACTCTCTGTCTGTCCTCAAAGGAAATACCAGCCCATCAATACCCAACTTGGCAGTACTGATTTCAATATATATTTAAAATCTGCCCCTGACATTATCATTTTGGTCCAACTCCCAACCATCTCTGGATTATTGCAACAATCTTAATTGGTTTCCTTCTTACATCGTAACACCTACTCTCACTCAACACAGAGAATATGAGACACCCTATTCAACATAAGGCTGGTAACATCCTTTCTTTGCTCAAAACCCTTTGATGGTATCCCATCTGCCTCAGAACGAGTCTTGCAGTGACCCCTCATGGCCTATGTGATCTGCTGTCCCCTCCTCCTCACCTTTTTCCATCTTCTGTCACAAAAGTGGAAATCCATGGACTGTCTGTAACCAAGTTAGGAAAGAGATGACCACTCCAGGCAGAATTTATAAACTGAAACCAATAGGAGTAGACTGAGACTCCACAGGACTCCTGCTGCTCCTAGGGCCAAACCAAAATAACTACCTCAGACTAGACTGAAAGATCATTCAATAAGTGGAAAAATCTGGAAGAAGAGTGGTCTGAGGGTTAAGGCCTAGAGTAAAGCCCTGTGGAAGCTGGTAAAAAGAGACAGCATCCTGAGGAATATTTTTATGTGATAAAATAAACACTCACTACCTTCCACTGAGGGCCACAGCTGAGCCAGGGCTTAGCTGTATTATACAGTTAATAAGCAGAAAGTCCCTGTCATTTGAGAATAATGGCACCACTGGTATATAATGAGAAAAGGGTTGGGAATGACTGATATTTTACCATGAAAAATGAAACTAAAATTTTTGAAAATAATTTTGTTTTTCAAGACAAAATATAGGTTATAATGGCAGCTAGAGTACAAGTCAAATTTAAAGCACAAATCAAGTTTCTGTACGTGGGGTTATAGGACACACTACACAACCGACCCTCAAAAGCATCATTTTTACGAAGACATTCAAAGACTCCACCAATTTTTTTAAATATCTCTCTTAAGCCTTTTTCAATGAAGCACCCGAAGCATCTGAAGTCCCTATCAGATCTCTCTCCTTCTACTGTTGCCTTATCTGGCTCCTAGGATGCCTCATTTGGCAGTGGCTTTGCTTACAATTTAACTCCCTAATACTGTTTTAATTAACTTCCATTAAATTTTCATATTTTGTAAGACTTGTGAGTTTTTGTAATCAAATGCAAATTTGTTTGCATTGTTTTACATAGTGCTTTCTGAAATTTAGATTATAACCTTCAATGACCTGGCCCTAATGGGCAAGAATATGTATTATTCATGTTCAGCTGGGCACAGTGTTTAACAAGAACCTCTGTCCATTATTACATTAATTTAACCTTTGCAACGTTAAGAAATCAGTTATATTATTCTTATGGTACAGACAGGGTCACTAAAGTTTTGAAAGTTTAAGAAACTGGTATATATTACAAGCTTTGGTCTGTGACAGTCTAGAGAGTGCATATATTCTTTCTATTTAACATTTGTATAGCAATTTATTTTGATTTAGCCTTTAAAACAGCCATATGAGATAGGTAGTGAAGCTGATATTCCTATTCCTATTTTACAGATGAGGAAATTGATATCCAGGGTGGTTAAGAAAACTTCTTTGAGGTATCATCAATGAAGTTTTTTTGAACTTCAAAGAAATGAAATCAAAGTGAAACATTTATGAATGTCATAGGTTCATAAACTATAGTGCGTGTGTATAGTTTTTCCCCATGATACTGACCCTTCTTGTCTGAGCCAAGCACTTTTAAACTGTTTGTTGAATTGGATTGCAAAAGTCAGAACTTCCTGTACAGTTTCAGTAGACACAAGTTTATAGTCCTGTGATTCTCAACAGAAGCAACTGAGGTGTTCCTTAAAACCACAGATTTCAGGATCCCACTCTACACTTAACTAAATCAGAGTATCTGGAAGGTTACAGGATCTATAATCTAGTATTTAAACGTCTGCATTTTAATAGTTTTCCCAAATAATTTTTATTCACACTAAATTTTGAGAACTACAATAAACAGCTCGATTTAGAGAGTGTCAAATGATATGTAATTATATGTAGGTGAAATTAAGCAATGTCCTCACAGACTTCAAAAGCATCTAAGGCAGGTTGATTAATCTATTAACCAGGGGCATTTACTGTTATAATTCATAAACAATAGTTTGATTAACATGGCATTATAGTTATATAAGAATAATTATCAACAGGGGAGAAGTTAGAAAAAAAGAAGAATCTAGTCATACTGTAATGCTTACAATGTAGCAAATATTCAATGTAAAATAGAGAAAGTTCAGAGATATTAAATAACAAACTTACTTGCCGACATTTTTAATCAATTCTGGTCATATAAGAGGTAAAAGTTCACATAAGATTGCTATTAGCATACATGTATAAGTGAAAATGATAAATGTGCTAAAAAGTTAAAGAATAAGAATCAATGTCTTGGAAACTAATGAATGTCAGGAGAGTTCGTGAATAGCATTAGGACCTCTTACACAGACCATCGTCCCCTGAGTGCTTTTGATCTAATGACAGACCTTGAGGCAATGCATGGCTGGATTTCCTGCCCAGCTTCCAAGAGTGTCTCTCTCAGCATCTTCTCCTCTTTTCAAATCATAAAGCGTTCTAGTTTTTACATGCACTAATATTATGCCCTCAAAAGACCATAAAATATTTTTTGAAAACTGAGGAATTATTCATTTGATTTTGATCTAGTCTTCTTTGTGCACAAGCAAAAATACTACCATTAGTTTTTGGCACTCATTTTTATGGTGGTTTTCATATCTGAATGCCACTTTATTTTTTAGATAACTTACTTAATCGGTGTTTAGTTATATATGTATCCAACATTCCCAATCTAATTCTCACACTTTTTATTAGGACTAGTTAATTGCTTAAGGAAGTTCCACCAAAAACACTTAAAAGCTCTAGCTGTAGCTCTGTAAAGGGGTTAAGATGAGCAAATCTAATTGTTATTTAAGTAAAAAGGAATGACGAGAAGTGGACAAAACGAGGCTACTGCCTTAATAACTATGCTGTTATTTGGATCCTACTTACCTAGCAAAAAACAACTCCAATTATAGGGAAAACAATCCCTAGGAATAAAAACAGACACTACTCAAGATGATACACACAGTTAGCTCCTTGTCTCAAAATGCAAACAAAGTTAAATGATTTTGCTTCTAAAATGTTTTGCAAAATGTAAACTCACAAATAGCTTAATTATATTTTGATTATTTCAATTTAATTTATAGTGAATGTCTCAGTTTGTAATATGTTTTTTCAAATGAAAACCATATGGAGATTTTTTTAAGTAGTATATTCAAAAAACTCTCAAACTCTGGAAGTTGTCAGTGATAGCAATCTCTCTAAAAAGTCTGCCTGTGAGAACACTTGACATGTACAGATAAAAAGAAACTTGACACCATAAGGTTCGAAATCACTTTTTTCCTAAATATTGTATTCCTAGTTCATCTAATGTCATGATCATCTGCCTAACATACTCAAAAGATATGTCTCTGATTTCAGTGAGAGGATATAACAATACTGTATCTTCTCTAAGTATTAAAACTGCAACAACAAAACATTCTTATTTGACTTAAATTTTTTGATTTTCACAAGTCAAGTTCTATTAAAAAGTAGGTGGACCAAAGAAAAATGACTGAAAAGCTAAATTTATCACTGCAATAAAACCCTATAAGCTTCTGATTTTTCAGTTCAACTTGATTCTGCAATTATGCTACCAAATTTCTAGATCATTCCACATGATGGAACTAGCACGGCAGTTGGATGACATTTTTAAAAAGTCAATTTCACAATGTCATCTCTGGAAGCAACCATCTCAAACTTTGTTTTGTAATTGATCACAATTAAAAGCTAAGGAGATAACATTTGCTTTACATTAGACTTTTCAGAAAATACAGCTATTCAGTAAGAACCTCTAACAAGAATGCAGACTACTAGAGTATAAAAAAGGTGATAGCTGAAGAGCACCTGTCAGAGCCCTGTGGGATGGAATGGAAGAAAATAAAGTCAGAGTTTGTTCTCTCTCAATTTATTAGTTGAATGTGAAAAACACTTGACATTTTATTTTTCTAAAATATGAACCCAAATTTCAGAAATTTTTCAAAGGTTTACACTACAATGATCTTGGTGGTAGCTTTGGTTATTTTCAGTTGAGAGTGAGCTAAAAATAATTATCTAGGACTCATGCTGAACATGGGATTTCCTACCAGTAAGGGCACAGGCAAATGCAACCCCTTATGTAACATATGCAAGAAAATATTTAAGTAACAAAAATGTAAACACCATACTAAAACTGAAAATGTATAGCTTTGTTGATAGTCTTATTTCTTCTCTTCTTCCCATAGAAATTTCCTTAAATCAACTTAGTCACTACCTCAACCTCAGGAGAATGGGGAGATAAATATTTCAGGTTAAAAGTCTTTTATTTCTTTTTCATCCATTTTTCCTACCATCCAGCCAGCACTTACAATAAGCAAGACACTGGGCCAGAATTTTCTAAATGAAATGCTTATGGCTGAGAAAAGGAAGCTACAAAAATTTGATTCCTTTTATAATAAAAATTGTCTTAATCTGAATCTGACTTCCTTAGTTCCTGAGACTAGAAAGCAAATTCTCAATACAGCATAAGCAGTTCAGCAGGCTCTCTCCCTTCCAAACTTCCTGAGAGACTGCTGCTGAGGCTGGACCCTGAAATAATAACTCCCAAACAAGGGGATGTTTCATATCACGAGGACAAACACTGCTCACTAAAGAGCATTTCTGAAGTGGATCTCTAAAATACGATAAAAATAAAAACTATTTCATTTATTTGTGTTCATGCTAGCTTAAAAATGGGCTAAGGATGCTGATTCCACATAGCTGTATAACTGTTGCCACAGAATTAAACATTACCCACTGAATAATATCTCTATGACTTCAAACTTCCATTAGGTCTCTTTAAGTGGTTTATACCTGGAGAGGAGGAAACACTTGCCACAGACATAGCATAAATATTCAGTTATTTAAACTTACTTCACAAGATGGAAAATTTTTACTAAAATCCTATTAAACCAAAACCACAAGATTCTTGCATAAAATTATTTCAATATTCTAACAAGGTACTGGGAGAGACAGAATGGCATTCCTTAAAATTTTAAACACATTCGGAGGGAGAAGACTCTATTAGGTAAAAAGAAAATGAAATGAAAGAAAATGTGCATGTAGATAGAGATGGAGAACAGAAAAAGACTGACCAAAAAAAAAAGTACCAGAACAACCTCTATATTAATTTAAATCAACTTCAAAATTAGCCAGAGCTAACAGTGACTAGTTACATTCAAGTATAAACTCTTTCAAGAAACAGATGTGTGTTACAATGACATTTCATTCTTCAGCTAGCTTCTTCAAGAACTCTAAATTAAGTCAGCTTTTACCAGAAGCGAGCCAGCATCCACATTATTTCATTTTGTCCAAATGTGCTTCTTTGTATACCATGATTCTATTGCCTTTTGATCTTTTTAGAATTTCTAGTAAGTGAAAATCTATGTATCTATGATATAAAATCTGTCTATATTAATCTGCAGTGTAAAAATAAGTAATATACCCTGTCCCAATCACTAAAAGCATCACACACAGATATAAACGTTATACACATAATAAATGTATTTTTAAAAGTTAATCTATATATCTATATATAAAGTAAAATGCCATATATAATTTTCTCTTTATTTCTTGATGTAGAATTGGAATTACGGCTATTGTTAACGAATTCATAGAGTATAAGGAAAGGTGATGGAGAGGACATGACATTAAACATTTCCAGACTTTTTCATCTGAAATCAGTTTGAAATTGCAAACCGGAGTGAACTCAGAAAATGGCTCCAAAACTCACCTAATCTAAATTCCTACTTTAAAAATTCCACACTATCAAAATCTCCAATCTGCTCTATACACAGAATGAACCATTTTCATTGTGTTTCCATGAAAGTGGTATTTATATAAACAGTAGTGAAAAGTTAGCCCTTTACAGACACTGTTACAATTTTCATCCATTAAAGCTAGGAGCAGGCTTGTGACTTTTAGTTTCCTAAGTTACAAAGATAATGACCTACAAACATAAGCACTTTCATTTCTAAAGAGACATTAGATAACCCAATTATAGACTAATCATCATGAACATGTGTTGTGTTTACAGTGTATCCATAAGCAATCCCTGTTACATACCAAACTCCTAAAGGCAAATTCATAATTAACTGGAAATATTGATACTGTGTTATAAATCAGGTTAATATAAAGGTCTTTTATTAAGGAACTCTGCTAAATCTCCCCCTCCGATGAAAATAATCATATTTTAAAATAAATGCAATAATGAGAAATGAAGAAAAAAGGGCAAATAGACTTGGCAACTATTAGAGTGGTACAAAAATGAGCTATCAAGATTACACATATAATTTTAAAGACTGTATATTGTTATTAAATCTACAAAGACTTTTCATTATAACTGAAGAGGTGACATTAGTATCTCAAATATTACAAATCTTTAAAAATATAGAGCTGCACTGTCCAATATGGTAGCCATTAGCCACCTGTGTCTATTTAATACTTGAAATGGGGCTAGGCCAAACTGAAATGTGCTTTAAGTGTAAAACACACACAAGATATTTAGACTCACAAAAAAACAGAATGCAAAATATTTCATTTTTTTTACACCGATTACATGTTGACATGCTATGCTGGGTTAAATAAAGCATATTATTATAATTCATTTCATCTGTTTCTTGGGTGTGTATGGCCTCTAGAAAATGTAAAATCAAATGTATGGCTTGTGTTGTATTTCTACTGGACAGTGCTTATCTATAATGTTTATAGGACTGTTTTCATCAAAGCCACTGGGTGACACTGTTTCTTCACTAAATTGATACAACCAAAGCAATTTTCTGCCAGGGGAAAATCACACATGCACACACACAAATCATAAATGCACATACAGGTACACACATGCACATGCACATACACACACTTCAGCAAACAATATGTGCCCCCTGTAACCAGTCATCTTCTCAGGAGGAAAGAACATGAGTGCCCTTAATGTAATATTATTATTATGTTAGCAGGACTGGCTATACTTGAAAGCTTTAATAATCATTCACAGATTCCTAAATAACAAATGACAGCTCTAATCAAATCAAAAACACAGACATTGCTTAGTTTGTGACTTCTCTCAAATAGCTTTCCATCTTCGAAATGGTAATGTTCTTCATGACCTCCTCTGATATTATACCCTATTTACTTATATTTTAATGAAATTCTAAGGAAACACTGCAAAATAACAGGTGAAAAAAATTACCAGCTGTTTTTGCTAATGAAGAAATGCCTTAACAATCTGCAGATTATGCTTTGCCTTGAATTTGGAAATCCTGAACATACAAAAATAAACATATTGAAAATCTAAAATAAAAATATTCAATATTTAAGCCACTGCTAAATACTTTTGTTTGATAAGACTCCACAAAGTTAGACTTTTCAGTGCAACTGATATTCATTTACGTGACAAAGTCAAGAATAATTCATTCCAGAGGCTACCTGGTATTAACAAGTTTTGTGTTATTTACACATCTGACACTCAATCTGATTATTCAGTCTTCTAATGCTGAATGAGAATTTAGAGTTGGCTCCATGGGAAAAATTACAAATGATACCCAGGGTTAAAGTTAGCAGCCTGACTCCTTTCCTACTGTTTCCTCAGTAGCACAGTCAAGTCAAAGAGGAAATGGACAAAAGCCATCTTGCCTTGGGCTATCTTCACACATATAGCTAACTCTCAGTTTCCTTCTCTCTAAAATCAGACTAATTGTAGTCTACTAACTACAGCCTTTTCAGAATTAAGCATTTAAAATATCAGTGCAACCAGCTATTTACAGTCATAAACTAACTCGACATAAATACAATCAATCAGTGTACTATTTTGAAGTGTAACATGTCCTAAATGAAATATTATTTTACCTTTGTTTCAGAGCAGACTGTAAAGGTACACCAAAGTAATTTCCATTTTCAAAAACATTCTCCATGTCTTCAAAATGTAAAGTTGCTTAAAATCTAAGCCATTTATGTTTAACCATCTATGTGTTGAGGACCTTCTGAAAACCTATGACACTAAGACTTTTTGCTCCTAAGAATGAACAAATGAAGTTCTGCATACAATTTCAGAGAGGAGATGAATGAGTCCTGGAGCCAGGTTAAAAACCTGCTCCAAGTTATTATATGCATTTCTCCATTATCTAAGATATTTCACTGTGACTTCCCTTTTTCTTATGTTCACTTCTCATTAATCTCACTAGGCTCTAAACTTTGCAGAGACAAATGCTGTGTCACATCTATCTGTATATTATTTTTGATTTTTAGCACAAGGACTAATGCACAGATAAAATGTGTTGATTTGAGACCTGGTAGGTTGATTGATCAAAGGCCTTTATGGATAATGGGTAACATTAGCTATGGGTAGCATCTTCTTTTAAAACAGTGGTATACATTCACAATGAACAGGTATGGTCAACTAATATTTTTTACGATTGTCATACAACACATCTTCCTCTAAACTACAACTCAGGCACATCTGTTAGACTTTTTTCTCAGTGATCAAATCTGTATATTTTATATCAATAACAGCACAAACATACATTCTCAGTTCAAAGTTAAAACAATTCCATAGTAGCCTTACTAAAAAAACAAACAACAACAAAAAATCTCCTTTAATAAAAAATACTACCTATCATGAAAGTATATATAGGTAATTACCAAAAGGATTCAAGTTTCTATATAAAGGAATTATCTTCATTTGAACATTAATGGAACACATCTTTAGGTGCAAGAATAGGAGACTGGACTTTCTGAGGGTCTTCAGAATTATTTCACAGAGGTTCATTAAACACATGAATGCAGAATATAAGCATAATATTTTTTAATCTCAATTTGAGGGTTTTTTTAAGAAGATATAAACACCACACAGAAATGGAGCAGGAAGACTCCACTGAAGAGGAGACATATGGCAGCTAAGTAAACAATTCACCATAAACCTGTAGGGTTATGCATCACTTCCGGGAGCATAAGACATTTCCCCATCGCCCAATGCAAAGGCATGATACAATAGTTGCATTGATTATCTTCACACATCCAGGACAGTATAACTCACAACAATAACTCTTTCTCAAAAACACAACTCCTATCCTAATCCCAAAATAAACTCTTTCTTTTGATAGATAAAATAACACACGTTTTCAATGAAGTCAACATTGACTCTACTGGGCTGACTGACACAAACCATATTAATGGAAAAATCTTAAAATATATAGGCATACTTCTAATTTTGAGGTTTATAAACATCCTACCTTGACAGAATGAGAACTTGCTTAAAATAGAAGTAAAATTCAATTTGGTAAAGCCTTTATTCAACTAGCGCTCTGAAGAGATTATTTCTCAGATCTGAATTTTCTAATAGACTACAACAAATTCACACAAATGTCACTGCAGATAGAATGAATGTTTTTTCATGCCAGTGTCACTCACCCTTGCCTGCCTGCACCCCCTCCCCCAAGGCTTTTCAAAATGTATTTCATACACAGAGTCACTGTTCTGGTTGTTTATTTAATTAACATGACAGCCCAGCATACACAGCATTTCTTTCAGTTCTACAGTTTTAACTTTTTACACTTTCGACTCAATACAGAAAGAGTAAAATTACTGTTTTCACTCCTTCCAGCCTCTGTAAATTTATATAGATTCACTGACTATTTATGTCACTTAAAAAACTTTTTCAGTATGCTTTAAATATCTGTATTCACAAAGTAAAATTACAATTTTTGTCCCCCCGACACACAAAAAATTCTTTTCCTTCACCTTTCCCAAGGGATAAGGAAATCTTGTTTTCCCTTTTCAGTATTTTCAGAAATTGACATTAATTAATTTTAATTCTGTCACCAAGTCATAAGTAATCAATATTGCTCTTTGAATCACCATAAACTGAGTAACACTACTGAAATGTAGAAGCTACAATTTAATTAAAAGTCCGTGATTATTTCTGAAACTTACTCAATTTGAACAATATGTTACATTGACAGGCATTTAGGAATTTAAACAATGTATTCTACATTTTGAGAAGAAATAAGCAAGTTTTTTGTCAAAGAATAACAATGCCTCCCATCCAGTGCCTACCATCAAACACCATACCCATTTCTCCTATTTTTGCTTTGCTGTTGTTTGCTTTCTCTCCTAAAAGTGTCTTTCTCACATCAGTGGTGAAAAACTTGACTCTTCTTTCGACAACTAAGATCAAAATGGATGATGTTGTATCCATCCCAAAAAAATGTTGTCATTAAGTGGTACAAATGCATTAACGGAGACAGTCATATGCCTTTGTATTTACCTGAAACCACAGGTAAAAATATAAAATTTTCCTTAACAGGTAACTAAAATAAAATTGCATTGGTTTGAAATCTTTCAAAAGTGAATGTGTAAGGTGGTCTCAGTAATTAGAGAAGAATGAGCAGCCAATTATAGTTCTTTATTTATAAAGAGAATGGAGAGACACCCCTTCAAATACAATTTGCAATAACAAAAAAATTGCAAAATTAAAATTTTACATTGAAAAATAACATATTAATCATGCATAATATCTAATACTCCAAGAAAGTCTAGGTACCTCTGTATATTCCCATGTTTCGGGCCGAGGGCACAGTGGTACTTTGAGAGAGACATATCTGCTCTGGGATGCGAAAGTCCACTTAGAAAAGATACACACACCTTAACAGACACTTGCCTTCTTAACACTGGCAGCCAAAAAAGTAGTTTGACACACTCATCTACAAAATCAGCCTCAGTATTGCGGACACTGGGTTGTCAGGACTAAACTAAAAGCTAAACAAACTTTATAGTTCTTTAAACTTTAAAGAACTATAAACTTTGTTTTTTCCTGAGAATAAAGATATTTCCACTTGCATTCACAGACACCAGTGCTACAGACTTACAGTTCTTGAAAGAAAAAAAGGGAGGGAGAGAGAAAAATGTATCTGTCAATTGGTTTCTCTTATGAGAATTTTTATCATATATTCTCTTTGCACTTTTGGAACTGAGGGTCACTGAAGAGGGATAGTTCATCAGTAACCAGCCACTGCCATTCATACAGAGAAGAAAATGATGAAATTCTCTCACTGGTAAGCCTCACAATGAGCAAAGTGCAAATAAATTCTCAAGAGGACTCTGACAGACTGTGCGTTTAAGTTCTTAAATGACTATTTAAAATTCACTTGTTGCCTATGAGTATTGTCTTGAGTTGAAAGTAGACATTCCTTCAGAAAAAAAGCAGATGACATTCAGGGGAGTGTTATATACTTATTTTATAATTATTTTGATGTTTGACTTCACAAAGTATGCAAATGACAGTGGTACACTTTGCACCCTTAATCAGAAGTTTGTTTCCTTATGATAAAACAGATAAGCCATTTACTGTGGGTAGCTCCTGAACTTTTCACACAGTAAGGCTAACGTATATGAGATACTGTCCTATCTTATAAGATAGTACACTGTGTTAGTTTCCACCCACTCCCCACAATTATGCTCAGCAACAACTTTTAATGGGTCATATATAAAAACCAGTCTTCAGTGACACGCACACACTCACCCATGCCCTCATTAAAACTTCAAGTATCTCAATTTCTGCTAAATGTATTCTTGTGTTTCCATCAAGCATAAGACAAAGTTTCCCACTTTAGAATAATCTTCATTAACACAGTCTTTAAAAAAAATAGTGACCAAAGAAAATTACAGAAATAGATTGCGATTATGCATTTTCCAACAGCATTAATCAGCAAAACATTAAATATGCAATGCTTATTTTGATAACTTCGTAGATAATTCAAATTCTCCATTTATCAATTTAAACCAGAGAAACCCAATAAAAATGTGTGGGTTAAATGAATGCTGCTGGTTAATTTACCTAACCACCTTCTTATCTTCTATCCACCCTTAATTTCTTAACTTATAAATGTTAATATAAAATTTTAAAAAATAATTCCACAGGGTAAATGATATCAATTTGGAATCAAGTTGTGATTAAATCCCAGATTTTCCTTAGAAATTATGGTTGTGAATTTTGCAATAGTAACATCCTATTTCCCTATAAGTTAATGAATAGTGTATTCTGAACATACTTAAAGCGGTGGTGTTTTCATTTAAGACATTCTCTCCCATAACTGTGAAAAGAAATTAAAATGGTTAGTTTACCCTCAAATAGATAACTTACTCCATTTTAACAATTTCCAAATTTTTACCAAAACTATCAGTCAGTGGCCTGTTTTCCCCTCCACTCTTAGAGTAAGCTTAAAGACAAGAAACATTTGTTTTATCGAAACAAAAAGCAAATAACTACATTTGCTTTAAAATAAACAGACTATGATGCTGTCATCTACTCTGCTCAATAATGTCAAACAGCCATAGATCTGTGTAATCAACTCCATTTCAGAAACCAACTAGCCACCCACACCATATGGTGACTGCTATTTCTTAGAAATACCCAAATGATTATCCACAGAATAACCTAAAAAGAAAAAGCTTACTTTATCTTAGGATATTCTCTTGCTCCCTAAAGTTGTCCTAATAGTACCACAGGTAGGCATTAATTTAAAGGGAAAAATGTAAATTTCCACTTGCTGTATCCAACCAGCTCCTCCTCCCCATCAAGTGTCAAATCCACTTCAAATAGAGAGGTGAACAAATCTGCTTCAACTAGGGAGGCATACCCTTCGGTATGCTTTTTTAGACACCGTATGCATTTAAAATTGGGATTTGTTCCTTTATGCCCTTTATAGCAACTGTTCTATAGTTTTAAATCACTTAATGATAATAAGGAGACTCATCCCCAAAAGTGACTAAAGTTTTATTTACAACTTTATAATCCCAGGTTCCTCCTCCTCCCACGTTGTGGGAAGATATACATCTCCAGCAATCTTAGAAATGGCCTCCCGAATTAGTATTTCCTGTAAAATCTGCATAAATCCATTTGAATTTATAAATATCCACTTAAGTATGCACATACTAAAGAGAACTGTTTTGTTTTTAGTTGACACTAAAACGCAGTTGACAATTTTGAACAATTCCAAAGTTCAGACATATTATTCCCCAAGTTGAAGTTTGTGATACAAAACACACTAGCATGTAATAATGTATGCCCCTAAATTATATTTAAAAACAAATTGGGCACCATCAGCTGCAGTCTCTCCAAATAAAACTTACTGCAAAACCAGAAAATGTGTATCAATTCCTCACCTTCAAGCACAGCTTGCTTTGCTCTAGAATCTTTTTACTGGTTTTCATAAATGTTTAATATCATTTCATTAAAAAGATTTTACTTTTTAAAAAGTAGAAATCTAGTAAAATCTATGTGTTAAAAAAATCACTCATTGCTAAAATCTAAACTTAATTCTAAAATTTCTGCTAAGGAAGGAAAGCGTAAGAGTACTGAAAAGAGTAGGCAAGCCATACACCAGGTGTAGCAGATCTAAAAAGTTGGCCCAGCTGTGGAAGACCCTACACATGCCATCTAGTTTTGTTAATTGTGTTTCAGTCGTTCAGGTTATAAAACTACTGTGTGAAAGAGAGGGCAAAAAAACAAAAAAAAAAAAACAAAAAAAACAAAAAAAAAACCTGCTAGTTTCTTAATTCTGAAGTTAGACCAGTTTTCTAGGCTATCTTCCCTTTAGTTCCCAGCGCTCGGATTCTCTCCACTCTGCGCCGGTTGCCAAGTGTTTCAAGTTTCCAAGAGCCGAGAGAGGAGTTGCCAGTGCTTACCTGTTCCCTCGGTATACAGGGCAGGGAGGTCCTCCGATGGGACTTGCTGCTGCAGCCGGACATCTCGGCGGACACGACGGAGCTGGACCGCCTCCTCCTCTTAAACACCGGGATATCTTCCTTGGTCCCAGCAATCAGCTGGGACCCCAAATGCTCCCTTGGAGCCGCCTCCGCGGACTGCGGCAAGATTTGTTCCACGTACCTGGCCAAGAGGATCCCCAGCACGCCGGCCAGGTACGCCAGGTAAGGTCTCCAGGCGACCTTGAACCTCTCTAAGGAAATGAGGGACACGGTCCTGACCGCGCTAGTCAAGGCGATCATGAGGACGCCCAGCCTCAGCCTCAGCACCAGCCATGTCGCGGCGGCCAAGCAGCTGAGCACCACCCCCGCGGCGGGGAGTGAGAGTAAGTGATCCTCCCCGACGCCCAGCCCAATCTGGACGAGCGCTTCCCCCCCGCAGCAGGCGGCCAGCAGCGCGACAGCCAGAGGCAGGCGCACCCCGGCGCGCAGGAGGTACAAGCCCATCCAGAAGAAGGCACACAGGAGACTGAAGAGCAGCGCCGAGGGCTGCAGCCAGGGGCTGAGCCGCGCACCGCCCCCGGGAGCACCTCCCCGAGGCCCCGGGAAGACGCCCCCTTCTGCTCCCGGGGCTGCTTCCTCCTCCTCCGCCGCCGCCGCCTCCTTACACTGCTCCAGGTCACAGCCGACCTCCCCGCGGACCAGCCTCACCAGCAGCGCCAGCAGAAAGGACAGGGAGCCCGCGCACAGCGCGGAGGAAAGTTTCCGAGAGCTCCGGAGCGGCTGCAGCACCAGGTCTCCCCAGCAGCCACGGCAGCCCGAGTCCCGCGGCGATGCGGGGTCCGCACGATGGTGGCAGTCCCGGCCCGCCGTGGGGGCTTGACTCACCCCACTGTGGACGGGCTTGTCCCTGACTCGTGCAGCGTCGCCGGGCACTGCCATGGTATAGGGTGCCCTCTTCACTGAATTCCCAGTGGCCCCCCGACGCCCCCGCCCCGACCCACGCGCGCGCGCGCACACACACACACACACACACGCACGCACGCTCTTCCCAATTCCACCCTCGGAATCCTTCTTCTCCCCAGGCCCACAATCCACTGAAAGTTTCAGCTTTCGAATAACTCCTGGAGAATGCTAGATGCTCCAATGAGACTTCTTCAAGTTAAAGGCTAGCACGCTCAAGTTGAAAACAAGCACGGGCAGAAACGATCAGGATTCCCCTTTTCTCTCTTTGAATATCTTTCACAGATTCTCTGCTCCACCCCCACCCCCGACTTATATCCTCCGGGGTCTCTTCCTACTTCAGGATTTCAAAAATTGCCCAATGCATCCCGCGCGCAGGAGCCGCTGACGCTGGAGGAGCCGGGGGCGCAGGGCGGGCTCCGGGCCATTCCGAGGCGCAGCTCGGCGCTGCGCTGCGCTGCAGCGCGCCGGGCCCGCGGCAGATGGAGGTCTCCCTTCTCCTCCTTCCTGCAGCTCTTTTTCTATCACTCTTTCTTTCTCCTCGGCCGATTCTCCCCGGCACGGCCCCAGGACGCGAATCGCCATTCCCTGGGGCAGAAAGCAAAGCCTCCCCCGCCTCTGTCAATCCAATTCATGGCAAAGGATGGAAAAAAAAAAATGGACAAGGGGCTGAGAAATAAGAAGTTGCTAAGTCCCGTCGGAGAGAGAGCCAGACCGAGAGACTAGCGGCAGCCGCAGAAGGGAGGGAGGGAGAAGGAGCGAGTAAGAGAGGAAGGGAGGGTGAGAAGAAAGGGAGGGTGAGAAGGGAGAAGGAGATTTGCTTTTTTTTTCCCTCCCCACTTCTATTTGATGCAAGGTTGGTGGTGATTTGCAGTTTTGCAAAGGGGAAACGAGTGGCGACGACTGCTTAAAATTGTATAAAACTGGCAACTGGAGTGATCGACAATTCCGCTTTCTTTCTTTAAGGCAACTCCCTAGGAAAGCTTTCTCAGCCGAGCTCCCGCCCCCTCCTGCGGAGGAGGCGCTACCCTCAGCTCGATTGCTCCTTTGCTGGGAAAGCGGCCGGTTCACCCTACAGGCTGGAGCAGGGGCTGCTGAGGCTGATCCACCGCGCAGCCCACCGCAGCCCCGGGGTGTGGGGGGCTGCGGCTAGCCCTGAGGCTGAGCTCCCTAGAACGTTGGAAGGAAAAAAAAAAAAAAAAGATTGTGTTTGCCTACTTGGCAGATGAGAGCCAACATACTTTCTACTGTCCCTGAAAATGACAGCCACTTCTACTGTCTGATTCAAAGATGTTCCCAAGTCAGGTACAACAGCAGTCCAATTTCAGGTGACAGTGTCATCCTTTGGTCGCTCCTGCTGGAAGGTCTGCTTTATGAGAACCCAAGCCTGGCCTGTTGGTTCAAATGATGGAAGAATCAGCCTTACCTAGACCACAATAGTATAAAAAGAAAGGAAGGAGAGGCAGCAGTCATTTAAATCCAGTGCATGAGTATTACACAATAGTTTTTGACTGTGGAAAGTAAAATTACATTGAGATTAAGTGACCGTATCCTCAAAAAAGGTTAACAAAGTTTAAAAGCCCAGATAGTTCATCAAAAAATAAAGAAAAATCTCAAGGGAGAGGTGAGGATAGGTGGGTTAACACTAGGAGAGATCTTAGAAGACTGTCTATGGCTGCAAAATACTACATCTTCGAGCAAAGCATATGAAAAAAATCAGGACCTTAGTTATTAATGAGTAAAGGTTCGTGTACTGCAGCAGTGTGATATTTGAGAAACTAAAAGAAAATTTTCAAGCTAACCTTTTTTTGGCAGATTATGAAAAAGAATTCAGTATCTGTTCAATGGACTTAAACTCTATTGATGTTCCCTGGGATCTAGTTGTCTTTTTAATATGATACTCCACTTTTAACATGGCTATCTTAGATGTCATTTGCCCTCACTAATAATAATCTTAATAATCCAATTTTGTCTTAATTATCTTGACATTCCAGGTTAAAGTGTATTTACAGCCTAGAGCATTTAGATAATTGATTCAATATGCCACTGTATTTTGTATGTAGACATGAAGCAATAAAAAAAGCCAAAAGGAGATCCTTGAGATAAAATTAATTTATGGGGACAGGGGGAGAAGATGACTTAAGTTTTAAACAGCTTCATGGGAAGCAGCCTGTTCTAGTAGAAGGCAGATATACTATAAAGGTATAGCTTCTCTCTGTCAGATGTCCAGAATTGTGCTACCACACAGGAGTATGAGTTGGGCAGCTAGTCAATGGCAGTGGGCACCATCTGTTTAATAATTAAGGAAACAGGAGCAGCAATGTCTTTGCCAAAGACAAATGAGCCCCCTAGCACGCACACATACTTTCATGAGTTTCCTTTTTAGACATATGATTCATATGCCAGATCCTACCTGGGACACATCGGAGTGAAAAACCTTGATTGGAAAATCATTCATATCTGTTGGCATCAAAAATAACATATTAAAATAATAAACCAAAAATCTGGCATATATCAAGGTTAAAAAGAAAAGCATAGTAAGGGAAATTTTAGAATATTTCAATTTTATCTGTCCCCTACCCCCACAATTATCTCAGTTCTTTAGAAAATTTAATATAATATTATCATAAAAACTGAACACTTAAGGTATGGGAAGCAGATGTTTTTTAAAAGTTGTAACAGGAAAAAATGGCATTTGCTAATGGCAGCAAAACAAGAATATTCTAAATCCATGTGTTAATAACATCCTGGAACTCTTCAATAAAATAAGGAGGCAATGTCCTGGCATCCAGGTTTCTTTAACAAATCATAATCAAAAAGTTATTTGTCCCATCAAAAGGAAAGAAGGTAGATTTTTCTCCCCATACCATCCAGAACCCAGAGGCAAGTGAACAAAGACAACAAAATGCTAATGTTAGAGAGATGCAGAAACCTGCAGGGCTATACTAACTGAAAGAAGCGACTAATAATGTACCTTTAACAGAGTATATTAAATGAAATAAGCTGCAATACATAAACTGGATAGGGAGCAATCACATATAAACACTGCCTCTTTTCTACAGATAGTGGTGAGTCCTAGTTCAAGAAAGTGACAACACAGCCAAAGAATAAGGAAAATGTTGTACGTGCAGAAAAATAGTAGAGCATGGACAACAGAAATAAAAATTTAAGTTTTACTTGATAAATCTTCCACTTAGTCAAATCTAGCAAACATGTTTTTACAGTTTTTTGGGAAAAGGATCTAACCCTTCACATTTGAGCTTTATTAAATATAGTTAAGCGTCAGGGGATTCTATTGTAAAATTCAGTAAGTTTACGTTCCGTAGTATGGGTTCAATCATTCTCTGCTACCTATCTGATTATTATATATTTATATCTAATAGGTACCTAAAACATAAGGTATCCAAAACAAAATTCTTAACTTACAATTCCCTTCCTACCTATCCCCTACCCACCCAAACTATATTTTCTCAATCTTGTTACATCCCAGTAAAGAACATAACCATCTACCTAGTTGCTCAGGCCCCAGAAGAGGGAACGGGTCTTGATTCTTTCCTTTGTTTATCTTGTTTTACTTTTAGTCGATTAGGAAATCCACTTGATCCTGTCTCTAAAATATATTCTAAATCCATTTACTTTTCACTGTCCCTCTTATAATAACCTGCCAAAGACCCATCATCTTCCTTGGCCAGGACAAGTGCAGTAACTAACTGATCTTGCCCTACTTATAATTCATTTTCTATATAGCAGAGTAACACTTTAAAAATATAAATTGAATTATGTCCCTCCCCTATTTAAAACTACCCAAAGGCTACCCATCGTACTTGCAGAATGCAGTCCTCATCACAGTCCTCATGACAGTCCTACAAGGACCTTCATGATCTTTCCAAGTAATTCTCTCTGACCTCTCCTCCTATTCCAATGCTCCTACTTCACTGGTGAAGTACTATTTATTAGAACTTTCTTCAATGACAAATAGACCCTCTGCTGTCCAACATGGTTGCCACTAACCACATGTGGCCATTGAATACTTGAACCATGGTTGGTGTCACTGAGGAGCTGAACTTTTGTATTTTATTTTAATTTAAATTTTAATACATTCACTTGGCTAGTGTCTAAAGGAATGGAGAATGCATCTCTAATACCTCAGGCCACCTTTGTGTTCTTCATACATGTGAAATGGGAAACCCTGTTCAGGGCCTTGGTATCCAGAGATTTTCACATAGCTGGCCCCTTGTGCTCCATCAAGTCTAACCTCAAATGTTACTTTATTTTAGAAAGGCTTTTTTTCCAAGAATCTTATCAAAAATTTTTGGACACCCCATGTACACATACACACTTTTTCTTTCACTATCATACTACCCTGTTTCATTGTATTTATAGCACTTATCACTATACAAAATGGTCTTGTTCGTTTATTTGTTTTCTCACTTATCATTTATCTCTGTTCACTAGGGTGTTAGTGCCATGTGAACAAGGACTCTGAATAGCTGTCTTGTTTGCTGTGTATCTCCAATTACCAGAATAGTGCCTGGCACATGGTGGAAGCTTGTCTTAGTCTGTTTACTGTTGCTATGAAAGAATACCTGAGATTGGGTAATGCGTCATCAGGTGATTTCATCATGTGAACATCACAGAGTATACTGACACAAACCAGATGTGTGACCTACTACACACCTCGGTTATATGGTATAGCCTATTGCCCCTAGGCTACAAACGTGTACAGCATGTTACTGTATTAAATACTCTAGGCAACTGTAACACAATGGTAAATCTTTGTGTATCTAAACATAGAAAGGGCACAAAGTACCATATTATAATCATATGGGACCACTGTGGTATATGTGGTTTGTCATTGACCAAAACATTGTTAGCAGTGCGGGCCTATATCAATACTTAAATTACTCATCTATTAGAGAAATAGGTAATTGTCAAAGTTTTGAAAACTTTGTATTGATTACCTGATGAAATGTCTACAATCCTTAGCAGTTTTCTGGTAGGCTTAGGGATAAAGCAATGTAAAGCTGCATTTCAGTAATATGTAAGCTGAGAAATTAGGAGATACCTAAATATGAGTGACTAAGATGTCATAGCTCACATCACGATTTATGACATAGTCTCCAACTGTGCCAATTAACAACAATAGGGGATTAACTTAAGATTTAAAAAAGTAAACATTTTGCCAACATGGACCTTATTAATACTTATTATTTCACATATAGTCAGGGAAAAAATGCAGAAACCTTGCATTTTTAGATGTATCATCTGCCTTTTTTTTTTTTAATGCTGCCACTTAAAATGCAGTGCCTGCCCAATAAATTGCTGATAAACAGTCAAAGGCTGAGCTCTTATTGACTTCATGAGCAAATAGTTCAGGTTTACAGCAGCTACTGATGTACAGGCCAGTCTAAAATGTTAGAAATTAAGGATGATTTGCATTTTTAAGCTAGAGTGTATTATTGAGAAAAACTATGAAGGTTGTTGATAGAAAGGAAAATATAAGTATAGCCTATTTCTTTGTTATATTTCAACACCTCTACATTTTAAAGTTAGTTTTACTTACCTGTAAGTGTTATAATAGCACCCAAACTGCTACTTTTTATATATGTGACAGAAGGATTCCAGGGCAAAATTTATATACAGCGTAGAAACTTCCTTGATCTATAAATGTGATGCTCTTTTGCATGAAATCTACCAAGGTTTCTAAGTATTAATGGAGTGTTTTAAGCTACCTTATCATTTTGGAGGAAATTCTAATAAGCAGCCAAATGTCTAAAATTAGGCAGTTAATAGAAGGGAAAATAGAAACAAAGAACACAGATAATTTACTAATTGAAAATCTACCCTGAGTAATTGATCACCTACTGCTCTTTTCCTTTATAACTATCTAAGGAGAATGCATGTTTAAAATTAGAATGGAATTTTAAAATGAGTTAAATAATCACTCATCTTTATGTAAATATAATTAAAAATACTGTCACTTGACTAGTTATCTTACTTATATTTACAATTCTCTTTTTATTTGTGGCTGTGTTGGATCTTACAGAATCTAGGGCTATTTGTTATATCATCTCTCAAATTCTTTCCTCCCCCAAAGCTTTAGCCTCAAAAGGGCAATTTCATTTTTTTTTTTATTATTATACTTTAAGTTTTAGGGTACATGTGCACAATGTGCAGGTTAGTTACATGTGTATACATGTGCCATGCTGGTGCGCTGCACCCACTAACTCGTCATCTAGCATTAGGTATATCTATGAAATGTCTGGTTGGCTTTCACAAAACAACTATGTTGTGAGAGTAGAGAAAAAGTGTTAAAATACAGTATTTAAAAAATAATTACCTGTAGAACCTGTAGAAAAGAAATAATCAGTGTCTAAAAATACTTATTATTTACACTTAAAGACTTAGACTCAAATACAAAAATCAAAATGCTTAATGTTTATTATCTCTCCCACTAATACGAAGTTCAGAAAAGAAGCATCATCTGAGATTGTCAGTATAATCAATATCTTGTATTCAGTGACTAAGAAGGAAGTGCTCATACTAGTTAATCTGAGTTGTTCTCTGCCTGAAACTGTAAGGCATTTTTTTCATTCTACCGGAACCACAGAACTATGGTAACTTTCCACAGAAATGGCAAATTACATACAGAGCTTAGGCTCAATGAGTTCCTTTAGCCAAAATCTAGAAATAGGGCATTTTGAGCTCAGTAAGAACAGTAAGTGATGCATGGAAGAAATAAATGTGGTTCTCCCATTCCAGAAAAGGGAGGACCTCCAAAATATAGGTAAGAATGTGAGTTTTCTCCGATAATGTCTCCGCTTCCTGACCAAATCTTTACATTGATTTTTAAATTTTATTTCTTGTTTGTTTTATTTTTTGCTTTCTAAAGGTCCATCAATGAGAAATTTTAGTCCATTTACTATTGAGAGCTAATTTGGCATTGTTCTGATTTTGTTATTATAATTAATATAGTACATAAAAAGATATAGATAATACATAATTAAGAGTTCTGGAAGTTACGGGTGACACACAGTTAAAAAGGGCCAGAGAAAGGTCTCAGATTATTCTAAATTAAAATAATTATTATCACTCACCATGTATCTTATCTAATTTCATACCTCAAATATCAGTTATTCAAGGGACTGAAGAAAAGCCCAGAAGAAACCCATACAAGTCATTTCATTACTGCATATTAATATTGGAGAGTTCCCTTAAATTTACTCATATAGGTTTATTTGAGAAAAAGGGATTTCTCATCTACAAATACATTTATACCCCAACAAGAAAGTCACTCGAACAGGTGTTTTGTTTTGCTGCTCTATAAAATAAGAGTTCACGATAAAATTTTGAACAAAGCTGTCTGAATTTTCTCCCATAGAAATGTTAATCATTCTACTAAAATTTCCATACATCTTCTTTCTTCTAGACCTTACTAAAAAGTCAATATTCCTACCCAACTGGATCAAGATTGTAGAACACAAGGATGCATCCTTAACCTTATAAAAATGCCTTGGAATTTTTAATGAGCAGAAGTGGTCAGAACCTCAGTCATACGTCTCATCCAATAGATGGTTCTCCTGTAGCTCAGTGCTCCATAACCCAGGCTGAAGTTGGCTCAGCACCACCCTGGGATGGAAGAGGGCCACCTACTGAATCACCGCCACCACATCCTGCAGCATCCTCCATCCAAGTCTTTCCTGGGCCCACCCCTGCTGAACTCCCAAGGTCAGAAGAGATCACAGCTTTAGAGCATTTCATTACAAATTTTAAATTTCCAGTCTCTGGTTTTCATATTGCATTTCAAGATCAACATCCTTATTAGTAGTCGTATATTTTTTATTTTGAAATTTTATAACACCTTGTCCACTGGGAAATTCCAAGCAGGCTACTGAACCTCGTTACCACACAGGCAGAAATCCGCATAACACCCCTGTGAAGGAGGTGTTAAATGACAGAGAGAGAGAGGGAGCGCACACCATCACCTACTCTTACAAAAGTCCAATCCTTAATAATTAATGAATGAAAAGACATCTTGAGTCCAGTGGTCACTGGGAGTAATTGGCGTATATTTTCTCAGCTGCCTCTAAATGAAAATGGCAATAATTTAACCAATATATTTGGGCCGACAGCTAGGCTAAATTCAGTTCTCTTTTGCACCCAAGCAGTAGAACTAAGTGGGATCTGAACAGACTACTCTCTGTTACCACCTGATTGTGGAAAACTCACATGTGGTGCTCAGCAACTGAGTATTTCAAGTCCTGCTCACATTTACAATGTCTTTTTCTATCCTCGGTTAAAAGGTCCTGAAAATTGGGAGGACACAAGGTTACATTTGTTTTATACCTTTTCTCTGTCCTCAATCCTTCCTTATGTAAAAACTTCTGGTGTTTAAATGATAATATAAGAGGTTACTTCGAGTGATAAAATCAAGAGTCCAGCTATCAAGATGAAATTACATAACATAAATGTATAGTTCATAGTATAGATTGGTGGTTATCAGCCTCATATTGAATGCCTCCTTTTATAACAAATATTTTATAATATCACTGTAGCAGATGCTATCGGTTCCCTTCCTGTATTCCCTAGGCCATACACACCAGTGACATCCTATTTCTGGTCTCTGCTCAGGGCCTTCTGGCTGCTGAGAGTACTTGGCTCACACACATTGTGGCAGTCCAGAAGATGATAGATAGCCTGACAGAATATAAAATGACCTCATACAGCTTCAGACAATTGGGAGGAGAGGGTGCTTGGGGCAGATCTTTCACCTAGGAACACAGCGTTTCACTATACCCAAAACTTTGGATGTTGCCTAAACATATTGGGCATCACGTGCCAGTAGACTAGCAAGCAAAGGAGTTACTATACTGATTTTCATGACCAGATAGGGTTACTGCTGCACAATCAAGATAGGGAAAATATGACTGAAACTCAGATAATTCATGGAGGTGCCCTACTGTGGTTTGGATCTATGTCCCCACCCAAATCTCATGTCAAACTGTAATCATCAGTGTTGGAGATGGGGCCTGGTGGGACGTGATGGATCATGGGGTCAGATCCTTCATAAATAGTTTATCACCATCTGTTCTCCTGATAGAGTTCTCATGAGATCTGGTTACTTAAACGTGTGTAGCACCTCCCCTCACTCTGTCTTGCTCCTGCTTCCACCGTGTGAGATGCCTCACTCCCCCTGTGCCTTCTGCCATGATTGGAAGCTTCCTAAGGCCTCCCCAGAAGTAAAAGCTGCTCTGCTTCTTGTACAGTCTGCAAAACCATGAGCCAATTAAACCTCTCTTCTTTATAAATGTCCCAGTCCCAAGTATTTCTTTAAAGCAATGTGAGGACAGACTAATACATACCCCTTGGTGCTTCCATCCCAAGGAATAATCTGATAAGAACAGGGCAAGTTAGAATCCAGAGGTTTCATGGATCTAGGTCTGTGTTACCCAACTAGGCCAATGACTTAGGCCAATAGAAGTCCTGGCTGAGAGTAAAGGTGAAGAGACTCTAGAGTGGGGGCAGAAGAGGAAGCTGAGAAATATCACCTATAGGCGATATTTCTATTTGTCTTAGAAATTGTGTGTGTGTGTGTGTGTGCGTGTGAGTGTGTGTGTGTGTGAAGTGGGTGGGGACTGGGTATCCCTTTGTAGAATGAGTAACAGAGCAGATTAACTTAAAGCAGGGCGTGAATGGATCTGGATGATCCAGCAGGTGGACTGTAGCGGATGACGGTAGTGCTCCCATCATCAGCCCTCACTTTCCCTGTAAATGCCTACAACCCTTTCTGCAAACACTTGTGCCTCCTTGTCTACAGGGAGCTTCTAAGGAAGCTCCCAGACCCCAGTAATGCAAAGTAAAGTGACATAGTGCTTATGTAAGTCTGGAACAGCTTTTACTTTAAAAACTGTGCTCCTTGTCTTGTGCATAAGAACACTGTACACTTGTATACCTCTCTGTGTGCTTCAGAACCTCTCTGTGACCCATCAGTCTACACAACACTGCATATCCCAGTCTCCAACCAGTGGTTTTTGGCTCCTTCCTCACTGGAGTGCTCCATTCAATAAAATGTCTTATCTACTGTCTCAAGTGTTGATTTTATTATTTAGGCTTCTGCACTTTAATCACTTTGCTTCTCCCTGGCATGGTATTTTGCATACCAATTGTTAAGTAAGAGGCTCTCGTGGCACAACTCTGGGACCCCTCCATTTCCAGAGATAACTTAGGCTTGACTTTCTCTCAGCCCTAGAGAGGCCAACTTAGATAATGACTGTTGAAAATAGCATTTGAAATGCTATTTTTTAAACAAAATCTTTATTTTTATATGTTCTCAAAGTCACAGTAGGGGAAGGGCCTAAATATAGTACAAATATAGTTATCTCTAGCTACATTTAGGAAGGTTGGCCAGGATTGTATTTTTGAAAGTCCTAATCATTTTCATGAGAATAGCAATAGCAGAATATACTGGTCCTTAACGTTTTAAAGCATTTTGTCAAAAAGGGTCACATCTTTACCTCTCAGGCATTACGTAAGTTGGAAAAGGAGTTCATACGTGATAAGATTTTTTATGAATTTGGGCTTGGACACATTGGAAGTAACAGGTGAAGAAAGAAACAAAATATGTCACACAAGTTGTCATCTAAAAGAGCCCTCAGGAAATCAATACCATAGTTTTTGGGGAAAAGGAGGCTGTAAGAGTCTAAACCAGTAAGTCAAATGGGAAGAAAAGAGTGCCACTCTGGAAAAGAAGGAACAAGTCTGTACAGTTTAATCTAATATGGAGAATGCATTTCTTCTTATCTCACCATAAGTACCATTGAACTGAAATGAAGATGAGGCTATCCTGTAATGCGGGGGGTGTCAGCACACAGAGATGTGAGCAGGGTCATGTGATAAGCATGAGCAGTAACTAAGGAAGACAGAAAGAGATACCATAAGATACTTCAGCAGCTATGGCAGTTGTTAGGAAATATGTTCTTTACAGTTAGCACTATTTTGACTCATATTCTGTAACTGTAGCACCATATCCATCTATGCCCTGAATAAAGTGCCCTTGGAAAGTCAGATTGTGAATACGAACTTCAAAAGGTATCCTTTGTCCCTTTTTCCACTTCCATGTTAATTATTAATATGTCACCATATTTTTACGTCCTGCCCCAGGTCAGTACCTTCTTCTGATGGAAGATATTTGGGAAAATATTACAATAACTAGGCAAAAACTTCGGGCGTACATCTAACTACATCAATAGTAAACACTCAAAGAAGAATAAAACACAGCTTAAAATGCTCAGATGTAGAAGTCGTCCTTTTATGGTAAAAATAACATGGACTAAAAATAGATAAAAGACATTTTTATTAATAAATGTACAAAAATGCCCAAATTATATTTAGACACACTTATCTAAATAACAACGGTGACTTGGTAGGTTCAGTTTATATCTGTACTAAAGTAACTAAAAAACTATAGATTCCTACATAGGTGTTACCCTAAAATGATTTGAATATTTCAGATTGACTAGAAGTAAACTATTATCCAGCTAAAATGTAAACTCACCAATTCTCACTAAAACTTTATTTTTAATCATATTTATCCGATCTCAAATTGAGCCTTCTCAGGAAAGATCGTCAAAATATTGTAGAAGAAATGAACAATTCTTCACCTGAGTGTTTATTTCTCTCTCCTTGGACCATGGCCTGAATTTGGTTTGGGAAAGAGTCACAGTTCAGATTTTTCCACAGGCCTTCTTGACCTACACAAGTCGGCTTGCTATAAACCAAACCCCTGCAGCTTTCCTATCCTGGCAAAGCTGGGAAAGCCATAAATATTTCTGGCAAAGTAGAACCCTAAAATAGGACAAGGTTTTTTATTTCAAGATCATATAACATTGGTCAAAGTGGCATACTGAGGCAACTAGCTAAAACATATTTTTAAAGCAAATATGTGGTGATATAGAAATATTTCTCACACTAATCCATGTCAACGACCTAGCTGAGGTTTTATAACACTGGGCTGTGTAAGATACGTTGTTTTGGATGGAGATTATAAACAAATCTGGATTCTGCTAGTTGAAAGGAAAAGGTGCTGATGGGCATTAGCCCCATAGAAATAGAGCTCCCACCCAGAGGGGCTTAAAGTATCAGAAACTTAAGAGCACTCCTTAGGCCAGTGGTTTCCAAACTATCATGCATTTCAGAATCCACTGGAGGAGTTGGCTAGGCTCAGCCCCAGAGTTTCTGATTCGCTAGGTCAAAGGTAAGCCTGGAAATTTGTATTTCTCACAAATTCCCTGGAACTGCTAATTCTGCTGGCTCCAGGATCACACTTCAAGAACTACTGCATTAGACTGGCTTGGACATCACAGTAACCCTTCAGAAGAAAGAGAATCTCAAGGCCCGCCCCATCCATACTGCATTTTCATATATTACTTACTTGTGCTAAATTCACTAAGTTATTTACTTGGTGAATATTTGATACTCAGTTTGTTGAGGGTTAATGATTTGTGCCACCCAAGTTCAGAATTTGAAAAGCTAATCAGAAGTCAAAGTAAAGGGAAAGTCCCAAACCTAGGGTTCCCATTTTTTTCCCCTCTCTGTAGGTTTCATTATCATCCCTACATCTACCGAATTGCAAAGAACCACAACCGATGATTAGTTTGCATTGAAAAAATTTGGTTCTCATTGACATTGTTTTTTCTCAAAGTGGATTCATATTCTTAGCTACCCCGCTGGGGCTACTATAAATATAGCACCCTAAAATGGTACAATGTATTTTCAAATGTCATATGATTTCACATAAGTAAGGTAATATAAAATAATATATAGCAACATAATAATTTAATTATGACAGTGAGTAGCATGGTAGATTGCATTGTTTTCCCCAAGCTGTCCCTATACTTCCCTGTGAGAGGATGACATACCCCAGCCCTTTGGCATCTGCTTGCCCTTCTCCGTGACACTAGCTCACTTCCTACCACGTTGACACTTGCCTTGGCTATGTGATTTGCTTTGGTCAATTATCCCATGTCATCATTATCCTTCTGTCTGCCATCAAACTGACATTTCCTGGGTAGAAACTGTTCCTCTGGCCTTGTTCTTGAATGGAAATGATATGGAGCAGAGCCTCAGCTGACATTCATCATGAATGAGAAATAAACCTGGTTTTCAAAGCCACTGAGATTTGAGGTTTATGTGATACCACATAACTCAGCAAAAGTACAATATGAATATACAGAATACATAAAATAAGAGAGGCACTTTAAATGACCTCCTTTATTGAGAAAGTGTGATGGAGAATATGAAAAGGATGCCTGGAATTTACATTATTTCATTTGCACTGGATAAATCTGAGATCCAGAAAGGTTAAGTGATTTTCCTAAAGTCATACGCTTAACTATGAGCATTTTCAAGCAAATGGAAGAGAAAGACAAGTAATTGAGGGCCATGTTAGAAAATGTGCCAGTCTATACAGTTCACTGATGTCTAACATACAAACATGCAAGTGCTACATTGGAGTTTTAAAAGTAATCTGTGTTGGAAACTGGCTGTCTCAAATTTAAAACCGAGTTTGCTTAACCCAGCTATCATTGTCATCATACTACTGCTGTGGAAGACACATACAGGGTTGCAATGAGGCCCCCAGCAAGCTAATGCCCAGATCACTTAACAGATGCATAATTATTGTGAAGAAAAATACAATCGGTTGCTGCTACATAATATTTGAATCTTACAACACCTTTCCTTCAATCTAATTGTCTACCAAAAAGAGAAAAAAATCTGTCAATTTATCTCTGCATTTCTAGCTTGCTTAGGGGAAAAATACACTGGTCAGGCTAAAGTGAATAGCTTATTCAGTTGTAGATCTCGTTGCATAATAGAATTGCTCTTCTCCTCACCCCTCTCCAAAACCCCCAGTATCTTTCTTACTTGCAAATAACACATGGCATTTCCTTTGTTGGATAATTAATCTCTCCACTCAGCCCACACTATCAAGGTAGGTTGACCTCACTTTCGGCTTCAGGACTGGCTAACGTGAATCACATAAATAAGGCAGTATAAAACAATATATGGCAACATAATTTCTTTAATGTACTTGAACAGTGAGTAGCATGGTAGATTGTATGGCTTTTCCCAAGTCCTTTTTACCCTTCCCTGTGTGAGAGGGGATGACATATTCCAGCCCTTTGGCATCTGCTTGCCCTTCTTAGTGACACTAGCCCATTATCTACCATGTTGACACTTGCCTTAGCTATGTTTCACCCACAACCCATCTCCCTGCCCTGGTGATTGGTTCATGTATGGGTATGTGACCCCGTGGGGGCCATCACAACAAGATCCAAAACAGTTAGGAAAGAGAGGCTATTCCTTCCACACTAAATGTGAAATCTAGAACTGCAGTGGTCAGTTTTTAATTAAGAAAAGAGATCATGTCTGAAAATGAATTCAATATGTGGGGGAAAATTAACCCAAGATGAAGAACCAGGTAATTGTTTGAGCCTCAACATCAAGCCAGCCAAACTTCCAAAGTTTATTGGTCATTTCAATCAATAAATTCCCTTTGTGTTTAAGCCAGCTTGACATTGGGATTTTTCTCACTTGCGATTAAGAATCCTAAATTATAACATAGTAAATTAACAAGGTTGGCATTTTTCAGCCTCTTATGCATTTAGAAAATGCAGTTTAGCCTCCCTGACATTCACAAACTCTGGGTGACTGACAAGATTATTTTGGCTGGGATGTCAAACTCTGAGCCTAGGTAAACTGACCAAGGTAAATGTCACCCTGTAAGGCTTATTAACAGCCAACTGTTTTGCTATGAATTCTAAGGTTATCAAGCTTCCAACGTCATCCTGCCTTTTTCTTTTAAATATATACAGATTATTGGGTAGCCTTATCCTGTTTTATTTTAGAGATGAGCTCAAAAGAAGAAACTCTTCTCTTCATGATATTTGGAGTTGTTAAACAAATCAACAGGTATTTATTGAACAATCATGTTTGCCAGCCAAGTGTTAGTGTGTTGTATTATGTAAGAATAAGTTTTTTTTGAAGCAATCTTCTATAAAGAATGCTGCCTGGTAAGTTCCAAAGAGAGGCCAGAATCATGCTGACAAATTACCAGAATCAGATTTTTATTATTATTGATACCCAGAGAGTTTTTTTTAACTGAAGGTTCCATAAGAAAAAGTATTAAATAAGAATGGCCAGCCAGGCGCGGTGGCTCACGCCTGTAATCCCAGCACTTTGGGAGGCCAAGACGGGCGGATCACCAGGTCAGGAGATCAAGACCATCCTGACTAACACGGTGAAACCCCGTCTCTACTAAAAATCCCAAAAAAAAAAAAAAAAAAAAAAAAATAGCCGGGCGAGGTGGCGGGTTCCTGTAGTCCCAGCTACTCGGGAGGCTGAGGCAGGAGAATCGCTTGAACCTGGGAGGCGGAGCTTGCAGTGAGCCGAGATCGCGCCACTGCACTCCAGCATGGGCGACAGAGTGAGACTCCATCTGAAAAAAAAAAACAAAACAAAACCAAAAAACCAAAAACGTATGGCCTAATAATTTATCATAAGGCATGTAACCACCACCCAGATCAAGAAATAAAATCTTCATTGCAGCGCTATTCACAACAGGAAAGACATGGACTCAATCTAAATGCCCATCAGCGACAGATTGGATAAAGAAAAATGTGGTACATATACACCATGGAATACTATGCAGCCATAAAAAGAACAAGATCCACTTTGGGAGGCTGAGGCAGGCAAATCACGAGGTCAAGAGAGCGAGACCATCCTGGCCAACATAGTGAAACCCCGTCTCTACTAGAAATACAAAAATTAGCTGGGCATAGTGGTGCATGCCTGTAGTCCCAGCTACTCGGGAGGCTGAGGCAGGAGAATCGCTTGAACCTGGGAGGCGGAGCTTGCAGTGAGCCGAGATCGCGCCACTGCACTCCAGCCTGGGGACAGAGCGAAACTCCGTCTCAAAAAAAAAAGAATGGACTTGCAGTTTACTTGCATTTAAGGATAAGTATATATAACATATTAGCAATGACACTGAGTAGAGTTTGGAATTCTTTTCTAATTCTGTATATTGACTCAGTGAGACTAGTGAAGTGTCTCTGTTCAGGTACAGCACGATTAATTTTCTTCATCTGTTGTCAATCTAACATGCACATCCTCTTCTTTATATCCCTGGCTCTTCTATATTGGGATAATTACATCTCCACTAAAAATACAAAAATTAGCCGGGCATGGTGGCGCCTGCCTGTAATCCCAGCTACTCGGGAGGCCGAGGCAGGAGAATCACCTGAACCTGGGAGGTAGAGGTTGCAGTGAGCCGAGATCGCGCCACTGCACTCCAGCCTGGGGACAGAGCGAAACTCCGTCTCAAAAAAAAAAATGGACTTGCAGTTTACTTGCATTTAAGGATAAGTATATATAACATATTAGCAATGACACTGAGTAGAGTTTGGGATTCTTTTCTAATTCTGCATATTGACTCAGTGAGACTAGTGAAGTGTCTCTGTTCAGGTACAGCACGATTAATTTTCTTCATCTGTTGTCAGTCTAACATGCACATCCTCTTCTTTATACCCCTGGCTCTTCTATATTGGGATAATTACATCTCTACTAAAAATACAAAAATTAGCCGGGCATGGTGGCGCCCGCCTGTAATCCCAGCTACTTGGGAGGCCAAGGCAGGAGAATCACCTGAACCTGGGAGGTAGAGGTTGCAGTGAGCCGAGATCGCGCCACTGCATTCCACCCTGGGTGACTGAGCCAGACTCCATCTCGAAAAAAAGAAAGATAATTATTTCTTTATATCAAATTCCATGTTACTAATAGTAGAAAAAAATCTGTTTATATCTACAGTTGCTTTTCAGATTTTAATATAGAGTCTTCATAAACTGTACGTAGTTAAATATGAAGGCTGTTTCACTCCTTGCTGTCGACTAAATGGCTACTGCTAGTATTTATTATACAGGGACTGGCTTCTGTCTCTATTTGAGCAGCCCGGCAACTTTCTGTCTTCTCTGAGTGCTGTTTGTCTGCCGCTTCTGTGTTCTGCCAGAGCCGTCGCCGTTGCAAGGAGCCGGTGTATATTCTACTGCTTTTTGGCTGGGAGAATAAATTCCAGCTTAGGTCCAAGTTGAAAACGAATCCCCTAGTAGGCAAAAACATGGACTCTAGTATACTTCCTGTGCACCCCCTTTGGCCTCAGCAGCCTGGAGTTTTACAGTGGAACCATTTCATGCTTAATAACATGTTCTACACAAGGCACCATGGGAAACACAAAGGCATGGGCCGTACTGTCTGCATTGAGAAATGCAAACTCTTGCATGGGAGACAAGATTTGTATGTTCACGGAAACACGCACGCATGTGCATGCACACACACAAAGGCACACACCTTGAAACTAATGCGACAGTGTACTGAGAAATAATAAATGCATGATACTGGTAGTTTATTGATGAGAAGAAATCAAGGTAAGTTCAATTAGTCAAGAAAGACTTCATAAAAATCTAACTTGAATGGCGCTCCGGAGGCCAGGAAGGACTTGAAAAGTTAGTGTGAAGTCTGGGCTGGCCAAAGGAAAGCTTCTCCAAGTGAGCTGAGCCCCAATATCAATTTAGTTAAAAAACCTGGTCCAACAATTGCTTGTCATAATGTAGGCCACATGTGTATAGACCGAATTCTTCCCGTTTTAATTGCTTATTTTGGCTCTATAAAATCCCAGCCTATATCTTTTTGGCTTTCATTTGGTAATGCATATTTAAACAAGTTTCTAATGTTGCATTTGTTGAAATCCAGCAGAACAGTGGCTTGTATTTTAAACCTGATTGTCCTTGTGTGAAAAACCACTGAAGTTTTTGAAAAGCTATAAGCGTGCTGTTCTCTTGGTTTATTAACTGATCTGTTTGTTAGAAACCTTTATTATAAATCCAGTCATTCTGCAAATATTTCTCTAATGCTTTTAAAATAAATAAAACCCAAACTTTGCCTTTAAGCAGCAATAAAATCAGGAGTGCATCAAAGCAAGAAATTCAAAGTACAGCTCAATGTGGCTGCGAGAGAGCTCCCCTGTTCAAAGACATTGGAAAATGATCCTGGAAAGGTGTAATATTTATATGTGAAGTCTATCTTACCGCAGCTTTAGATCATATTTGAGAAAGAAAAATTTCCAGCCAGTGACTGGAATATGTTCATTGGCTTCATTTGTTACTTGGACTTATTTATAAATATACAAATTTATATATTATGCATTATACTATACTTTAAAAAGTGAGAGTATCTCAAGAGTTTGTGTTATAGTAATATATATCAAACAAATACAAGGTAAACAATTTACTTAAATAGAAGTGTTCTACTTGTGAAGTCTAAAAGAAATACTTTGTACTTCATAATTTTGAAGCAACAGCCTGATCTTATTTGGCCAGATGCCTTTAACAAAACAGCCTGGTGAGAGGGGTGAAGGGTGAACTTGTTACTCACTGAATCTAGAAATGACAAATTATTCATCATACTGAAGGAAATATCACACAAACCCATAATATAAGTTTATTTTACTCATTAAATCCTGATTTCTGCGTCAGCTTCTTCTATTTTTCTTACAGATGCAAAACTGTAAATGAGTCATAGTAGGACGCTTCCCGTGAGAATTATTTTTCTCAGGAAGAATGAAGGAAGTATAGTCTTACGCTTTCCTTCTGAAGTTCACAAAGCTTTTGACTAAGATACTCGTAGTGAATAAGCTATTTTTCATTGTCTCTAATTTAAGACATTTGTTTTTTTAAAACGTATTTTCCAGAAAACGTTCGTTGTATTGCTGCCTGTATCTAATCACACAATATAAAGTTAGAAACAAGGTAAAGCAAATTTAACTATCTTTTCTTTTTCTTCCTTCCACAGTTGCACATTTTATGTATAAAGAGAATTTGTAATGATCTCATTCACCTAATTGGATTTAATTTTAGCAAAGTGAAATATTGTCTTTGGACATGATGAGCACTCAAACACAAAAAGTTTTCTATGTTTTGTAATTGTAAATCCTCATAATCTGTAATATCTTGAAAAGAACTGAGCCAAATAATTGGTCTAAAATTTGAGTTCACAATGTTGAGATGACCAAAGCTGGCAAGTATAATAAGTTGCCTAATACATCTGGCTATCTTTCAAAGACACACAAAAATATATAGTCACAACTTTTTTTAAAATAAAGTAAGTTAACTAATGGACCCACTCTTTAAAAAAAAAATTTTTAAGACGAGTACTTGTATCCGCTTTATATTATAGCCCATGCATACGAATTACATGATTTTTACCAAGATACTCTAAAGATACTACTTAATTATAGAGTGGAGAGCAAATGGCAATGTTTATGTCATAATTACCAAATGAAATGCAATTATAAATTTTGTGAGAAGGATTGAATATTGGCCACTGAACCATATAGCTATACAGTATTAGACTGAGTTCTAACAACAAGACGGTTTGATCAGCGGTCCCATTTATGTGCTCAACAACATGAGCATATCAAGATCAAGGCCTCTACCTTTCTGGATTCTCAGTAAGTAAGCCCACCTATTCACAGCTTTCCTTGATTTAGAAAAAGTGTAAGGTCATTCTTATGTTAATATCATTAAATATATGTACTCAATATTCTTCCCTTACAAAAATAAAATTCTCAATCAGCTGCTGAAATTGAGACCTGTAAGTCTTTCCATAGCTTCTACACATTATTGGCATAAAACTTCACTCGAAACAGTAACATCTTCTTTCATTATTTTTATTTTTTTGTTATTTTTAATTTCAACTTTTATTTTAGAATCAGGGGTTACATGTGTAGGTTTGTTATATGGGTATATTACATGATGCTGAGGTGTGGGGTATGATCAATCCTATTACCCAGGTAGTGAGTATAGTACCCACTAGTTTTTGAACCATTGTCCCCTATCTCCCCACCCCCATAGTAGTCCCTAGTCTCTATTGTTCCCATCTTCATGTCCAGAGTACCTATGTTTAGCTCCCATTTATAAGTGAGAAGGTGCAATACTTGTTTTCCTGTTTCTGTGTTAATTCACTTAGAATAATGGCCTCCACCTGCATCCATGTTGCCACAAAGGACACTATTTCATTCTTTTGTATGGCTGCATAGTATTACATTATTTATATGTACAACATTTACTTCATCCAGTCCGCCATTAACGGACACCTAAATTGATGCCATGTTTTTGCTATTGTGAATAGCACTGACATAAACATACAAGTGCATGTATCTTTTTGGTAGAGTGATTTATTTTCTTTTGAATATATACCCAGTAATGAGATTGTTAGGTTGAATGGTAGTTCTATTTTAAGTGTTTTGATAAATCTCCAAACTGCTTTCCACAGGGACTAAATTTATCTACATTCCCACTAACAGTGTACAAGCTGCTATACACTTACACACTTTTCTCTGAAGGCTCACCAATATCTGTTGTTTTTTGACTTTTTAATAATAACCATTCTGACTTGTGTGACATGATATCTCATTGTGGTTTTGATATGCATTCTTTGATGATAGTGATGTTGAGCATTTTTTTCATATATTTGTTGGATGGTTGGACGTCTTCTTTTGAGAAGTGTCTGTTCATGTCTTTTGCCCACTTTTTAATAGGATTACTTGATTTTCACCTGTTGAATTGGTTAAGCTTCTTATAGATTCTGAATATTAGACTTTTGTCAGATGCATAGTTTATGAAAATTACCTCCCATTCTGTAAGTTGTCTGTTCACTCTGTTGATAGTTTCCTTTGCTGTGTGGAAGTTTTTGGTTTAATTAAAAGTCCCACTTGTCAATTTTTGTTTTTGTTGCATCTGCTTTTGAGGACTTACTCATAAATTGTTTCCTGAGGACAATGCCCAGAATGGTGTTTCCTAGGTTTTCTCCTATGAATCTTATCATTTGAGGTTTTACATTTAAACTTTTAATCGATCTTCAGTTAATTTTTGTATATGGTGAGAGGTAGGGTCCAGTTTCAATCTTCTGCATATGGCTAGCCAGTTATTCCAGCACCATTTATTGAACAGAGAGTCCTTTCCCCATTGCTTATTTTCATTGATTTTGTTGAAGATCAGATGGTTGTAGGTGTGCAGCTTTATTTCTGGGTTCTGTATTCTGTTCCATCAGACTATGTGTCTGTTTTTGTACCAGTGCCATGATGTTTTGATTACTGTAGCCTTATATTACAGTTTAAAGTCATATACTGTGATGTCTCCAGCTTTGTTCTTTTGGCTTAGAATTGCTTGGCTATTTGGGATCTTTTTTTGGTTCCATATGAATTTCAAAATAGTTTTTTCTAATTCTGTGAAAAATGACCTTGGTAGTTTGAAAGGAATAGTGCTGAATCTGTAGATTGCTTTGACCAATACGATCATTTTAACAATATTGATCCTTGCAATCTATGAGCATGGAATGTTATTCTATTTGTTTGTATAATCTGTGATTTATTTCAGCAGTATGAAACAGTAACATCTTTTCTGCTCAATTATATCCTTTATTTCTAGGAAATTTTCAATTTTCAAAAGAACAACCTTCATAAGACCTTATCTAAGGTTGTATCTTTGTGTGCTAATAAACTACTAGAGTGATTAACATATAATAAATATTGTTAAAAGGCAATATTTTTAAAATAGAAAATCATAATTTATACAAATATATAATGAAAACACATCATTTGAATTCATAATTTAGTGCGGGAAACAGTAAGATGTTAAAATTAATTCAAAGGAGGAATTAAACAACCATATTTACAGAGCCAGTAAAGAATGCTGAAATTAGTTTACAAATAAATACAAAAATGGTATATGCAGAGAGTAAGAATAAACTGCATTCTACCAGACATATTTCACTTGCATTTCTATGGATAAGAATCACCTGCATTATTATCAGTTTTCCAGAGCTTATAGACTTGTAAAATAGTTCAAAACTATTAACAGGTGGTAATAACTAGGAAGGTTGTGGTACCCAGTGTGGCAGGCAGAATTCTAAGATGGCTCTCATGATTTCCAACCCCAATGTTATTCCCATGATTCTGTTATGTTACATGGCAATCAGGATTTTGCAGAGGTAATTAAGGTCACTCATCAGTCAATCTTATCATAGGAAGATTATCCAGATGGATTTAGCTTAGTCACATGAGCCCTCTAAGAGCAGAGGTTTTTCTCTAGTTAGAAGCAAAAGGGAAGTCAGAGATTTGAAATATAAAAAGGATTTGACATGCCATTGCTGGTTTGAAGATGGACAAGGCCATGGGAAAAAGATCTGAGCATGTCCTTTAGTTGTTAAAAATGATCTCCAGCCACTAGCCAGAAAAAAAAAAAAAATGAGGACCTCACTTATGCAACTGCAAGGAGTTGGATTCTACCAATAACCCAAATAAACTTGGAAGAGGACTTTCTCCCAGAGTTTTTAGATGAGTATTCAGGCCAATTAACACATAATGATAGCCTTGTGATACCCTGAACAGAAAGTCCAGTCCCACTGTGCTGTATGCCAGACTTACAGAACTATAAGCTAATATAAGAATATTGTTTTAAGCTGCTAAGTTTGTGGTACTATGTTATGCAGCAATAGAAAATTAATACACAATCAATTCTCTGCTATTTCACAAATACTTATGAAAATATTAATAAGTATGAAATGTATACACAGAAAACAATCATTGATAACTTAGAGAATATCCCCTTGAAATTGGCATTTAGTTTTTTAAAATCAGAAAATGTAAAGATTTACACATAGGTCATATTTGAGAGATAAGGTGAAAGTGGAAAAAATCTCTAATTTCATTAGATTTACTCAATATGGAATACACAAAAGGAGTCATAGGCAGTGTCCACATACCTCTTTACTCCCTGACCATGGTTTGAAACTTAATAAGCACCGATTTAAGAATAGCTGACTATCAGTTTTTCTAAACAGTGCCCTACATTGATAAATACTTTTCTTTATAAAAGAAAAGCACTTGTGAACATATTGACTGCAGTCCTCTCCTGGAGAGAAGGCAGCTTACTTTCTGTCACCTGCAGAGGCATTGGAATGAAAGCATAATCATTTGTATTGAGATTCTAAATCAAATGTGCCAGGTTTGAGAGTTTTTACTCCCGATTGGCTAGCCTTTGGAAACAGGAAAACAGAAAGAGGAAATGTCCACGTTTGAGCTGGCATGGGCCATGCAATCTTCATCCAGCACTGACAAGTCCCTGCTGTTGGAATCCTGCAGCAGTTGTGCTGTTTGTCTGTGGGTATTACCAAAGGCCAAGGAAGTGTGCCGTATGCATAGGGAATATTAAATAACTAGAGAAAAGATTAAAATTTTACAAACACACATCTACACCTTCTTAAACATCAATGTGTCTTCTGAAGCTATGGTATACTACTTTTTTTTAATCAAGTGGATATTTTATGTTCATCTTTAAATTTTTGTTATAATACGTTGGGGACTTACGCGGCATCTTTTAAAGATGTTTACCTATCTAATTTTCTTTTAGTTAGACAGAATTAAATAAAACTGAAACACATTTTACTAACTGATTAAAGCTTCTTTCTATCGCTCCTCCTCCATCACCAACTCTTTTGTTAATGTCTGGAAACATCACTTTTAATGTCTTTCATCAGCATGAAACAATGTATACAAGTAAGCATTTGGTATCTCGACACAGCAATTTAAGCCTTCCACAACAAACTTACTTTTTAACGGCATGTTTTACTATACTATACTATAGTTGATACATGGAACCATGCCCAATTACAGACACTATATATACACCAGTGCTTCTTACTTTGTGCAACTGTATTCAAGAGAAGCTATGTATGTAAATCATTTATACACATTTATAAAATTGAAACGTTTAGAAATCTACTAGGGGGGCTGGGCACGGTGGCTCACGCCTGTAATCCCAGCACTTTGGGAGGCCAAGGCGGGTGGATCACCTGAGGTCAGGAGTTCAAGACCAGCCTGGCCAACATGGTGAAACTATAAAAAGTAGCCGGGCATGATGACGCATGCCTGTAATCCCAGTTACTCAGGAGGCTGAGGCAGGAGGATCACTTGAACCCGGGAGGTGGAGGTTGCAGTGAGCTGAAGGTTGCAGTGAGCCAAGATTGCACCATTGCACTCCAGCCTGGACGCCTCACCGAGATTCTGTCTCAAAAAAATAAATAAATAAAATCCACTAGGGGATATTTCTGTTTCAGGAAACTCTGTATCGATCCATTTTATAGTACAAATAGTCATTTCTAGATATTATCTCCTTCGAACATGTTGTGCCTAGCATATAATAAGCATTAAATTAGTAGAGAGAGGCAAAATCAAAGACAAAGGCAAAATTAAGACACAGGACTTTGAAAGCAGAAAGATGTTTTAGTTTTGTACTCTAATTGGTGTTTAGAAAATATTATACTCAATAATATTAGCATGGTGAATTATTTCTATTCATTATTCAAGGTTATCACTATATATATGGTGATATACATTTTATATATATATAACATATATAGCATGTGAATATATGCACATATAAATTTATATATAAACAATTTTATATATTATTGTATATAATATATAATATAGTAGAATATATTATATATGTACTATATCATGTGTGGGTATACTGTATATATTATACTATATATCATAGTATAATATATATTACACTATATAATTATATATAATATATAATTATATATTATAGTATATAATGTACTATATATAAATATATAATATTTATATATATGTATTTATGTAAAACAGTGAGAAGAGTGCCTAGCACAAAGCTAGCAGTTAATCACACTATTTGTTATTTTCCAGCAGCACGTCAAGCTCTATATATTGAACTATACTTCTTACCCACTCACTCAAACCTCCAGTCACTTTCTGCCATTTTCTCACTTGATTGGGAATCATATATAAATCATATACATATCATATATATAAAATTTATATAAATATATAATATATAATTATAGTATAATATATAATATATAATTATAGTACAATATATAATTATATAGTGTAATATATTACTTATATATAAATATATAAGTATATTAATTATATATTACATTATATATTGTGTAGTTTAATATATGTTATACTATATTATATAATAACATGTATATAACATAGTATATGTGGTATATCATATATAGTATATATAGCATATATACTGCATGTATAGTATATATAGCATATATGCTGCATGTATAGTATATATAGCATATATACTGCATGTATAGTATATATAGTATAATATATAGTGATATATATTACATAATATATATAACGTAATATATTTTTAATATATTATATTTTATATTTTGTTTCACTGTCCCAACCTTCCACTTCAGATTGCCTAATTTAAAATTTGGAATCCTTAGCAAGAATACCCAGTTCTTGTCAGTTGTAATGATGCTGAGTTGGAAGACAGTCAAGGAAGAAGGCATGATATGTTCATCTAGGACTAATCAGGAAGCTAAAGCAGAAAAATTTCTAAATAGCTCATATGATGAAGACCAAAGTTAATTCAATTTTTTAAAAAAGTGAATGCAATACACGTTTGTATATTTAATTATATTTTTCCTTTTTAATTTTTGAAATTTGCTTAGCTTGAAATAGAACAAAACAACTGAGGTCAATCTGTGTATATTAGTTTCCTATTACTTTAACAAATTACCAGAAACTTAGTGGCACAAAGCAACACATATATATTATTGTACAGCTGTGGAAGTCAGAAGTTCAAAATTGTTTGCATTAGGTAAAGTCAAGTTGTTAGGGGAGAATTCATTTACTTGCTTCTAGAGGTCACATGTATTCCTAGGGAAGGCTATATACAATATTATTTGTCAGTTATACCTCAATAGAGAAAAAAGAACATGAATATATGAAAACTGAAGATTTTTGAAGCCATTTTTGCATTTCTTCCTGTGTATGTGCATATGTGTTGGGGATAAGTTGTTAGGACTTCCATACCTGAATATCAATAAGTTTAATCAATTTGCTTTCTTCCCAGCACTACTCAAACTGAGGTAAAGTGTGTTTGGCGAAACACAGATTAGAAAATTTCTCTTTAAACTAGGACAATCCCAACGAGCGCAGCACTCCTAGAGAATTGACTGCAAGCCACGTCTTATCCAAGCACTGTCCATTGCTCTAAATTCCTGCGAAACTTATTAACAAAATTACTTGTTCCTTTTTTCCCTTTTAACAACATTATAATTAAATAATTAACGGTGTAATTTTTTATTTGATAGTTATCCCTTGGCAAATTCTTAAAGTTCTATTAAAATCACAACCATATCTGTCTTGTTCACCACGCTACTACAGCAACTAATAGATTCTATGGTACACAGTATATACTCCGTTAATATCTGTTGAAAGATGGGAAGAAGAAAAGAAGGAACCAGTAAAGAAAGAAGCAAGGGAAAAAAGAAGCCCCAGTCACTAGTTTGGGCCTGAATAAGAAATAATGATGCATAGGTGTACATGGACACTATAAATGAGACAAAGCAGCGAGGAAGCCTCACAAGTTTAGAGCCATAAGCCAGATACACAGTATGCAAGGTAGAGAAGTCCAAAACCCATTGATTTATCTCCCTTTATATATAGAGCTTGGCCCATCCTGCCCAGAGTTAGGGGGTGACTTCATAAAACATTTTGCTAGTCTGGAAAGAAGAGAGAAAAGTAAACTTTTGAAATGGAGCCCTTTTGGGGGTAAAAAAAGCATTGTGAGGAAGTTGCGCAGGGCAAGAGGTCTTTGAATCAGCATTAAAAAGGCCTACTTTTGATGTAACACTTTTAGTAATTATCTGTTTAGTTTTCTCCTTCAACATTCAACAGATATTTAATAAATGAATCATGATACCAATGAACGAAGGCCATGATGGAAACAACCCAGGGCAATATGTTCACTGCCTCAAGGGCAGTTACCCAGATGAGGTCACAAGTGTAATCATCACAGAGGAATAGATGCCTAGCCCAAGATTTGAAAGATAAACAGAAGTTATCCAGGCAAAGAAAGAGTGGGGAGTGATCTTCCCAGATGAGGTGGCTGTGCAATGGCAGGGAGGCTTAAGATGACATAGTGCATTCTGAGAATTACGTGTAATTTGCTATAAAGGGAGTGAACAGTAGGAGGATGTGATTGGGTTGATCAGAAGTATCAAAGATGAGGCTGAGGCTGAGAATGTTTGGGTCTTATCCCAAAATTAGTGGGGAGTTTTAAGGCCAATTAAGCAACCAACATGACTGGATTTCTTCTCCCAGCTGCATAGCAATTGAATTATACGGGGGTCAGAGATGGGGTCTCTTCTAGATTAAGAGAGAAGTAATTGCAATGGTTTTGGCAAAAAATTATGAACACCTGTACCAATGCATACATGATGAGAATGTAGAGGAGATGATAGTGGTTAAGTAGAGAGGTAAGGCAGAGGATGACGGAGCAGGTGGAGTCACTGATGTCTCCCAGGTTTCAGAGTAGAGTGTCTAGGTGATTCCCAGTCAAGTGAGAAAATGGCAGAAAGTGACTGGAGATTTGGGTGAGTGGGTAAGAAGTATAGTTCAATATATAGAGCTTGACATGCTGCTGGAAAATAACAAATAGCGTGATTAACTGCTAGCTTTGTGCTAGGCGCTCTTCTCACTGTTTTACATGTAATTGTGAACCTCAAATGAGATAACATTTAAGCACTTTTGGGGAAAGTATAAGGTGCAACATTGTTGTGTGTATTAGGATTTGTATATTTATCGTATTTCGAAGAGTAAGGCATCAGGGTTTTCTTTTTAACTGAGAAAATCACACTACAAAAAACTTAAAAAGATAATAAATTGACAAACTATCATGTATTACTCTTTTTTAAAGAAAAATGATTTAATGGGACTGTATTTTTAAATATTTCTAAAATAATGCCTTTCTATACAGTTAGCCTCATCAATTGAAAACATGTAATGTTATTTTAAAGTGTTTCAGTGGTTTAACGGGCAAAACACTTGAATAAGAATTTCAAATAATTATTTATTACTCTTGCTCAGTTCTTCTAAGCATGAATCTCTTTTCACTGATACACAGCTAACCCATAAGAGGAGCCTGATCACCGTTAGCTACTCCATTTGTTGGCCCACTATAAAAACCAGTGTATTCATGTAGCGTCGGTATTCATTTTGCCTGTTCACATTTGCAATTCTTTATGCTTCACAGTCTGTACCATAGCATGAGTAGCTTACAATGCTTTAGTAGAGCATATTGTTCAAGAACTACTATGTTTCATGTTACACTGATAAACTACTCATTAAAGTTTAAAATATTTTCTCTTCCTTTAACTGATATATTGAGTAAACCGTTTACCATGGATTGAGAAACTTGACAATAGAAAAAAAACTGTTGAATTATAAATGAGATGCTGAGTATGAAAATAATGAATTCTACACTTTTCTTATGTGAAGGCAAAGACCATGAAAGTCCACTAAAGCTGCAAATGAAATTATCTTGTGCAGTCTGATATCAGGAATACAAATAAATGGCACAAAAGCTAGTAATATGTATTTAAGAATTAAAAAGCTGCAGAGTCAAGCCAGTTAAGTATTATTTGAGCTGTTGAGAGTAGTGAGAAGAATCCTGAATTTAGTATCAAGGACCTAGGTTTAAGTGCTGGTATGATTTTGGACATCTCTGTATTGCTCAATTTCCTAATCAATGCCCAAAGCTACTCATGTATTTGTATAAATTTTAAAAATATGCATTTTTAAGTTATGATTATTATTATGAACACTGAAGACTCACATGACATTGGTAATGTTTAAAAATGCTCTTCATGGGATAAACTATATTAATGTTTTTTACTGAAAATAATATAGAAGTGGCTAAAATGACAGCATGTTTTCCAAATGCATCAGTGAATTTCAAAAGGAGGCATTTGTCATCATTCTAATTTTTATCAGAATAATAATAATAATATGCCAAATGCTAGTATTCCTTCAAAACATAATAAATTTTAACTTAAAATTTTGATGCTAGCATTGACATTCTACATTTGTAAAGTTCTGTTTACTTTATCACGTAACTTGGGGAAAAAAATGTTTCTTGCCAGACAAGACTTCCTTGATTAACAAAATAGGAAAACTGATATTCTCTCTTCCAAACTTGTTATTTTCGTTTTTAATTTTCACCACCTGAAACAGTATCTTCTATTGTTTATTTGTACACGTTCTGTCTCTAATAGAGTGCAAGCACTAGGAGGCAGGGACTTTGTTTAATTCACTCTTGCATCCTTAATGTCTGGCCCATTGTCTCGCACAAAGAACGCCCCCAATAAGTATTGTTGAATTGATATATTTCTGCTGCTAGATATTGTATTATATTAAATGTGCTTCCTCATTTAATTATATTAACCCTTTGAATTAGATAATAATAGTAGAAGCACTTAAATAGTGTTTTTGTGTTGTCGGCCAATGTTCTCAGGGCTTCACTCAAATCAATTCTCATAGGAATCTCATAAAGTATTCTCATATGCAGCTAAGAAAATGGATGCACAAAGAAGTTAAATGACTTGCCTAAACTTATTTATCTAGAGAATAGCTGAATTCGATTTTAACCTAGCCAGCGTGGCTCTAGTTTCCATGACGTTAACTGTTACGTTATAGGCCTTTCTACATGTTTATCTTACATGTTAGATAGCTGTGGCTGAGAACATTAATGGAAATTGTACTGTTTCCTTACGTATGTTTTATATTTATGCTGTATTTATGTTTATCATTTATTTTATAATGTATTTTTTAATCAGTAATTACAATAAGGGAAAATTAATATATGAAGTGCAGAAATCTGTTTAAAACTAGTTATATTGAGAGCTACTGAATTGCAGATGGTTAGAGCTAAATACCTTAATTGTCACCCATTTTAAAATTTGTTATTTCACACATGAGGCCCAGACAAGTACAGTGACTGTCTGTGGTCACCAAGAATGTTAGTTATTCTAGTTTGAAGTTCTTTCTCTTGGGTAGAATGCTTTCAGATGAGTAGGTCAGACAGCATAATTTTTCAATTCCTGCCTTCTCTGCTTGCTTTTTGCTAATGAAGCATAGATGCTATGGTGATAAACGCTGTATAAATAATAAATGGAACAGAAAATAAACTATACAGAAGGGAGGAACGTAATGGTCTTTTCACCTCCTTGTGTTTAATGATTAAACTGTACATCCTCACAGAGGCTTTTAGAAATGATGATAATCTATTTAACCATCATTTAGCCATATATATTTTCAGATTTTTAGATTATTAAATATATTAGCTACTGCTGTACTAATTATTTGAGTAAAGAAATAAACTATGCTTGCAGTAATAATTTTATTGTTGACTTTTTCTGTTGTTTAGTCTTAAATAAATGACAAAATTGAACTTAAATATTTAAAATTCATTTTTCAGATTTTGTAATGGACATTATTGTTTTATTTGTGAACTCAACAGGTATTTACCACCTTCCTTCTAAACCCAAGTACTATTCCATGTGCTGGATGTAGAGTGAACATGTTAGGCAGATAAGTGTATAGCATACTGTCAGGAAGTAAGAGCTATCAGGAATGATAAAACAGAATGGAGGAGATAGAGAGAATCTACCTCTGATAGAGTGGTCTCAGCAGACCCCTTTGAGGAGGTAACCTGTAACAGAGACTTGGATGGATTAAGGGACCAATCTGTAAGAATGCCTGGGGAAGGTGTATTCCTAAGAGAGGGATGGGTAACTGCAAGGGTCTAGGAGATGGGAAAATATTTGTCAAATGTGAGAAACAGCAAGAGGGCCAATGTGACAGAAAGGAGTGAGAGAGCGGAAAAGTGAAGGGAGGCAGGCACTGGGGTGGGTAGAAGCGAGACTGAAGAGAGACTTCTAGGCTATTGTAATAACTTTAGACTTTGTTATAAAATGGGAACCCATTTTGAATAAGGGTGTGCCATAAAACTAAGTGATATATTTTATTCCAAAGCAGGCAAGAGGATTAATTTTATGTGTTGACTTGACTGGGTTAAAGGATGCCCACGTAGGGGATAAAACATACTTGTGGGTGTGTCTGCGAGAGACTGGCATTTGAATAGATAGGCTGAATAAAGAACAGCCTCACCAATGTGGCAGGGAATCATCTAATTAATTGAGGGACCGAATAGAACAAAGAGGTAAAGGAGGGGTGAACTTGCTTTCTGCTTAAGCTACCCCTGTGGTTCTCAGGCCTTCAAACTCAAACAGGGTCTTACACCATTGGTTTCCCTGGTTCTCATCCCTTGGGTTTGAACTGGAACTATGCCATCTTTCCTGGGCCTCCAGCTTGCAGATAGCAGATTGTAGGACTTCCCAGCCCCCACAATTGTATGAGTCAAATTCTCATAATAAACCTCTTTCCATACACCTATATATATATCCTATTGGTTCTATAGGTTCTGAAGAACCCTAATATATCGGACCCCAGATTTTGCAATTGAGAATAATGGATAAGAAAGTATTCCATCAGCAAGCCAGAAATGATGAAGAATTCCTAAAGGCAGAGAACAAGTGGCAGTAGATTGATTAACCTGAAAAGCTAAAGCAGATAAGATCTTTTGTACAAAGAAATTAGAAAAGAAAAAAAGTTAAAACATTTGGAGGAAGCGCAAATAGTCATATGGGAGCCCTGAAGGAGTGCACATCTAAGGATCAACAAATGCGAAGAGAATTAGACCATGGAAATTAATTTAACTGCTTGCAGATCACTTTAGGGATGTGTGTCCTTTACCTTCTTCAACTGCCTGTGCATTTAGCATAGCTGCCACTAATTACTTTTAAATTAGGCTAAAATTTCAAGAACTTCTCCCTAAATAAAGTGATATTACAACTCCTAGAGTTGGGATCTGAGAAAAATGCAAAGAAATAGCTACTGCATGTGGAGCTTAATACCTAGGTGATGGGTTAACAGGTGCAGCAAACCACCATGCCATACAATTATGTATGTAACAAACCTGCCCATCCTGCACATGTATCCTGTAACTTAAAATTAAATTTAATGAAACTTAAAAAAAGGAAATTAAGGCAAAGTTCCTCAGAGGCTGCCTCAAGAGACACAAGGCAAGGGGAAAGGAAAATAAATCAAATAACCTAGTTATAAAATAAAAACTTGTGGGGGGGGGGGCTGGCATGATGGCCGAATAGGAACAGCTCCAGTCGGCAGCTCCCAGCAAGGTCAAGGCAGAAGGTGGGTGATTTCTGCGTTTCCAGTTGAGGTACCTGGTTCATCTCATTGGGACTGGTTAGACAGTGGGTGCAGCCCATGGAGGGTGAGCTGAAGCAGGGTGGGGCATTGCCTCACCAGGAAGTGCAAGAGGTTGGGGAACTCCCTCCTCTAGCCAAGGGAAGCCGGGAGGGACTGTACCGTGAGGGACTGTGCCATGAGGGATGGTGCACTCCCCAAACATTACATTTTCCCATGGTCTTCACAACCCACAGACTAGAGACTCCCTCAGGTGCCCACACCACCAGGGTCACGGGTTTCAAGCACAAAACTGGGTGGCCGTTGGGGCAGACACTGAGCTAGCTGCAGGAATTTTTTTTTTTTTTTTTGGTACTCCAGTGGCACCTGGAATGCCAGCAAGACAGAAATGTTCACTCCCCTGGAAAGGGGGCTGAAGCCAGCGAGCCAAGTGGTCTTGCTCAGTGGATCCCACCCCCATGGAGCCCAACAAGCTAAGATCCACTGGCTTGAAATTCTTGCTGCCAGCACAGCAGTCTGAAATCCACCTGGGATGCTTGAGGTTGGTGGGGGGAGGGGCATCTGCCATTACTGAGGCTTGAGTAGGCAGTTTTCCCCCTACATTGTAAACAAAGCCGCCAGGAAGTTCAAACTGGGTGAACTCACTGCAGCATGGCAAAGCCACTGTAGCCAGACTGCTTCTCTGGATTCCTCCTCTCTGGGCAGGGCATCTCTGAAATAAAGGCAGCAGCCCCAGTCAGGGGCGTATAGATAAAACTCCCATCTCCCTGGGACAGAGCACCTGGGAGAAGGGGCTGCTGTGGGCACAGCTTCAGTAAGCTTAAATGTTCCTGCCTGCCAGCTCTGAAGAGAGCAGCAGATCTCCCAGTTCAGGGCTCAAGCTCCGCTAAAGGACAGACTGCCTCCTCAAGTGGGTCCTTGACCCCTGTATGCTGACTGGGAGACAGCACCCAGCAGGGGTCTACAGACACCTCATACAGGAGAGCTCTAGCTGGCATCTGGCAGGTGCCCCTCTGGGACAAAACTTCCAGAGGAAGAAGCAGGCAGCAATCTTTGCTATTCTGCAGCCTCTGCTGGTGATACCCAGGCAAACAGGGTCTGGAGTGGACTTCCAGCAAACTCCAGCAGACCTGCAGAAGAGGGGCCTGACTATTAGAGGGAAAACTAACAAACAGAAAGCAATAGCATCAACATCAACAAAAAGTATACCCACACAAAAACCCCATCTGAAGGTCACCAACATCAACGAACAAAGGTAAATAAATCCATGAAGATGAAGAAAAACCAGTGCAAAAAGGCTGAAGATTCCAAAAACCAGAATGCCTCTTCTCCTCCAAAGGATCACAACTCCTTGCCAGCAAGGGAACAAAAGTGAATGGAGAATGAGTTTGACAAATTGAAATAAGTAGGCTTCAGAAGGTGGGTAATAACAAACTCCTCCAAGCTAAAAAAGCAGGTTCTAACCCAATGCAAGGAAGCTAAGAACATTGATAAAAGGTTACAGGAACTGCTAACTAGAATAACCAGCTTAGAGAAGAACATAAATGGCCTGATGGAGCTGAAAAACACAACACGAGAACTTTGTGAAGCATACACAAGTATCAGTAGCTGAACCGATCAAAGGCAACAAAGGATATCAGAGATTGAAGATCAACTTAATGAAATAAAGCATGAAGACAAGATTAGAGAAAAAAGAATGAAAAAGAACAAACAAAGCCTCCAAGAAATATGGGACTGTGTGAAAAGACCAAACCTACATTTGATTGGTGTACCTGAAAGTGTTGGGGAGAATGGAACCAAGTTGGAAAACACACTTCAGGATATTATCCAGGAGAATTTCCCCAACCTAGCAAGACAGGCCAAAATTCAAATTCAGGAAATACAGAGAACACCACAAAGATACTCCTCAAGAACAGCAACCCCAAGATGCATAATCATCAGATTCACAAAGGTTGAAATGAAGGAGAAAAATGTTAAGGGCTGCCAGAGTAACAGGTTGGGTTACCCACAAACGGAAGCCCATTCAGACTAACAGCAGATCTCTCAGCAGAAATCCTACAAGCCAGAAGAGAGTGAGGGCCAATATTCAACATTCTTAAAGAAAAGAATTTTCAACCCAGAATTTTATATCCAGCCAAACTAAGCTTCATAAGCAAAGGAGAAATAAAATCCGTTACAGACAACCAAAGGCTGAAGGATTTTGTCACCACTAGGCCTGCCTTACAAGAGCTCCTGAAGGAAGCACTAAATATGGAAAAGAAAAACTTGTACCAGCCACTGCAAAAACATACCAAAATGTAAAGACCATTGACATGATGAAGAAACTGCACCACTAGCATCATAGTGACAGGATCAAATTCACACATAACAATATTACCTTAAATGTAAATGAGCTAAATGCCCCAATTAAAAGACACAGACTGGCAAATTGCATAGAGTCAAGACCCATTCATAAGCTATATTCAGGAGACCCATCTCACTTGCAAAAACACACATAGGCTCAAAATAAAGGGATGTAGGACTACTTACCAAGGAAATGGAAAGCAAAAAAAAAGCAGGAGTTGCAATCCCAGTATCTGATAAAACAGACTTCAAACCCACAAAGATCAAAAAAGACAAAGAAAGTCATTACATAATGATAAAGGGATCGATGCAACAAGAAGGGCTAACTATCCTAAATATACATGCACCCAATACAGGAGCACCCAGATTCATACAGCAAGTTCTTACAGACTTACAAACAGACTTACACTCCCACACAATAATAGTGGGAGTTTTTAACACCCCATTGTCAATATTAGATCAACAAGACAGAAAATTAACAAGGATATTCAGAACTTGAACTCAGCTCTGGACCAAGTGGATCTAATGGACATCTATGGAACTTTCCACCCCCAATCAACAGAGTATACATTCTTTTCAGCACCACATAGCACTTAGTCTAAAATTGGCCACATAATTGGAAGTAAAACACTCCTCAACAAATGCAAAAGAATGGAAATAATAACAAACAGTCTCTCAGACCACAGCACAATCAAATTAGAACTCAAGATTGAGAAACTCACTCAAAACTGAACAACTACATGGAAACTGAACAACCTGCTCCTGAATGACTACTGGGTAAATAAAGAAATTAAGGCAGAAATAAATAAGTTCTTTGGAACCAATGAGACCAAAGACTCAACGTACCAGAATCTCTGGGACACAGTTAAAGCAGTGTTTAGATGGAAATTTATAGCACTAAATGCACATAGGAGAAAGTGAGAAAGATCTAAAATCCACACCCTAACATCACAATTAAAAGAACAAGAGAAGCAAAAGCAAAGAAATTCAAAAGCTAGCAGAAGGCAAGATCAGAGCAGAACTAAGATCAGAGCAGAATTGAAGGAGATAGAAACTCAAAAAACCTTCAACAAAAAATCAATGTATCCAGGAGCTGGTTTCTTGAAAAGATTAACAAAATAGATAGACTGCTAGCCAGACTAATAAAGAAGAAAAGAGAGAAGAATCAAATAGACATAATAAAAAATGATAAAGGGGATATAACCACTGATCCCACAGAAATATAAACTACCATCAGAGAATACTATAAACACCTCTATGCAAATAAACTAGAAAATCTAGAAGAAATAGATAAATTACTGGGCACACACACCCTCCCAATACTAAACCAGAAAGAAGTTGAATCCCTGAATAGGCCAATATCAAGTTCTGAAATTGAGGCAGCAATTAATAGCCTATTAACCAAAAAAAAGCACATGACTAGATGGATTCACAGCCGAATTCTATGAGAAGTACAAATAGGAGCTGGTACCCTTACTTCTGAAACTATTCCAAACAATACAAAAAGAGGAGCTCCTCCCTAACACAATTTATGAGGCCAACATCATCCTGATACCAAAACCTGACAGAGACAGAACAACAAATAAATTCAGGTCAATATCCCTGATGAACATCGATGCAAAAATTCTCAATAAAATACTGGCAAATCGAATCCGGCAGCACATCCAAAAATATATCCACCACAATCAAGTCGGCATCATCCCTAGGATGCAAGCCTGGTTCAACATATGTAAATCACTAAACATAATCCATCACATAAACAGGACCAATGACAAAAACTACTTAATTATCTCAATAGATGCAGAAAAGGCCTTTGATAAAATTCAACCCCACTTTATGCTAAAAACACTCAATAAACTGGGTATTGATGGAATGTATCTCAAAATAATAAGAGCTATTTATGACAAACCCACAGCCAGTATCATATTGAATGGGCAAAAACTGGAAGCATTCCCTTTGAAAACTGGCACAAGACAAGAATGCCCTCTCTCACCTCTCCCATTCAACATAGTATTGGAAGTTCTGGTCAGGGCAATCAGGCAAGAGAAGAAATAAAGGGTATTCAAATAGGAAGAGAGGAAGTCAAATTGTCTCTGATTGCAGATAACATGTTTGTATATTTAGAAAACCCCAAAAACTCCTTAAGCTGATAGGCAACTTCAGCAAAATCTCAGGATACAAAATCAATGGGCAAAAATCACAAGCATTCCTATACACCAATAACAGACAAACAGAGAGCCAAATCATGAGTGAACTCCCATTCACAATTGCTACAAAGAGAATAAAATACCTAGGAATACAACTTACAAGGATGTGAAGAACCTCTTCAAGGAGAACTACAAACCACTGCTCAAGGAAATATGAGGGGACACAAACAAATGGAAAAACATTCCATGCTTATGGATAGGAGAACCAATATTCTGAAAATGGCCATACTGCCCAAAGTAATTTATAGAGTCAATGCTATTCCCATCAAGCTACCATTGACTTTCTTCACAGAATTAGAAAAAACTACTTTAAATTTCATATGGAACCAAAAATAAGCCTGTATAGCCAAGACAATTCTAAGCAAAAAGAACAAAGCTGGAGGCATTAAGCTACCTGACTTCAAACTATACTACAAAGTTACAGTAACCAAAACAGCATCGTACTGGTACCAAAACAGAGATATAGACCAATGGAACAGAATAGAGGCCTCAGGAATAATGCCACACATCTACAACTATCTGATCTTTGACAAACCTGACAAAAAAAGCAATGGGGAAAGGATTCCCTATTTAATAAATGGTGTTGGGAAAACTGGCTGGCCATATGCAGAAAACTGAAACTGGATCCCTTCCTTACACCTTATACAAAAATTAACTCAAGATGGATTAAAGACTTAAACGTTAGATCTAAAACCATGAAAACCCTAGAAGAAAACCTAGGCAATACCATTTAGGACATAGGCATGGGCAAAGACTTCATGACTAACACACCAAAAGCAATGGCAACAAAAGCCAAAATTGACAAATGGGATCTAACTAAACTAAAGAGCTTCTGCACAGCAAAAAAACTATCATCAGAGTGAACAGGCAACCTACAGAATGGGAGAAAATTTTTGCAATCTATCCACCTGAACAAAGGGCTACTACCCAGAATCTACAAAGAACTTCAACAAATTTACAAGAAAAAAAAAACCCACCAAAAAGTGGGCAAAGAATATGAACAGACATTTCTCAAAAGAAGACATTTATGTGGCCAAAAAAACATATGAAAAAAAGCTCATCACTGGTCATTAGAGAAATGCAAATCAAAACCACAATGAGATACCATCTTACACCAGTTAGAATGGAGATCATTAAAATGTCAGGAAACCACAGACGCTGCGGAGGAAGTGGAGATATAGGAACGCTTTTACACTGTTGGTGGGAATGTAAATTAGTTCAACCACTGTGGAAGACAGTGTGGCAATTCCTCAAGGATCTAGAACCAGAAATACCATTTGACAGGAATCCCATTACTGGGTATATACCCAAAGGATTATACATCATTCTACTATAAAGACACATGCACACATATGTTTATTGCAGCACTATTCACAATAGCAAGACTTGGAGCCCAGACCAAAGCTGACTGAGAGAACGAGCCTGTCTGTAAACCTCATAGGTGACAAAGACCATGTGCAGTAAGATGGAGAAGTATCTGAGTATCTGACCCCACAATGCATACATATAAGTTCCACTCTGACAAAGGGGGCACAATTTTCAGTTTTACTTTCTTATTAATTTTACTGAGACTAGCAATTTATAAGATGGATGGACTATGCTAAATAGTGATATTATTAGAGAACTCTTCCTTTTAAAGTATTTTAAATCTTATTATGCATAAAATACTTTGGGTAGAGATGCTACATTTGGCTTCCAAAGGATACTTTGCAAAACAAAGGCAATAATAATAAAAGTCAACTTATTTTATGCATTTTCCCATGCTGCTGTACTTAGAAAAGGTATATTTCAAGTTCTGTTCAGAAAACTATTTGTGCTTAGTATTTTAGTCATTAAATGATCTGGGTTGTATAGAAGAACATACCTATACCACGGATATTTTCCTTTTTCTAGACATGAGTAATAATTGAACAGGCTATAAAGCTCATTAGAATCAGCTTCTGATAAATTTATTCACCCTTTAGAGAAATTTTTATGAAACTAACTGCTTGATTTTACCCACTGTTAAGCATAGATTGCAAACAAGAAGTTTCCTTATTTGAAATATTAAAACAAACAAAGAGCATATAAGAATACTAGTTAAGGTATAAGAAGACCTGTACTGTAGACTTGGTTCTATTACTCAATACTATGTGACCTTAGTAAGTAAGTTTTTCTCCAAAAACCTTAATTTTCTCATTAATAAAATGAGAATTTTTAAAAAGTGATTTCTAAAGACCCCTCCATTGATAAAAGTTTTGGTATCAAGGATTACAAATGTAATGCTGATTGTAAAAGAGCATAAACTGACACCTCTAAAACTAGACAATTTACTTAGAAAAAGTTAATTATCCTGTTTGTAGTTCTAACAAGGTGGAGTTACTTTAAGATGACAACAAATGATGACAGCATTCATCAAGGTATAGCTCCTTCTGAATGGGGCTGATATTATGGTAAAAAGAACTAGAAAATTCTTACCCATGTTAGAAATTCATTAACGTGCCTGATTCTTGACAGAGCATGCAGAATTATTGCTCCCAGCTCAATTTCTTCTTCATCATCAATTGGTCACAAGGGACTCCCTTGGAGTCATAGGTGCAGACTGAATGAGACTCTGGCAGTGAGGCACAAGTACACCCACTGAGGTTTCAACAATTTGCTTGACATCAAGACCAGGTCTTTGAGATGCCACTTCTAACTGTTTGTCACCCTTTAGTGGGTTTTGAAATAAATTTAGTAAGTTTTAACCAGAATTTGAAAGTTTAATAGAATAAAAGTAGAATAAAAATGTTCACACTGCATGGCACACAGTAAAAGTATGTTTTGTTTTGCAAAACATCTTTTTAAATGTATGCAAGTGGCCAGGCATAGTGGTTCCCGCCTGTAACACCAGCATTTTGGAAGGCTGAGGCAGGCGGATCACTTGAGGTCAGGATTTCGAGACCAGCCTAGTCAATATGGTGAAACCCCATCTTCACTAAAACTACAAAAAAAAAAAAAAATAGCCGAGCATGGTGGTGGGCACCTGTGATCCCGCAACTTGGAGGGCTGAGGTGGGAGAATTGCTTGAACCCGGGAGGAGGAGTTGCAACGAGCCGAGACTGTGCCATTGAACTCCAGCCTGGGCGATAGAGCAAGGTTTCATCTCAAAAAATTAAATAAATAAATAAATAAATACATGTGTGCATATGAATATTTACGTGGGGGGATGGTAAAGAGGATAATATTTCTTATAGAGGATCTTAGTAAAAACAGTTTGAAAAACGCTTATTAATGATGAAATGATGTTAAACATGTCTAAGTTCATGATAAATACATACAAGATCTGGCAGTACATAATTGATGATGGTCAGTTTGAGTCATACACTTCCCTGATATAGTGTGTTCAAGCATTCAATTAACACCCAAGCCCAGTAGCAAGCCAGAAACTGTTTCTCAAAAAAATATAAAATATTAGCCGGGCGTGGTGGCGGGCGCCTGTAGTCCCAGCTACTCAGGAGGCTGCGGCAGGAGAATGGCGTGAACCAGGGAGGTGGAGCTTGCAGTGAGCCGAGATCGCACCACTGCACTCCAGCCTGGGCGACAGAGCAAGGCTCCGTCTGAAAAAAAAAAAAAAAAAAGTACAATCACTTGCCATAAAGACATTGCCTTTGCTTCAAAACTTCAAGGTATATTGATTCCCCTGTAGAGCTTGCTACAGTCTATGTGACATCCTGATTAGTCAGAGATTTCCAACATCATGGAACCTGCTGGGTCATAAAGACCTGGTTGTGGAGCCTATTTGTACGACAGGCTGATCAGTGCTGAGTCTTCTCTTGCTCTGGGCACCACTGAAAGCTGGCAGCTTTTTAGGCCACCTGGTACAAAGGTCAAAGCAGGACACCAAATGTGGTAAAAATTGCCTCCAATTCTAAAGTGCCTCACTGATAAAGTGTTCTCTTTCCAGCGTTTCTGTGTCCTTGTGTTTTAGCTGTGTCTTTTATAAATAGAATATAAATGGAACTTTTAAAATACATTCTAATAATTACTGTCTTCTAAAAGGCAAATGTATATGAATATTATTCTTACCATCTTATTTTATATTTTCCATTCTTTTCTTAAATCTCATTTTTATTTGTGGGTCAGTGTGGAATGAAATCTGTATTAGTCCACTCCAAATACTATTGGAATCTGGGTTTTCCAGATTCCAATTGAAATTGCCAAATTCAAATTGATCTAATGTTCTTCCCTGCTTAGTTGAGTATCCTAAAATTTTATTTTTATACATATTCCTGAGACAGTTTCTAATATATATTAAAACAGATTTGCAAACTTACTGTGACTATTCTCCTCCAGGGCATAATTTGAATTTGGCTCCCAAGGCCGTATTGCAATATAAGTGTAATCAATTTTGAAAAAATGAAAACCAGCTTCCTTTTGAAAGTAATGATCTCAGGTAAGGGAAAGATAGCTGAAGCAAGAAAAGGAAATGGCTTGTCAGGCAAAGGAGAGGCAGCAGCAGAAGGAGTAGAGGAATAGCTACTTCCTTAAGTAGGGAAAGCTCAGAAGATGGAAAGTTCCAGAGTTCTCTATTTAGTCTTCTGATTTTCTTACACATCTTCATTTCAATTCTCAGGGCTCCATTTGTTCCAGATCGATCCCCTGTTACATAAGAAATCTCTCAAGGTAAACTCCCAGACTTATTTTGAGCTCTTTTTTAGTCCTTTAGTTATGAGTTAGGAAACTTTTTCAATAAGATCGTAGCAATTCTCCTAGACATCTGTCTTCCATTTCTAGCACTATAGTGATTTAGCTGCCTGAAGTAACATAGAAAAGCAAAAAAGTTTGGAACGTATGTTAGGCATTCAGAATGTGTTAAATTCAGTGAATTTGTTTAGAATTCAATGAATGTGTTAAATAGCAGACTAGACAGAAGTAAAAATGGAATTTGTAAACAGGAAGGTAGAACTGAAGATTATGCAGAATGTACTATAAAGAATCAAAGAGATGGAAAATATGAAAGAGATGTCAGCTTTTATTGGGGTATAGTAAATTGTTCTGGTACATATCTCATTGGAGTTTCAGAATAAGAGATTACAGAATGGTACGGAGGCAATATTCAAAAACACCATGGCTGAGAATATCCAATATTAAAAGATAACAGAATCAGGTTTAAGAAACCCAGTAAATCCCAAGGAGAATATACACATTTTTTGTTGTAACATAAAATTGCAGAATGCAATTTACAAAAACAAAATAACAAAAACAAAGAGATCTTAAAAGCATCCAGAAAAAATGACAGATTATCTATAAGAGAATAAGGAGGCCGGCGTGGTGGCTCATGCCTGTAATCCCAGCACTTTGGGAAGCTGAGGCAGATGGATCACCTGAGGCCAGGAGTTTGAGACCAGCCTGGCCAACATAGTGAAAACCCGTCTCTACTAAAAATACAAAATTAGCCGGGCGTGGTGGCGCATGCCTGTAATCCCAGCTACTTGGGAGGCTGAGGCAGGGGAATTGCTTGAAGCCGGGAGGCGGAGGTTGCGGTTAGCCGAGATTGTGCCATTGCACTCCAGCCTGGGCAACAAGAGCGAAACTCCATCTAAGAAAATAAAAAAGAATAAGGATTACAACTAACCATTAAGACTACACAGTAACAAATAGGCTAAAAGACAAAGGAATCATATCTTTAAATGCCAAGAGAGAGAAAGTAATTATCACTCCAGAACTGTATTCCCAGTGAAATGTTTTTCCAAGTTTGAGAGTGATATGAAGACAATTTTATATAGACAAAAATGGAATGTTAATACTAATGTATATTGCTAAGGGAACTTCTAAAGGATGTACATTTGAACTACTGACAATCATTCATAAAGGAAGATATGAGATCTAAGGACTGGTGAACAAAAAAGGGAAATGTGAGTAAAACTTGACCAAACATCTAATATCTAATAATACCTAATTTGTGGGTTAAGCAAATAGAATAGAACTAAAATACTTAACGGGTAAAACTATGGCATAAATGGGCCAAATCACAACCACAAATAAACTTATTTTGAACAAATAAAAATAGACTAAAATTTCCAAAATAAAAAAAGGCAAAGATGGACAGGATGGATTAAAATACCCAGCTATTTTATGTCACCTAATCTAATATGCTATTGAATATGAGTTACTATTATGTCACAGCCTGCTAAAAAAAGAAAAACACTGCCCATTAAACTATGAAACTATGCTTTAGTATTAATCCTGTGTGATGAAAGTTACCTGTGACTCATTAATTAGGCACAGCAGCCTCTCTGCTTGGAATTTTTTTTTCATTTATTCTGAGGGATTTGGGATTATTTCCACCTTCAATTATTTTTATTGATGTGTGATATATAATATTTTTGCATGTATCTAAGAAACAACATATAACAGCTTTCTTGACTTACAAGTGTCTTCCTTAAATCATATCCTACTGATAAAACATTCAATGTCTCAATAAGATATAATCCAAAATCCATATGTACTCCATGACATATTGTTAAAATATATAACAGAAGAAAAAAATTGATAAATCTACCAGAATATTAGAAAATTAATATATCTTCTTCAATACTTGATAGGTCAAAACGGAAATTAATAAGGATTGATATAATGTAAAAAATACAATTATAAATTTATGTATAAACATAGAGTGGTATATTAATCAAACCTCGAAACTGCAAAATATGTTTTTCCAAGGATACACAGAACATTTGCAAAAACTGACATAGTGCTATATAATAAAGTAAGCAAAACATAATTCAAAGATTCAATATGTTAGAAAACATACTGTTTTTAAAAATGCACATAATTCAGTAACAGAAAAGATGGCTTTAGAAAGTTAGTGAGTTGAAAAATTTAAAATACACTCCTTCATAATTCATAGGTCAAAAAAATTAAGTAGAAAACATCAAGTATCAAAGAATAATAAAAATACAACCTAACTATGCCTGAGAATTATAGTATTATTATTACAGCATTTATATTAGATGAGAAGATATCCTTAAGCATTTATATTAGATGAGAATAAATCTGATAATTCATTAATTATCTAACTAACAAGGTTTATAAAATGAACCATACCTCCATAAAATTCAGAAGTATAGCATTAAAGATAAGAGCTGGAGTTAAAGAAACAGAAAAAAATATATACATAGAATCAACAAAGCCAAAAAATAGTTATTTGAAGAGATTATTGCATTGGCAAAGTGTAGAAAGACTGATCAATTTTTAAAAGATAAGGCAAGATAAGGTACAATAATATTAGTAATGAAAAGAAGATTTAACTACATATGAACCAGACATTAAAGGGATTAGAAAGAATATTATGGACAAGTTTATGCCAATAAATTTGAAAACTTGATTAAGATGAAATAACCTTAGAAAAATATGACCTACCATAACTAATTGAAGAAGAAAAATAAAACATTAATGTACAAATAACAATAAAAATTCTTCCTACAAATGAAATAATGGGCTCAGATTATTTTACAGGTGAGTTCTATCAAACACGCAAAAATAATATATTTTGAAACAATGCCTTACAAAGAAGAGAAAAAGAGACATCCCCAAGTTAATTGACGAGGGTAGTGTAATGTTGGCATGAAAATGAAGTCAGGAATAATAGACTATTAAAGACCACCTTCACTCCTGAGCATAAATGCAAAAGTCCTAAGTAGATAGCAAACCAACTTTACTAATTGTTAAGCTTTCTCTTTAAAATCAGGAATAAGTCATCAATGTGCCCTATAATCATTTCTACTTTACTATATGGGAGACCTTATCTAATATAACAAAACAACAAAAATAAAGCCTAAGAATTGGGAATGAAAAAAATTATTATTATTTGAAGATTAGATAATTAGCTCTATAAACAACCTCAATTTTCTACAGATTATTAGAATAATTAAGAGTAGAATAAGATTGCCAGATCTAAGGATAATATACTAAAGCCAACTGAATTTCTGTATATCCATAAATAATAATTACAAAATTTAATTTAAACAAGTGTATTCTTTACAATAGGAACCAAAAATACACGGTAGTCAGAAATAAATAGAAATAGAAATTTTAAAAAACAAGAAATTAAGATCTTTATAAATTGAAACATATACCATGTTTATGAATAGAAAGACTAAAAAAAAATGTCATTATCCCCAAATTGGTTAGTATATTCAATAGAATTCTGATCAAATTTCCAAAAGAGTTTTTCTTGGAATTTGACAAGCTATTTCCAAAACATATGCACAAGAACGAAGAATCTAGAATAGCTAAAATATTCATAAGGAAGAAGATGAAGGAGGAGGAAGAAGAAAGTGTCTTATTTTCTCATTATGAAAAAAAATTTAATAAAGAAAATGTAATACTGGTATATAAAAATAAACCAGTGGAACCAAGTAGAAGGCCGGCCCAGAACCAGATGTATGTGTGTATGGCTATTTGACATATATGACAGAAATAGAATTCTTGGTCAGTTAGGAAAGAATAAACTATTCACAAATAGTCTAGGGCAATTTTCTGTCTATAAAAGATAAATAAAACTTGAACCTTGCTGAACCTTGCTTCTCTCTCTTTCTTTCTCCCTCTCTCATACACACACACAGACAAACAAATTATTTCTCTATACCTTAAAACTTACTTGTGAAAAATTTAAAAAGTTTAATGGCAGCACAGGAGAACACAGAGTGGGAAAAATTTCTTAAATAATGCATGTAACACTCAAGCAATAAAGAAAAGGATTCATATATTCAAATACAGTAAAATGAAGAACTTCCAATTGAAAGACAACATAAAAAAGTAAAGATAAACTGCACATTAGTTCAGGAAACAATATTTTAAAAATACATGACTAAGAAAATCTTAAAATCTTATCTCCAGAATATGCAAAGAATTCCGATAAAGCAATATGTAAGAGCAAACAATTCATTATTAAAAAGGGAAAATATGAGAGGCATTTCACAAAAGAAGAAATAGGAGTAGGCAATATCCATAGGAAGAGATGCTTAATATTATTAATAGTTAAGAAATACAGATAAAAACAAAATAAAGTTCTCATTTCATATCCATGATATGGAGAAAAGTTTCGATGATTAATAACAAATATTGGAAAGCATATAATAGAACAAGAACATCTAGAGTACTTGTGAGAATGTAAATTGCTACAACTTGTCTGGAAAACAATTAGGCACTGCTACAATAAAGTTAAGGTTATGAGTACACTACAACTCACCAATTCTATTTCCAGGAACATATCACAGAGAACTATCTCTACATGCATATCTGGAGACACACACAAAAATGTCAATAGAGGCATGATTTGAAGTAGACAAAAACTGGAAATCATAGATGGGAGACTAGATAAAGAAATCATCTTAAATTCATATAGTTGTACATAATATTGGTTTGAGAATGAACTGGAGTATCAACATGGATTAAACTCAAAAATAATATTCAGGAAAATGTCACCGAAGTATACATAAAAGCATAATTTATTATCAGCATATAAAAGTAAAAAGGAGATAAAACCAAATAGTGTATTTTTTAGGATGCACATATGTGATAAAACCACAAAAAAGAATTAACGGAATGATGAACACAAGTTTTAAAATACTGACTCCCAAAAAGTGAAGACAGGAATGAATGGTAGTATACTTAAGTTGCAGCTCATTTTCTACTTTTTAAGCCAGGTAGAAAGCATATGCCAATTTGTTTTATTGTTCTTTCTTAAATTGTACATATATGCCAAGTCTCCTCTTATAAACATTTCATAATAAAACAGTTAAGTGTTGTCATTTTAATTTTGTATCTTGAGTAAAGAAAAAAGAATTTGAGCTTGTTTTTATCTATATGGTGTCAAAAGTAGTCAACCTCCCTGTATTCCTGGTGTTTACCAGTGTCTCGGAGTGGTAGCCCCACTGTGATCTCTGGTCTTCCCATTGTTAGCAATTGATCTGACACAATCCCTGAGAATAATATAGTATTATTATATACCACTATATTTTTTCACTACTGCATGTCAAAGACTGAAGTTCTAGAACATTATGGAACACTCACTGTCACCTCATCTTAGACTTAACAAACCCAAATTCCTCACATTTCCTGAAGTTATTTTATTTTATTTTATTTTGAGAGACTAGCTGGGGCCGGACGCGGTGGCTCACGCCTGTAATCCCAGCACTTTGGGAGGCTGAGGAGGGTGAATCACAATGTCAGCAGATCGAGACCATCCTGGCTAACACAGTGAAACCCCGTCTCTACTAAAAATACAAAAAATTAGCCGGGCGTGGTGGCGGGCACCTGTAGTCCCGCTACTCGGGAGGCTGAGGCAGGAGAATGGTGTGAACCCGGGAGGCGGAGCTTGCAGTGAGCCGAGATCGCGCCATTGCACTCCAGCCTGGGCGACAGAGCGAGACTCCGTCTCAAAACAATAAAAAAAAAAAAAAAAAAAAAGAGACTAGCTGGAGCGCAGAGGCATGATCATAGCTCACTGAAGCCTACAGCTCTTGGACTCAAGCAATCCTCCCACCTCAGCCTCTTGAATAGAACTATAGAACTTCCTCAAGTTTTATTACTTGAAACCTACTCTTAAATATTACCCTCTGCATCATTCAGGGTTCTAACTAACCTGATTTTTTTTTTACTAAAATATGCTGATGTTTATTAACCATAGCAAGATACCATCCAAAAATATTATAACTACATATTTATAAAAGATGCTATACAAACTATATTTCAGAGACCCAGAAGAAATTTTACAAATGGTATCAATTTCAAATAGGCCCTGGTAAGCTGGCAAGTGGTGTGCATTTATAGTCCCAGATATTAGGGAGGCTGAGGCCAGAGGATCACTTGAGCCCAGGAGGTGGAGACCAGCCTGGTCAAAAGAACAAGACCTCTGTCTCTGAAAAAAAAAAAAAAAAAAAAAAAAAAATAAAGGCCCTGGTATAAAAAGGGAAATTAGAAAATGAATAACTAAATAACTATAAATAAATTTCAAATAGGTCCTGGGTAAGCTAGCAAAGTGGTGTGCATTTCTAGTCCCAGATATTAGGGAGGTTGAGGCCAGACGATCACTTGAGCCAGGAGTTGGAGGTCAGCCTGGTCAAAAGAGCGAGACGTCTGTCTCTTTAAAAATAAAAAAAAAAAAAAGCCCTGGGATAAAAAGGGAAATTAGAAAATAATAAATAACTAAATAACTATAAATAAACATCTACCAAAAAGGCCCTGGTATAAAAAGGAAAATTAGAAAATAATAAATAACTAAATAACTATAAATAAACATCTACCAAAGTGAAAGACTATTAAACACGGTTTACACATTTAATAGACCTTATAGATTTCTACCCTAATGGATTTGCTGTGACAACCTAAATAGCTTGTAATCCACAATCACTGAAGCAGCAATAGCTCTTTGCAGTTATATTTTGAAAACAGGCATATCCACTATGGCTAGAAAAAAACTGTTATTTAAAAGAGTGAAAGGAAAGCCTAAGAGTAATTCATGTAAGTTAGACAAAGAATGGAACATTTTAATGCTAGTTAAAAACAGATACAGCTTCAGTTAGCAAGTGAATAAAAGGTCTTTTTTCTTTCTTTCTTATTCTTGATCACAGGAAAACTGACCTGACGAGGAGATGGAATCACTGACACCGGATGTCTCTCTTAGCAAGAGCAAGGAATATCAGAGGGACCTTTCTAATTCTGATATCTCTTGTCATGTGGTAGCTACTGGACACTGCCCGTCTCAGACAGTTCCTGATTATTGCCCTATAGCACTGGTTCCAAACGACTGTTCCTTCCCTAGGGTCAGATGCAGATACAATTACCTGGAATCAATTCAAGATAAAAGAGTCAGCTTTTGAAATGGGTCAGAAGAAAGAATCACTGCCAATGAGTGAAATCTGGTTGAAAGGCTAAAACAAGAACGATTCCCAGTTTGAAGCTTATTATTATTTCCAATTTTAGGTTGAGAGTTACAGGGATATTGTAAAATTGTAATTTTGAATATTGTAAATAAACAACTTAAAAGTGTTGCCAAAGTAGCTGTGGTAATCATTTCCCATAATTTTCTATTAAGGGTTGAAAATGCCAGATCAGGTGACCGCTTACTGAGGATATTTTCCCTTGGGATGCTATTGGTGTGCAAATGTATGTATGTATCTGTGTCTATGGTGGCATTTAGTTGTTCTTTTGCTGGATTGACTCTTCTATTTGCATTTAAAAAAATCAAGTAGGACGGGTGCAGTCGCTCATGCCTGTAATCCCAGCACTTTGGGAGGCCGAAGCAGGCGGATCACCTGAGGTTGGGAGTTCGAGACCAGCCTGACCAACATGGAGAAACCCCATCTCTACTGAAAATACAAAATTAGCCGGGTGTGGTGGCACATGCCTGTAATCCCAGCTACTCGGGATGCTGAGGCAGGAGAATTGCTTCAACCTGGGAGGCAGAGGTTGCAGTGAGCCAAGATCGTGCCATTGCACTCCAGCCTGGGCAACAAGACGGAAACTCCATCTCAAAGGAAAAAAAAATAATCGAGTAAATCTTATTTAGCCATGAACATTATATAATTAAGTCCTCAGTCCTCAGTTCTAATAGCAATGACTATGAAGAATTATTAATATTTAACAAGTGTTTCTTATCCCTGAATGGGCTGTGCTGCTTCAAGTTCCTGAGGCATTTTACTCTTTATCCTCTCTATCCGGAATACAACTTTACCTTCTTTTTTGTCCTTCACCTTCAACTTGCTACATGGCAGGAATCTGCTAAATGTGCTATATGCCTTATCCCATTTAATCTCACAGCAACACTCTGAGGTAAATTCACCCTCCACTTGATATTTGAGGAAACGAAAGCTTAGAGGGGTCAGCTTCACACATAGCTATAATAATAGACTGTGGCACTGCTCCTCAAAGCCGCCTCTATCTGAGTTGCCTGGATTAAAGCCGTGGCAGTGGAAATTGAGAGCAAGCAGTTCAGACTTCAAAGACATTTCTCTGTTTCAGTTGACAGGATTCAGTGATGTTTGAATCTGGGGTTGAGGGGTAGGGAGTAATCAAGGATAACTGGAGGCTTCTGATATGGTTTTACACCGATAACAATAATAAGAGAGCAAATAAGAGCTCTTGAAGCCAACTTGATGGGAAAGATAGAGAGGTCAGTTTGGACAGACTGAGATCTAGTTCCTCGAGGGGTCCACTTAAGAGTTAAACAAGATCGTACTGTGATTCACAAAGAAAATATAATGGAGACATGCCGGAGGAGTTCAGGGTGTAGGAGGAAAAAAATTCAGAGAAAAAAAATTCCTATTGGACCTTCAAATAGTGCAACTACATAATGCATATATAATATATACATATATCTACGTAATAATAGAAAATTTAGTCATCTTAAAGAAACATGCCTAGTTTTCTAGTCAAAACACAAAAAAGTTAACATTATAACACATACAAAACTTCTTGATCTATTTAGCTTACTTAATGAGTTGCTGTAAAGTTTTATAAAAATCCAATACAGCCCGAATACACAAAACTTGATTTAGAAAGCAAGTGTTATATTGATTTAAGGCTGGAGTAAAATATAATTTGATTATAAAAAGTTTGTTCCATAATTTGGGTTGATTTTACATTGTGAAGTCACTAACAACTCTCATTTGATCCAGAAATTTTGAGAGTGCTGTACCAACTATTTAAGATGATAAATCAGAGAGGACTTAAAGAGTTCCAGTCAGTTTTTGTTTCTCAGCCTTAATTTCCTATCTTATTGAATTTGCTTGCTGGTATTTATTTTTTAGGATGGCATACTTGTTGTCTTTAGTGAGGACAAATTCTACAAGAGTTTCTATGAAGTTTTAGATAAAGGAAATGTCCTATTGTTTTTTCTCTCACACACTCAAAAAGAGAGAGTAAGAAAGAAAAAAGGAAAATATAAAAGAAAAAATAAAATATGACCAAATTTAAGCTCTGGATAAACTTTCAAAAACTACAAGTTATTAAATATGGTTATTAAATTAAATAACAATGTTAAAACTTCTTGCTTACGTCACTATGCCATATGTGCTAATCTCTTGTAAGTTCCCAGCTAGACATCAATTTTTAAAAGGAGTTTTTTGTTTTTTGTTTTTGTTTTTAAAAAAGGATGGAAAATTCTTAACTGGGCTAGGTAATAATCTGCTTGCAAATTGCTCATTTATGTGACCGAAGGGAAAGCAGAACTCACATTAAGTATTGCATGCTAATATGCTTCCTCCAGCTTATCCCACAGACTTTCACTCAAATTGCTCATATTTCTCCACGGAAATGTCACAGTACGTCTGTGCAAGCTAGTTTTTATGGATTTCTATGAAAAGCTTCAGAAACATAGCCAGCAAATAGTCTCCCTCTCAGGCTCACTCACTACCTTCCTTTCAGAACTCTGGCTGTGTCTTAGTCTGTTTTGTGCTGCTATAACAAAAATACCTGAGACTGGATAATTTATAAAGAACAGAAATTTACTTCTTACAGTTCTGGAGGTTGGAAAGTCCAATCAAGGCACCACAGATTCAGCTGTCTGATATGGGCTGCTCTCTTCTTCTAAGATGGTGCCTTGATGCTGTGTCTTTAGGATGGGAGGAACGCCGTGGCTTCACATGGTAGAAGAGATGAAAGGGCAAAGACGGGACAAACTTTCTCTGTCAAGCCCTTTTATAAGGCCATTAATCCATTCATGAGAGCAGACCCTCATGACGTCATCTCTCAAAAGGATCTACTTCCTAACACTGTTGCATTGGGGATTAAGTTCCCAACACATGAATTTTGGAGAACACAGTCAGACCACAGCAGGCAGTACAAAAAACTCTCATCACAGGCTTTTGAATATCCAACTGCTGCCTAAACTATAGTGACTGATTGACTACAGCAAAAGATATCAGGTGGTTTTGACCCTGAAATATCTAAGTAATCTAAAAATGCTTAGCTTTCTGTTGTATACAGAGTGACTTGAATTTAAAATAAATCTCTGCCCTCTAATGGTAATAGTATTTACATAAAACATATTTAAAATAACAATTGAAATCCATAATCTGCCCATAAAATACATGGCCAGATTCTTATATCTACACAAATTCTGAAGTTCATTAGCACAGTAAGTTTGTTTCTTAGAGTACAAGTGACATTATTCATTTTTAATTTTTGTGGGTACATAGTAGGCGTATATATTTATGGCGTACATGAGATGTTTTGCTACAGGCATGCAATGCGTAATAATCACATCATGGAGAATGGGGTATCCATTCCCTCAAGCATTTATCATTTGTATTACAAACAATCTAATTATACCCTTTTAGTTATTTTGAAAAGTACAATTAAGATATTATTGACTATAATCAACCTGTTGTGCTCTCAAATAGTAGGGCTTAATCATTCTATTTTTTTGACATTAGAGTATTTAAAGATAACATTTTGCACACGAGGAAAGCAAGCCAATGAAAGGCAATAGTTTACCCTTAATCCAGTAGCTTGTAAGGTGACAAAAGCTTGAAATTTACATCAGGTTCACAGCCTCCCAGCTCAATAATCTTTCTCATGGCATGGTTTCATCATTAATGCTGAATACATGAGAGGATAAGACTATGACCACGTGCATTGAGGACAACAGTGGAGTTCGCTTGGGCCCCCCAATTGTTATTTGTCTAGGAAAACTGTTTCCAACAGAATGGAAAATTTGAAAAAACAATACATATATATTCATATCTATCTATCCATCTCTCTCTATATATATCACGTAAACTTCTGATAGAATAATCTTGGAAAGAAAAGACACCCCACAGTAGTGCTGGTTTAGAGGAAGAGAATTAACAAAGGCCAGAAATATTACATATTAAGTAAAGAATTTTCAGTGACTAGGTCGGGCGCGGTGGCTCACGCCTGTAATCCCAGCACTTTGGGAGGCCGAGGCGGGCAGATCACGAGGTCAGGAGATTGACACCATCCTGGCTAACAAGGTGAAACCCCGTCTCTACTAAAAATACAAAAAAACTTAGCCGGGCGTGGGGGTTGGTGCCTGTAGTCCCAGCTACTCCAGCTACGCGGGAGGCGGAGGCAGGAGAATGGTGTGAACCCGGGAGGCGGAGCTTGCAGTGAGCCGAGATCGCGCCACTGCACTCCAGCCTGGGCGACAGAGGAAGACTCCGTCTCAAAAAAAAAAAAAGAATTTTCAGTGACTAAATGGGCACATCGAAATGAGTACAATTAATTTTGAATTTAAATCCGTTATATTGTGCTTGTGGCTAGCGCTTCATAATGACTAAGTAACTTTATGACAAAAATATTTTGCATGTTCTTCCATGTTAGCAAGAAAAATAACACAATGATAATTAAGTAGTTGTGGCAGCATTTCTTTGCTGTTTCGCTTTCCTACTACACTGTAAGCTCCATGAACATTTACAATGATAAATAAATAAGTAATAAATGTTTATTATTATATATTTATTAGTACCAAGCAAAGTGCCCCATGCATGGTGGATTCTCATTAAAACTGTGTTAAATGCATAAATAAAGAAGGGATCTGTGTAATAACAGCAATAGGGATTATTCATCATTGCTGGCCTCTTCTGTTCATATAAGCATAAATTTCTCATCAATCCATTTACTCAAACTTAACCCTGGAATAAGAAATAATTTCATACGGTGGAATTCTTACAGGATTAGAAGGCAATCCTAGACTCTGCTGCCTACTTAGGTAAAGTAATTAACTTCTCTGGGCCTTAGTTTTCTCATATTAGTAATAATGGGATTAATACTAGCCACCAGTTTCCTCTCAGGGTTTTTGTAAGGATTAAGTAAATAATGCCATGCAGAAATATATTTAATGTATTATATTCAACTATTTCGCCAAAAGGTCTACAACTCCTGTTGCCACCACCACCATCATCATGGGAGTCACTCTGGGAAGCTGCTCTTCTCCCATCTGACACACATTTGTTTCAGGCACAGAGGTTCTTAACAAAAGTCATTTCAATGATAATGGCAACACTTGCATGAATCTCCAGTATAAATAAAGTGTGAAAAAGGAAATAAGTACATTCCTTTAAAATGACATTATCTGTAGCCCAACAGAGTTTGTGTTTGCCTTTGAGAGTTCCCAAAAGAAAACTTATAAGCACATTGTTGAATTATTGCCTTTTGGTGAATTTTATTTCTAGAAATACTAGATTTGTGAATGATGACAATGGGGTCTGAATCTTTAAGTTCCATTGCCTGGTAATTCTTTGAACATAAATTCTCTCTTAGAGAAAATGCATTTTGCCTGTTTTTACAAAGGCCGTGAAGTTTTTTTAGGCGCTGAAGAGTTTTGAGACTTTCTGAGCACAGAAATTAGTTTTTAAATTATGCTAAAATATTTGAAATTATATTTTTTATTGGAGAGATGTTTCCTCTTATACGGTAAATATAATATCTCTGATAAAAGTATATTGTCAAAGATGTTAACTATTGAGCTCATCATAATTGTGTGGTTTAAGGACACAAAAAAGTATTTTTTATATTAAATTATTCAGTGGAATGTTTAAGTGTGTGCCTTAATAGCTTCTCTGTTTCTATGCAGTAAGCCATTTACTTTTCTCAGAAAGTTACAAAAATAGGGGATATAGCTAAAAAAAAAAAATCGAGCTTTTTATTTTACTTGAAACTAAGTGTTTTCTTGGCTTGTTTTAACATACAGTTGGAAGTTTTAAGATTGACTTTTTTTAAGAAGTAAATATTTCAGAATCTTAGTATCAAGAAATTCTATAGGAGCCTCCACTCACTATATTTTTAAACACAATTGCAATACATTTCAAAGTTGACTAATATTTTGTAAGCCTATTTTGGGAACAAGACTCTTGTAGTTAGTCATCATAATTATCCACAAGAGAATTTTTTTGGATGACCATCAGAATGTCCTGCGCAGGACATTCTGTGAAGGATTGCTCATTTAAAAGAAAATTGTACAAGAGTGAGTTTGCTCAAGAAGCTTCTAAGCATGTTGACAGTCAGTATACATGAGGTTAAAGTTAAAGTTAACCAACAATTCAAGTGCAACAGTAGTTTTCGTGAAAATACCAGACTTTGCATCACAAGGGTTCCAGGTCTGCTAGTTTTAAGAGCTTGGGTAGATTGCTTAATCTTACTTGATCTCTAATTTCGCGACTGTATAATGGGGACATTGATTATTCACAAGGCTTTTTTAGATTTAAAAATGTGCTTTTGGATGTGAAAGTGTTTTTAAAATTATAATATTTGCGTAAGTGTTAAGTTTTACTTAAATATAACATATGTTAGTACCGCAGTTTGTACAATAAATGATACAACCATTCAGAAGGCAAGCAGCTTGTACTGGCACCATATTTTTTCAATGAAGTATATTTAAGGTTCATTTAAACTTGAAATTAAATTAGGCAAATTATAGAAAAGCACTGCTTTGTTTATATTTATGAACAAAGGCCATTTCTCACCAAGTTAATGGTGTAGCTTTTTTTATTCTTTCCTACTTTTGCACTAACTGAAACCACGTCTAGACTTGAAAACATAGTCCAAAGTTCAGCATCATTTAAAATTTATTTTCCTTTCAAGCAATATCTTGGCTAATTTCAGCAGGAAATGTGGTACAATCACATGATCAATAGAGAGATGAATAGAATGTGATCAACAGCTAATTGGATATGAGCCCAAGTGAACCATCAGATATTAGTACTTTGAGTCATAATCTTCAGTACACAGACTGTATCTGAATGGGTCATTTAGTTTCCTGTAACATCCAGGCAGCTCAATTCCCTTATTAAAAAAAAAAAAAAAAAAAAAAAAAAAGTTCTATTTAAGTTCCTCTCTGTTTTTTAAGTTCTTGATTGAAATGCTAAATCAGAGCTGAAATGGTTAAACTGATGGATACAAAAGGGATTTTCCATTTTTCATTTCTCCGTGCAATCCAGTTGCAGTCTCTTTAGACTTTTATTTATCACTTACATGTTTTTATTTTCTGGTAAACAAATTTTACTGTGCAATTGTTATCCCTTCTCAAATAATAATGCTATTTTATTATTTCACTACTGCTTTTCAGATTGATTTTTTTTGCATGTTGCTAAAAGCAAGTCTATACTTTTCCTTATATTTTATAAGCACACTCTTTCATGGCAAAAAAAGATGAAGAAAGAAAAGAAAAAATAAACAGTAGCTTTCACAAATCTCTCAATTTTCAGAAGAAGAATGTTACAGAATAGTTTAATATTCAATTTGAGATATCCAAAATGGAGGTCCAGTCATGCCCTTACTTACTAAAAGGCAAAAGAATAAGGAAGGCAGAAATTTAATCAACATATCTTAGATTTGCAGAGGATCTCTGAAATGTAGTAGCTGTGGCCAGTAACATGTAACCAGACTACCTCAATACTGGCAAACCTGGATTGGAATCTTGATAACACTGTGCACTATCTATGTATTCTTGAACAATGACTTAATCCCTCTAAACCTCATTTTCCTTATACAGAAACTAGAGACATTCACAGAAACACCTTGTGAAGATTAAAATGAGATAATACATATAAAGACTATGGGAGTGTACCTAGAACATACTATGTACTCAGCAGTTATAAGTTCTCTGACTCCTTTTTTGAAACAATCATTTGTTCTTATAGATATTAAGATTGAGAGATTAGTATACTAAAGCATAATCTATTTCATCCCAACTAATACAGGAATTGGTACCTAGAAGTGAGATGATAAGTAACAAATAACCTATAATATGTGGCAGCAGACTAGGGGGCTAGTCTGATGGTGACAGTGAGGAAATTGATATTTCAGGGTGAAAGGATAGAAATTATGCTATGCACAATTAAAATATATATGTCTTACCCTGTTCAGGCTGCTATTATAAACTACCACAGACTAAGTGGCTTACATAACAAATATTTATTTTTCACAGTTTTGGAGGCTGAAAGTCCAAGATCATGGTGTGAGCATGGTTGGGTTCTTGTTGAGGGCCTGTTCCCCAGTTTGCAGATGACCATTTTTACCCTGCATTGTCACATGGCAAAAAGAGGCTCTTCATCCCCTTACAAGGGTCTTAAGCCCATCATAAGGGTTTCATTCTCACAGCCTCATCTAAATCTAATTACTTCCCAAAGTCCCTGTCTCCAAATACCATAACATTGGGGACTGAATTTCAATATATGAATTCTCCAAATACCATAACATTGGGGACTGGATTTCAATATATGAATAACATTCAGTATATAGTAGCTAGAAGGTAGACTAAGTATCTAATAAACTTTTAGCTGTAAAAATTGGAGAACAGAAATTAGTGCCATTGTTGATTGCTTTCGTCTTTATATGGCGAGGTATAAGAAGGACATGATCTTAGAAAAGAGCAGCTTGATCTGCAAAAAGGAGTAAAAGGAAATAGAGATAGGACACAATTTTAGAGTCTCATATAGATGTAGGAGAACCTTTTCTCAAGTATAAACAGTAAAACATAAAATTTTAAAATGCTATAAGGCTGAAAGCTGGTAAAAACTTGGCTTTGTGGTAATAATTGAAACAAGGATATACTTGATTCACCCATTGTTAAAACCTCTGAACAGATTAAGGTGGCATGCAATAAATTCTTAAATTTGATTTAATGACTCAGTGAACAGAGACTAAAATCTCACCAAATTCTGATTTCCAAGGTACTCATAATCACTCAAGAGAGAGAAGCATGAAGAAGCAGCAAGATAAAAACATATATAGTTACATACTTCTTACATTTGTTACATATGTACTTAAATATTTATTGAATATGTATATCTAGAAATATATATTTCTATGTATATATTTCTATATGTGTATATATATAGAGAGAGAGAGAGAAAGAGAGAGAGAGAATGTCTGGAAAAAATGTGGCTGTGAGTACATGAGCTAATTGGAATATAATAGATAAGAAACCATCATTTTAGGAGAGCTTATAGCTGTAGATACTACAGGTCTGAGCTAAGAAAAGGTATTTTTTGAACAGAAAATGCTTCTTGGGCCATTATCTTTCTACAAGCAGAAAGTAGACTGAGATTGCTTCTAGCTCCAAAAGGACATATATCCAATGCTTACTTCACAGATGGGGTCAAGTAGGATAACAAGAAAAATACAGACATATATAGAAGGAAGGAAAAAAGACCACCAGATAATAATGGACCAGGAAGCTCCTCTCTGGAAATGGAACTGGACATAATCAAGGGTGCCATAATAATTCATCTCTGGCACCTAAAGGGAATTCATAAACTAGCATATCCAAGTATAAAAATTTTCCAACAGGCTTATTTCTGATTCTGTCATCATAACAGCTACAAGCAGCAGAAATGACCACAGTTTGCCTATGAACCTGCTGCATTACATTCAGAAGGCACTTGTGGAATCTTATAAAAGTGCTAATTCTGATTCCTCTTCAGACAGATGATACTCACTATTCACACACATATTGGAACAAGATGGTGAGCAGAATGATGCTGAAAGGCAATTCATACACACAGTATCATCCAGCCTATTGCAAATCATATAATAGAGGTTTAATAAATGAATCTTTGCCACATTGGTTACTTATTCTTCATAAATGAACATATGAAGTAGTCTCTATTTAAACTTTTTATAACTTAAATTCTACTTACTGAAAACATCACTAGACATTCTGTAACATTTTCTGCTGATTTTCTTAAAGTTCCAGCTTCAATCATGTGGCCTCCCTACCCAAAATCTTTCCATGGCTCCCCTTTACCTTTCAAATGATGGACAAAGTTCTCGCTCTGGCATTCTATGCCCTTCACCATGAGACCCTCTCTAACCTTGCTAGCTTTAGCACTTGCCACTAGCATAATTGCACATAACTGCCACAAAAATGTAGGTGAGTAGAGTGGGTAGTGTTTCTGCCCCAGAATAGAGAGCAATTTCTTTCTTTTTTTTTTTTTTTTTTTTAATTTTGAGACGGAGTCTCGCTTTGTCACCCAGGCCGGAGTGCAGTGGTGCAATCTCAGCTCACTGCAAGCTCTGCCTCCCGGGTTCATGCCATTCTCCCTCTTGCCTCAGCCTCCCAAGTAGCTGGGACTACAGGCGCCTGCCACCACGCCCAGCTAATTATTTGTATTTTTTAGTAGAGACAGGGTTTCACCGTTAGCCAGGATGGTCTCGATCTCCTGACCTCATGATCTGCCCGCCTCAGCCTCCCAAAGTGCTGGGATTACAGGCGTGAGCCACGGCGCCCAGCCATAGAGAGCAATTTCATATACCAAGAGTTAAAATCACAGGTTTTTATCCCTCCAAATTTTATTTCTAAATCCCTCCAAATTTTATTTCATTGCTTTTAGTATCATTGCTAAAAGCAATGATGACACCAACTGATTCCATACTGTCACAACAACTTGACTCTTCTACCTTCTCTATTCTACCTAATCAGCCCTTGCTTTAAATGATGTCCTTGATGGTACTCACCCAGAGCTTTCAAACTCAGCTGGGCTATTGGACTTTTGCCTTTGGAAACTTGCCCTGCCCCTGCGCTGACACCATAGTAACTATCCGTTTCTGGCTACAGGTCTTTGCTCTGAGATTTCCTTTTGGCAACTGTGTTGTTCCTCTGGCTTTGGTCATTCCTGACATCAGTCTTTATGTGACTTTGTCCCAGCTGTCAATCAGTCATCCTTTATTGCTTTCTTGGCTTCTGCTGCTTTTGACCCAAGTTCATATCTTCAGGTAGGTGTTGGAAAAACCCTCTTTGAGGAGTTGGCCGGCTGTCCTCACACTACGCTATGTGCTGTAGCCAAACTAGCCTAGTCATATTGTCTGAGAAATTTCCTTCTATCCACTGGTGTTTTGAAGGAACAAAAGACACTGTCTGTCCTCCTGGATCTACCCTAAATGTCATTTCTTCTGTGATGATTTCTTTATCTGACTTCTCTGGATGAAATTAATCCATTCTCTCTCTGCACTCCAATAGCACTTTTTGTTTCTTCAATTTGTATTAATCTCACTGTTTCACAATTTTAAACCAAGCAAATGCTTCATTTGTCTTCATGGCCCTGCTCAAATGCCACTGTCCGTATCTCTCTTTGACTTTCTCTCTCCTTTCAGCAGAAGAAAACAATTCATTCCCCTGTTTTCTTGACATTCACAACAGATCAAAGTTCCTCAATGGCAGGGATGTATTTTATTCTTCTTTGTATTCTCTATGCTGAGCTTAGTGCCTGGAACACACTGAGTTGTCAATAGATTTCTGTGAAACCTCACTGTTGACATGGATTTACCTTCATTATATTGTTTAATCCTCATAATGACAAATAAGAAAAGAAGAACAGCTATTATCTTCTGAGAAGAGGAAACCAAGACTCAGAGTGGTTAATTAATTTAGTCTAATCTCCCATAGGTATAGCTAGAACTAGATTTTAAACAGAATTTAAGTCTAATTGACTTACTACTCTTTCTGCTTCCCTCCCTTTCTCCCTCCCTCCCTTCCTTCCTTCTCCAAATGCCAGAGGTTCAAAGGCAAAGAAAACATGCTTTTATCTTAAAGATATTCACAGACTAATGGTCAAGATAAAAAATTAAACATATAATAAATGTTGATACATGCTGTGATAGAAAAGAGTTTAGAATTCTATTAGAACACATAAACATCTACCCAGAAAAGTTGGGAATGAAGAAGGGCCAGGAAAGCTTTTTATATGGAATCAATCCTGTATTGGATTGCAGAATAGGTAGCAGTTAGTCAAATGAATAAATTCGGGAAATAAATTTTTAGACAGGAAGAAAGCATTGCACAGCCATGGAAGTGTGCAAGGTCATGGCCCTTCCAAAGAGATGCAAGCACATTAGCATGGCAGCTATGCAAGCTATGAGAACTAGGCAGGTGGAGGGTTGACACACTTCTTGGAAGAGATATATAAATAATAAAGGTGGTGTCAAAGCAGAAATAGTCGACTCAGGTTTTTAATTTTTTCTATGGTTTTTCTATTATGTATTTGCTTTATTTCTGTTCTGATCTTTATTATTTCCTCCCTTGCTAACTTTGGGTTTAGTTTGTTCTCCTTTCTTTCTCCTTAGTTCCTTGAGGTATAATGTTAGTCTATTTATTGAGGATTTTTTTAAACTGTAGGAATTTGTTACTATTGATTTTCCATGTAGAACTCCTTTTGCTGCATCTTCTAGATTTTGGTATGTTGTATTTCCATTTTCATTTGACTCAAGATACTTTTAAATTTTCATGTTGATTTCTTCTTTGACACGTTGTGGTTATTTAGAAGCATGTAATTTCATTTCCACATATTTGTGAGTTTTCCAAGATTCCTTCTGTTATTTATTTCTAGTTTCATACCACTGCGGTCAGAAGTAATACTAGATACAATTTTAACCCTTTTTTAAATTTGTTAAGACTTGTTTTGCACCCTAATATAAGGTCTATCCTGGAGACTGTTCCACGTGCACTAAAGAAGAATGTGCATTTTGCTGCTGTTGGATGAAAAGCTCTGTATATGTCTGTTAAGTTCATTTGGTCAAAAGTGCTATTCAAAACCAGTATTTTCATATGAATTTTCTGTCTCATTGGTGTAGCCATTGTTAAAAGTGGAGTATTGAATTCCCCAACTGTTATTGTATTACTATCTATTTCTCTTTTCATGTCATTACTATTTCCTTTTCTATGTAGGTACTTTAATGTTGGGTGCATGTACAATTATAATTATGTCCTCTTGATGAATTGACCCATTTTCATTAAAAAATGACCTTTTGTGTGTTTCTCTTATGTCAGATTTTTACTTTATTTTATCGGACATAATTATAGCCACCACTCCTTGGTTTTGGTTACAGTTTATATGAAATGCCTTCTTCCATTCCTTCATTTTCAGCCTATATGTTTCTTTAAAGTTAAAGCAGTTCACTAGCAGGAAGCATATCATTGGATTTTTTTTTAATTCATTCATTCTATACCTTTTGATTACAGAATTTAATCTATTTATATTCAATGTTATTATTGATAAGTATGAATATATTACTGCCATTTTGTTATTTGTACTTTGGTTCTTTTGCAGATCCTTTGTTTCTTTCTTCCTCTCTTGTTGTCTACCTTGGTGATGTGGTAATTTTCTGTAGTGCTCAACTTTGATTCCTTTCTCTTTATTGTTTGTGTAACTTCTGTAGTTTTTTCTTTTGTGATTGTCATGAGGCTTACATAAGACATCTCATAGTTGTAACAGATTAATTTAAGCAGATAACAATGTAACATCCATTACATACAAAAACTCTAGGTTTTTGCTCTCCCTGGTTTCACAATTGATATTTTTAATGTCATAATTTACATCTTTTATATTGTTTATTCCTTAACAACTTATTATAGCTATAGTTATTTTTGAGTGTTTTGAATTTTAACCCTCATATTAGAGATATGAATGGCTTACACAACACCATTACGATATTGGAGTATTCTGAATTAGACTATATATTCACCTCTACCGGTGAGTTTTATGTGTTCATATGTTTTCATTATAGGAATTATTGTTCTTTAGTTTTCATTTAAAGAATTCCCTTAACCATTTCTTGCAAGGCAAGTCTAACGGTGATGAATTCCCTCATCTTTTGCTTACCTGTGAAAGACTTAATTTCTCTTTTATTTCTGAAGAACAGCTTTTCTGCATATAGTACTCTTTGTTGGCAGCTTTTCTTTTTCTTTCAGCACTTTGAATACATCATCCCATTTTCTACTGGCCTGCCGGGTTTCTATTGAAAAATCTGCTGATGGACTAACGAAGATTCTCTTGTATGTGACATTTCACTTTTCTTTTGCTGCTTTTAAAATTCTCTTTGTCTTTGACTTTTGACAATTTGCTTATAATATAGCTCAATGAAGACCCCTTTGGGTTTATGATGTTTGGAGACCTTTGAGCTTCATGGATCTGGATATACTTATCTCTCCCAAGACTTGGGAAGTGTTCAGCAATTATTTCATTAAATATTCTTTTTGTCACTTTCTCTGTCTCCTCTCCATCTGGAAATTCCAGAATAGGAACATTTGTTCACTTAATGATGTCTCATAGGTCTCATAGGCTTCCTTCACTTTCTTTCATTTTTCTGTTTTTTCAACCTCTGCCTGGCGAATTTCAAAAGACTTGTCTTAAAGTTCACAGATTCCTATTTCTGCTTCATGTCTGCTGTTGAAGCTCTCCATTTTATTTTCTATTTTATTCATTGAATTCCTCAGACCCTAGTTTCTTTTTGGTTCTTTTAAATGATATCTATCTCTTTGTTTAATTTCTCGGTCAGATCATGAATTGTTTTTCTCATCCCATTGAATTGTTCATCTGTATTCTCTTATGATTTATTCAGTTCCTTAAGATAATTATTTTGAATTTCTTTCCAGGCAGTTTGTACATTTTTATTTTGGGTCAGTTACTAGATAATTATTGTTTTCCTTTGGTGGTGTCGTGTTTCCTTGCCTTTTTTCATGTTTCTATTTCTCTGCATTGATGTCTGTGCATCTGGTGGAGTAGTGACCTTTTCAAACATCACAGAGTGGCTTTTGTAGGAAAAGGCTTTCATCTGCAGATGGGTCTTAAGGTAGTAGTTGAGCAGGGTGTGGTGGCCCTGGCTCTGGGTGGGAGCAGTGGTATAATTTCCATGCAACTTCTTCAGCTGTGATTAATGTCAGCGGTGACTGCAGATATCTCAGTGGTCAACTGCAGAAGTCTGTGTCAATGGCGGTGGCAACGTAAGTTATGAGGGTTCTTGGTGGCAAGAGCTTTAGAGGACTTTCTATTCTTGTCTCCTCCACAGTGGGGAGTCTTAGCTAAGGGGTTTCCTGTTAATGTTGGGCCTGCCATGACTCATAAGCAGCTGCAGTGGCTCTGAGATTCAGGGGATAGGTGCTTATTAGAGAGGCTATGGAGCTGAAGTCTCACATTCAGAGTCTTGCAAAGCTATTACTACTATGGCATCTGGAACTTGATGCACAAGTGGATTCAGTTTGCTCACAAGTCTGGGATCTGTGACTCTGAGGCACACCCCAGAGCTCAGGTGCAGGAGGAAGGATGTAGCTATGACTCTGACTCTGGGAGGCAGAGTGCAGCACCAGCTTGGCTCCGGGGAAGAAGGAGGGTTCTAGAGGCTTGGATCTCAGGGATCAGATCACAGCTGCAATTCAGGTCCTGGAGCAAACAGTACACAATGGCACTTCAGGCCCCAGAAGATAAAGTACCATGAAATGGACCCTGAGATGGTGAGACATGGTAGCAGCTCAGGTTTGTGAGGCTGGGTATAGTGGCAGCAAGACCCCAGGAACAGTGAAGCACAGCTATGGCTTGGGAAAAAGGCAGCACAGCAATAATTCCACTCGCCAAAGAGGCAGGGCGCGTCAGTATCAGACTGCAGGGGGATAGTACAATTCCACTGAGGTGGAACTTTGACTATTTGTTCTGGAAGGGGTGGCATAGCTCAGTTAAGGTTCTGGTTCCCTGGCAGGGGGGCGGGGCAGCTCTCAGAATCTCAGCTCTGGTAGGTACAGCTACATGGGTCACCCAAGCCTCTGGTTCCCCGGTGGGGCAGGGCACCACATCAGATGACCAGCTGGGATGGGGGATGAAATAGCTATGTAGTAGCTTGGCCTCAGGGGGTAGGGCATAGTAGCAGCTTGGCTTGAGAATGGTGTGGTACTGAGTAGGTATGTTGTAGTAGCAGCAAAGCCTCAGGGATGCAGGAGTACAACGCCTACTCATAGCTAGAGCAGGGTGCACTCTAGTAGTGGCTCTTCTTCTAAGTTGTTCCAGCACAGTAGCAGCTCAGGCCACGGGGAGGGGCACAACATTGGCTCCTTCTGTGAGGTTAGCACATCTGTGTGGACTCCAGGTAGCTCCCTCAGCTGGGCTCAGAGCCTGTAAGGATTCCAGAAGTCTACAATGGCAAAGATCGCAGGTGTTCATGGTGGTGACGGGGGCTGCTGGGGTCCCCTTACTTATCTTTTCCCTTCAGGTATAAGTCTGTCCTAGTTCCAAGCTGACCCTGACTGCTGGAGGGGATGGGGGAAGTAAGGTGTTTTTATCTTTCCTCTATGCAGCTGTTTGGTGTTTCTGTGTTCTGCAGGATTTCTGCTGCTCCTTTGCTGTGCTCTGGTGCTCTCCTTCAGTTACTTTTGTTGAAATGTAGTTGTTTATTTATTTTTTTGAAAGGGGGAAATGAGTGCTAGGAACATCTAGTTGGCCATCTGACTGACATCACTCCTCTTAAGGGTGTCTATTGATGAACCCAATTACCGCATAGTAGTCTAATTTATTAATTTGTTTTATATTTGTGGTTCTCTGTCCTATTTAAGAAATATTGTCTATTCTAAATCCTTGAAGATCTTCTCTGTTTTCCTCCTAAAAACTTTTTATTTTATTTTTTACCTTTAAATGTATAACCCATTTCATTATTTGCTTTATGAATATCTGATTTCACACCATTCATTTTTTAAAAGTCTTCCTTATCTGCTGCACTGTCATCTGTGTTATACAACAAGAGAAAGTGTTTTAACTATTTAATTGTAACTATTAAGTATTTTAAGTATTGGAAAGAATTTACACATGTTACTTTCAAATACAGTCAGATATCCGCAGAATTTTTAAAAAGAGGTAAAAGTTACTAAAATATAGGAATATTCTCTCAGTGGTCAAAAAGAACATAAAAACAGTTCCCAAAAATATAGACCATCGAGCTTTAATTTTGAACCTCTTTAGAACTTTAGTATGCATTATAAATTGTTTTCTGCCTCTTAAAAAAAGGGAATGCCTACAATCCAATACAGGATTACTAAGAACAGGCCATGTCAAAGAGAACTCATTTGCTTTTTAATATCCTGACCACACAGGTAAAAATGGTAGTGCTATAATAATGCCTTAAAATATCTCCATTAAATTAAAACAACCGATGTAGACTGTCATAATAACATTTTGGGCATGCATACTATAATTAAATATAGAATAATTCGTCAATGATTGAATTCCAGCCGGAGTGTTGATTAATGGGGCTGGCTATGAACTTAAAATGTAGTGTCTACAAACATTACTTTGCTCTGTCCTGTCCATCAAGTTTGTCAGTTACATTGATACAGCACAGAAGACGTGCTTATTACATTTTTTCAATAATATCACCTGGTTAATTCAGTGTGAGGTAATGAGGAGTCTAAAAGTTTTCTGAAAAATTTAAACTGCAAGACCAAACATTTAATAAAAATAAATATAAATAAAAATGTGAGTCTACATTTAAAAACTAATTGATTATGTATAAGATGGATATTTTTGTAAGAATGGCTATTACATTTTTTTTACCAAAATAGAGGCCAAAATGGTTTTGGAACTTATTGGTAGAATTGTAATGTAAGACTAGGACGATGCGTGCTATATGCCATATTTGCCTGCCTTCACATGTTCTAAACGGGATATCTGGATATCATATTACTAGCATCTGCAGGAATGCTAGCAAGGTGGGATACATTCAGGAAAGATAACCAAAAGCAGTCAGAAATCACTGGAAAATTTGTGGGTTTTTAGGTAGATAATTTGAAATTATACATCCTATTCTCCCATCTGACAGGTTTTCTACATGAAAATTGAGGAGAGACTAGAGAAGAATTGTCTTTAGGGAGAAAATAGACTTATAATAAGCCCTTTTTAATAGGAAAAAAGAGTATGTGAAAAACATATTTTTGACTTGCTGAAAAGTATGACTTTCTAATAATTACCGGTGGGCATTTATTCATTGTTATAATTCATTTACTCATTCATAGTTGTTGAATGACTATTCTGTGTCACAAACTATCCTATGTATTGAAGAGACCAACAATAATTGGAAAAAATACCTACCCTCAAAGAGCTCATAATTTAATAGGAATAGGGAAGGAGTGGAAGAGAGAATGATAGATAGAAAAATCAATAATTATAATAGAATGCAAAAGGTGCTATAATAATCATTCCAGTAATCCACGGGAGTGGACAGAATTACCAGTTCTGTTCCAAGAATAAATGAACACATAGAAATGCTTCATTAAAATAAAAGTTATCATACATAAAGCATGCACACGTATGTTTATTGCGGCACTATTCACAATAGCAAAGACTTGGAACCAACCCAAATGTCCAACAATGACAGACTGGATTAAGAAAATGTGGCACATATACACCATGGAATACTATGCAGCCATAAAAAATGATGAGTTCATGTCCTTTGTAGGGACATGGATGAAATTGGAAATCATCATTCTCAGTAAACTATCGCAAGAACAAAAAAACCAAACACTGTATACTCTCACTCATACGTGGGAATTGAACAATGAGAACACATGGACACAGGAAGGGGAACATCACACTCTGGGGACTGTTGTGGGGTGCGGGGAGGGATAGCTTTAGGAGATATACCTAATGCTAAATGACGAGTTAAAGGGTGCAGCACGCCAGCATGGCACATGTATACATATGTAACTAACCTGCACATTGTGCACATGTACCCTAAAACTTAAAGTATAATAATTTTTAAAAAAAGTTATCTGTGAATAGTTAGTCTTTCTATATGTGAAGTTTTGTGCTGAATGCCTTGTATATATAATGTGATCTAATTCTCAATACCATCCTATATTCTGTTATTTTTCTCATTTTATAAAGAACCTGATTCAAATATAGGTTGTGCATTACCAGAGCTACCACACTACTATGCGATAGACCTGAGTTATAAACACAGGAAATTTTATTCTAGAGAATATAACCTTAATCAGGGTTTTCCAAACTATTACAACTCATTTGTAGATCGTAAAATCAAATTTCTGTCCCGACCATTACTTTAAAAAATTAATAGAATATAAAATATATTTATGTATTATACAGGAAGAATAAATATTGCTTTATGAAGATCCATAAGTGTATGTATGTGTGTCTGCAGGTGCATACTAGGTCAATAAAATCATTTTGAAATGCACTAGAGTGCTCTGCTCTTCTTAACAAGATCTGCCTTCAGGAGAAGCTAAAGTATATTCTTCATAGTTGTGTACTAGTTACCTATTTCCGCCTAATAAATGGCTGCAAGCTTTAGTGGACTAAACAGCAATAACACTTACTATCTCATAGTTTCTGTGGGTCAGAAATCCAGGCAGACATGGCTTAGCCAGGTCTTCTGACTCTGGGTCTCTCACAAGACTGGTTATCTCAAGTCTTGAATGGAAGTATTTGCTCCCTAGTTCATTCATTTAGTTGAAGGATGGATTCAGTTTATTCTAGGCTGTTGGACTAAGATCTCAGTTCCTCACATGTTGTTGGCCAGAGGTCTCCTTTAACTTCTTGCTACATGGGCCCCTCCACAGAGAATACAACATGGCATCTTGGTTCACTGAGCATGCAAGACGGTAGGAGTGCAAGGGAGAGTTCCAGCAAAAGAGAATCTTAGCAAGATGAAAGTGATAGTCTTTTGTGACCTAATCATGGAAGTGACATCCCATTATTTTTGCTGTATTCTATTTCTTAGAAGCAAATCATGGCTTCTGGTTCTGAATGTAAGGAGTTGGAAGTCAACCCTCTATCCTAACAATGAGTAAAAATGTGAACAAACTAAATAATCAACAACTTTTCTTAGATCTATAAGAGAAGTGAGGTCACAGGATGAACTGCTACCATGAAAATTGGAAAGACAGAGAGGCAGATATAGAGAATCACAACATACCTGATGAGAAACCATTGTGTGAATCAGTGCCAGGGCAGGAAAACGTGAACTGCAAATGATGAACTGCTGGAGACTAAGTGCAGGCAAGCCTGAGAGATTAAAAACTCCTGGGAAACCCAGTTACAGCCCGCCCCACCCCGCGACCGCGTTTTTGTAAATTTTACCTCCAGGAGCTCAACCAGGTTCTCACAGTAAATATCAGAGAAAGAGCTCCTTGTGCTTCCAGCATGGGGTGGGGAAAATAAATCATTTTGAAATACACCAAGGCAATCTTTTTCTTAACGAGGTCTGACCTCAGAAGAAACTAGTTAACCATAACCCAACCTGCCAAGGTTTTATCAGAGCCTAACTGACCTGGGAAATAATCAACTCCCACCCTCTTTCGCTATCCTGTCCCTTCTGAGTGGGGAGAAAAAACTGAGAAACCCTGTGAAATTCACAGCTCAGAAGCATAGACTGACTAAAAAACAGACCTACTCATAGGATTATAGAACACTTCCCCTCCACTCACACCTTACTACCACATTATTAAAGTCTGACTTATCAATGTTTCTTTAACCCAGTGTATCATGTCCAGATGTTAAAAATTTTTTTAAAGCACACTAAAAGGCAAAAACACAATTTGAGGAGACAGAGCAAGCATTAGAACCAGACACAGCAAGGTTGTTGGAATAATCAGACTGGGAATTTAAAACAAATACGATTACTACGCTGAGCACTCTAATGGATAAAGTAGACTACATGCAAGAACAGATGGGCAATGTAAGGAGAGAGATGAAAATCTTAAGAAATAATCAAAAAGAAATGCTGGAGATCAAACAGCATTCACAGAAATGAAGAATGCTTTTAATGGGTTTATAAGCAGACAAGACACAGCTGAAGAAAAGATTCTCTATTCTTAAGGATATATCTATAGAAACCTTTAAAACTGAAAAGCAAAGAGAATAAGGACTGAAAAAAATAAGACAGAATATCCCAGAGCTTTGGGTCAACGATAAAAGATGCAGCATAAGTGTAATAACAATACCAGAAGGAGAAAAGATAAATAGAAACAGGATAAATGCCAAAGCAAAGACAAAAACAAAAGCAAAATAAAACAAAAGAAATCAAACCTACACATATAATTTTCACAATACAGAAAATCAAAGATAAAGAAAAAATGCTGAAGGAAGCCAGAGGAAATAAAACTTCGCCTGTAGAGAAACAAAGATAAGAATTATATCTAACTTCCCCTCAGAAACCATACAAGTAAGAAAAGAATAGAAGAGAGAACATCCAAATGGCTGACTAGAAGCAGCCAGGAGGGGCTGACTAGGAGCACCCAGGAGGAGCTTCTTCCTCTAAGACTAGACCATCAAGAATTGACACTCTCCAAGCAGATCTTTGGAAGAAAGGTATTGAGAGTGGTTGGAGAGACGTTGCAGAATTTGGGTGAAGGGGGAGGAAGGTGAGAACCGTACACAGGTTTGCAGAGCACACAGGATTAGTTTCTGGCCCCGAGTGGCTCCTAGGGAAGGAATGAGTTAAATAGACATGATGTAGCAGCCCACTCTTTCCATGAACCTCCAGAATCCTAGCTGCAGGAAACCCCACAACCCCAGAGATATTTGAGCTGGCAGAAAGAGCTGCTTGGAGAGCTGGCAGGGACAGGACTCCAGCCTGTGCAGAGCCCAGAGTGTTTGTTGAGACAACAGTTACAGTAGAGTATGACCAGGAATGCCCAATCCCCAAGGCTCACCATGCTTCTCTAGGTGTCTTTATCCTTTGTTGACTGTCAAACCAGGACAGAACAGGGCTATTTTGCCCATGGGATGCGGCCAGTATGATCTGTGTGCCTCCTTGTGTACCAGCCTCTCCCAGGGTTCCTGCCTGTCTGTACCCACTTGCAGCACACCTTCAGATGCTCAACCGGGGTGCTTCCCAGCACCCACTGCCATAGCTCCTTCACCAACAGACCCTGCATAAACATCAGAGAGCTTCTACAGATGGGTTCCTACTGATGTGCACCTTCCCATCACCTTTCCTGACCACTTTGCCAGCATGCATGGATCTTGCCTTGCTGCTGCTGCCCCACCCTTGCACGTATGTGGGGTTGTGGACCCTGCTGCCCTGCTGCTGCTGGTGTGAGTGTGTACACGCTAACCCTGTTGCCACTGACCCAGTGAAGCGCTTTTGTCAGTACCTGCCACCCAGCCTCTCCAGCGCAGCAGGTACTCAACCCCAAGAAGCCAGAGAAAAAAGATGTGGGCCTGGCCCAAGTCCCCCAGGTTTATAGCATGCAGCTGAGGAGTTCTGAGCTGAGCCCTGGCCCCCTGAAATTGTCCAGAAATGAAGCCAGTCAACTGAACCCAACTTATACCACAATCAAACCCTCAAGGGCATCAAAGAATATAAAAGCAAAAAGCCACAGCCACAGGACAGTGACTCTAAAGGAAAATCAGCCCACATAAATGTGAAAGAAGCAGCAAGAACTCTGGCAACTCCAAAAGCCAGAGTGCCTTCTTACCTCTAAATGACTGCACCAGCACCCCAGAAATGGTTCTTAACCAGGCTGAAATGGCTGGAATAACAGACATAGAATTCAGAATTTGTATGGCAACAAAGATCATCGAGATTCAGGAGAAAGTTGAAACCCAATGAAAAGAATCTAGAAAATCTGGCAAAACCATACATGAGCTGAAAGAAAAAATACTCATTATAAGAAAGAACCAAACTGATCTGATAGAGTTGAAAAACTCACTACAAAAATTTCATAGTACAATCAGAAGTATTAGCAGCAGCATAGACCAAGCCAAGGAAAGAATCCCAAAGCTCAGAGACTAATTCTTCAAATCAACTTAGTCAGAAAAAAAAAAAAAAAAAAATCACGAACAAAATATCTGAGAAATACAGGATGATGTAAAAAGACCAAACATATGATTTGTTGGCATCCCTGAGAGGGAGGGAGGGAAGGAGGGAGGGAGGGAGGGAGGAAGGGAGGGAGGGAGAGAGAGCAACCTAGAAAACATGCTTGAGAACATCGTCCACAAAAATTTCTGCAACCTTGTGAGAGAGATTGACTTTCAAATTCAAGAAATCAGAGAACCCTTGCAAGATAGGATACAAGATATTTGCCCCCAAGTCAGATGGTTATCAAATTCTCCAAAGTCAACATGAAAGAAAAAATATTAAAGGGAGCTAGAGACAAGGTGCAGGTCACCTACAAAATGAACCCCATTAGGCTAACAGTGGATCTTTCAGCAGAAATTCTACAAACCAGAAAAGACGGGGGTACCTATATTCAGCATTCTTAAAAAAAAGAAATTCCAATCAAGAATTTCAAATCCAGCTTCATAAGCAAATGCTAACGGAATTTGTTACCACCAGACTTGCCTTACTAGAGTTCCCTAAAGGAGTGCTAAACATAAAAATGAAAGACCATTACCTGCCACCACAAAAACATACTTAATAACTGACTGACACTATAAAGCAACTATACAATCAAGTCTACATAACAACCAGCTAACAACACAATGACAGGATCAAATCTTCACATATCAATATTAACCTTGAATATAAATGGGTTAAACACCCTACTTAAAAAAACAGAGTGGCAAGTTGAATAAAGAAGCAAGATGCAACCATATGCTGTCTTCAAGAGACCCATCCCACATGCAATGACACCCATAGGCTCAAAGTAAAGGAATGGAGACAGATCTGTCAAGCAAACAGAAAACAAACAAACAAAAAAGCAGAGGTTTTATTAGTATTTCAGACAAAACAGACTTTGAATCAATGATGATCAAAAAGGACAATGAAGGGCATTATATAATGATAAAGGTTTCAATTTAAAAAGACTTAATTAGCCTAAATATATATGCTTCCAAACACTGGAGATTCTAGATTCTTAAAATAAGTTTCTAGAGACCTATGAAGTCTTAGATAACCACAGAATAATAGTGAAAGACTTCAACATTTCACTGACATTTTAAGACAGATCAAGACAGAAAACTAAAAAAGATATTTGTGACCTAAACTTGACACTTGACCAAATGAACCTAGGTGACATCTACAGAACACTATGCAACAAGAACAGAATAGGCATTCTTCTCATCGGCACATGGCACATACTCTAAAATTGACCACATGCTTAACCATAAAGCAATTCTCAACAAATTCAAAAAACCTGAAATCATACCAACCACACTCTTGGACCACAGTGCAATAAAAATAGAAATCAATTCCAAGAAGATCTCTCAAAACCATACAATTATATGGAAATTAAACAATCGGCCCCTGAATGACTTTTGGATAAAAAATAAAATTAAAGAAGAAATCAACAAATTGTTACACAGTAATGAAAACAAAAATATAACATATTAGAATCTCTGGGAAACAGGTAAAGCAGAATTAAAAGGCAAGTTTATAGTGCTGATCATCCACATCAAAAAGTTAGAAGGATCTCAAACTAACACCATAGTGTCACATCTAGAGGAACTAGAGAAACAAGAGCAAACCAAACCCAAAGCTAGCAGAGGAAAAAAAAAATAACAAAATCAGAGCTAAACTGAAAGAAACTGAGAGCAAAAAGCCATACAAAAGATGAACAAAACCAAGTTGGTATTTTTGAAACAAAAAATAAGAGTGATAGATGACTAGCTAATTTAAAAAAGAGAGAGTGAGAGGAGATACAAATAAACACAGTCAGAAATGAGAAAGGGGATATTACCACCAACCCCACAGGAATATAGAAATCTCTCAGAGACTGTTATGAACACCTATATGCACACACACTAGAAAACCTAGAAGAAACGGATAAATTCCTCAAAATTACAACCTTCCAAAATTGAACGAGGAATAAACTGAAAAGTTGGAAACGTCAATAATGAGTTCCAAAATTGAATCAGTAATAAAAAAGCTTACCAAGTAGTAAAAGCTCTGGAACTGACAGGTTCACAGCAAAATTCTACCAGACATACAAAGAAGAGTTGGTACCAATCTTATTTAAACTATTCCAAAAAGTTGAGGAGGGACTCCTACCTAACTCATTCTATGAGGTCAGTGTAATTCTGATTCCAAAACCTGACAGAGACTCAATGAAAAAAGCAAACTTCAAGCCAATATCCCTGAGAAACATATATACAAAAATCTTTAACAAAATACTAGCAAATCAAGTCCAGTGGCACTCAAACATCAAATCTATTACAATTAAGTAGGCTTTATGGCTGGAATGCAAGGTTGGTTCAATATACACATATCAATAAATGGATTCATCATGTAAACAGAACAAAAACCAAAAACTATATGATTATTTCAATATAAGCAAAAAAAGCTTTTGATAAAATTTAATGTTCCTTCATGTTAAAAAGAAAACCCTCTACAAACTAGGTATTGAAGGAACAAACCTCAAAATAATAACCATCTATGACAAAACCCCAGCAAACATCATATTGAATGGGCAAAAGCTAGAAGCATCCCCCTTGAGAAATGAAATAAGACATGGATACCCCTTCTCAACACTCCTATTCAACATAGTACTAGAAGTCTTAGCCAGAGCAATCAGGCAAGAGAAAAAAATAAAAGGCATCCACATAGGAAGAGAGGAAGTCAAACTATCTCTGTTTGCATATGACATGATTCTATATCTAGAAAACCCCATAGTCTTGACTCAACAGCTCCTTCAGCTGATAACTTCAGCAAAGTTTCACAACATAAAATAAATGTACAAAAATCAGCAGCATTTCTATACACCAATAAGGTCCAAGCTGAGAGCCTAATCAAGAACACAATCCCATTCACAATAGCCACAAAAAGAATAAAGTACTTAGGAATATAGCTAACAGGGGAGGTAAATGATCTCTACAATGAGAATTACAAAACACTGCTGAAAGAAATCAGAGATGATACAAACAAATGAAAAAGCATGCTGTGCTCATGGATTAGAAAAATCAATATTATTAAAATAGCCATCCTGCCTAAAGCAACCTAGACTCAATGCTATCCTATTAAACTGTCAATGCCATTTTTCACAGAATTTTTTAAAACTACTAGAAAAAATACCCTGAATAGCCAAAGCAACCCTAAGCAAAAAGAACAAAGCCAGAGGCACCACACTTTCTAACTTCAAATGATACTACAAGGATACAGCAACCAAAACAGCATGGTACTGGCAAAAAAAAAAAAAAAAAAAAAAAAAAAAAGATACATTAGCCAATGGAACAGAATAGAGACCCCAGAAATAAAGCCATGCACTGATAACCACCTGATTTTCAACAAAGTTGACAATAACGAGGAATGGGGAAAGGGGTCCCTAGTCAAGAAATGGTACTGGGATAACTCACTAGCCATATGAAGTATATTGAAACTGGATCCCTACCTTTCATCATATACAAAAATCAACTCAAGATGGATTAAAGACTTAAATGAAAAACCTAAAACTATAAAAACCCTAGAAGAAAACCTAGGAAACAACATTTTGGACATAGGCCCTGGCCAAGATTTCATGACAAAGGCTCCAAAAGCAATTGCAATACAAACGAAAATTGACAAGTGGCACCTAATTAAACTGAAGAGGTTCTGCATAGCCCAAGAAACTATCAACAGAAAAAACAGACAACCTACAGAATGGGAGATCATTTTCACAAACTATGCATCTGACAAAGGTCTGATATCCTGGATTTATAAGGAATTTAAACAATTTAACAAACCCAAAACAAACAACCCATTCAAAAATGGGCAAAGGACATGAATAGACACTTCTCAAAAGAAGACATGGATGTAGCCAGCAAGCATATGAAAAGATTCTCAACATTACTAGTCATTAGAGAAATGCAAATCAAAATCACAATGAGATACCATCTCACACCAGTCAGAATGTCTATTGTTAAAAAATAAAAAAATAACAGATGCTGGTGAGGTTGTGGAGCAAAGAGAACACTTACATACTGTTGGTGGGAATGTTAATTAGTTTAACCACCGTGGAAAGCAGTTTGGAGATTTCTCAGAAAACTTAAAACAACTCAGAATCAACTCAGGAATCCCATTATTGAGTATATATCCAAAGGAATATATGACTTGTTCTACTATAAAGACACATGCACACATATGTTTATCACAGCACTTTTCGCAATAGCAAAGACATGGAATCAACCTAAATGCTCATCAGTGGTAGACTGGGTAAAGAAAATGTGCTACATATATTCCAGGGAATATTACACAGCCACAGAAAAGAATGAAACCACAACCTCTGCAGCAACATAGATGGAACTGGAGGCCATTATCTTCAGCAAATTAACACAGGATTAGAAAACCAAATACCACAGGTTCTCTAAGTGGGAGCTAAACATTGAGTACACATGTACACAAAGAAGGGAACAATAGACACTCAGGCCTACTTGAGGGTGGAGGATGGGAGGAGGGTGAGGATCAAAAAACTACCTATCGGGTACTGTGCTCATTACCTGGGTGATTAAATAATCTCTGCATTAAACACCCACAACATGCAATTTACCCAGGTTACAAACGTGCATATGTACGCCCTAAACGTAAGATAAAATTTGGGAAAAAAAAGAGAAAAAAATAGAGTGAAGTATTTAAAAAGTGTTGAGCGATAAAACCATCAACCTAGAATTCTATACTCTGTGAAGTTATCTTTCAAAGTGAGCGAAAAATAAAGACTTTCTCAGACAAACAAAAATTAATGGAATTTGTTGCCAATAGACATGTCTTGTAAGAAATGTTAAAAGAAGTTCTTTAGAGAGAAGGAAAATCATATAGGTCAAAAACTTGTATCTACATAAAAAAAGGAAAAAATATCAAAGATAGAATAAGTGAAGATAAAAACTTACATTTTCAAATTCTTAATTGACCTAGCAGTAGTTTGTTCAAAATAATAGCAACAATGTATTTGATTATGTATGCTTATATCTTATGTTTTTGAAAGCAGGCTTGATTTAATCATAAATGTATGTTGCAAACTCTTGCGCCATCACTAAAAAATGTTTTAAAAAAGGATAAGTAATATGCTAAGAAAGGAAAGAAAATTGAATTATGTAACATGCTCAGTAAAAAACAAAAAGGGCAGAAAAAGAGTGAATAGGCACAAAGCACAAGGGCAACAAATAAAATACTAATAAATATGCTAGTTATTAATCCAACTATATCAATAATCAAAGGTCTAAATGTGCCAATTACAAGGGAGAAATTGTCAGAGTGTATAAAAAAATAGGATCCAACTATATGTTGTTTACAAAAAACCCACTTTACAAAAAACCCACTTTAAATATAAAGAAACATACAAATTCAAAGTAAACGGATGGAGAAAGATATGCCAGGGTAACACTGATGAAAAGAAAGCAGGAATACTTAGATTAATTTCAGACAAACAGAGTTCAAAGCATAGAAAGTAATCAGGGATAAACAAGAACATTGTATAATGATAAAGGGATTAATTCTTTTTAGCTGAAGGCATCACACTACTTGACTTCAAACCGCCATAATAATAGGCACATTGACAAAGGGAACAGAATAAAACAGAAATAAGTCCACATATTTATGGTCAATTTTTTTTTGACAAAAATGCGAAGAACACAGGATGGGAAAACACATTCTCTTCAATAAAGGATGTTGGGAAAAGTGCATATACACATGCAGAAGAAAGAAATTAGACCCTTATCTCACACCATATGCAAAAATCAACTCAAAATGGATCAAACACTTAAATGTAAGACCCAAAACTATAGAACTACTACAACAAAAAGAAGAAAAAAGCTATATGACATCGGTCTGGGTAATGATGATTATTTTTATTTGACTCCAAAACTTCAGGCAACAAAAACAAAAATAGACAAATGGAAATACAACGAACTAAAATGCTTCTGCACAGCAAAGGAAATAATTAATGAAGTAAACAGACAACCTATTGAACTGGGACAAAACATTTGCAAGATATACATCCAATAAGGGGTTAATATTCAAAGTATAAAAGGAATTCAAACAAATCAATAGCAAGAAAACAAATACCTAATTAAAAAATGGGCAAAGGACCTGAATAGACATTTCTTAAAAGAAGACATACAAGTGGTCAACAAATATTTAAAAACTGCTCAACATCACTAATCATTAGGAAAATGTAGGTTAAATCCACAATGAGATATCACTTTATACCTGTCAGAATGGCTATTATCAAAAAAATGATAGATAAGTGTTGGAAGAAATGTAAAAAAAAAACAGAAAAAAACCCTTGTGCACTGGTGGTGGGAATGCAAATTTGTGTAGCCATTATGAGAAACTGTATGGAGGGTCCTCAAAAAACTAAAAATAGAAGTACCATACGATCCAGCAATCCAATGTTTGGGTATACAGCTAAAGGATTTGAAACCAGTATATCAAAGATATATCTGCACTCATATGTTAATTGCAGCATTATTCATAATAGCCAAGTTATGAAATCAACCAAAGTGTCTATCAATGGATGAGTGGATAAAGAAAATGTCATATAGATACACAATGGAATATTATTCAGGCTTAAAAAAAAAGAGGGAAATCCTGTCATTTGTGATGACATAAATAAACCTGGAAGGTGTTATGCTAAGTAAAGTAAGCCAGGCACAGCAAGACAAATGCTACATGTACTCACTCACATGTGGAATCTAAAACAATCAAGCTCATTGAAGTAGGCTGGGAGGCAGGGCGAGAAATGGGGAAATATTAGTTAAAGGGTACAATGTTTCATTAGACAGGAGGAACAAATGATAAGTATTTGAGGTGGTTGATATGTTAATCAGCTTGATTCAAACATTGCACATTTTGTGTATATAACGTTATTCTGTATCCCATAAATACAATCTTAATTTATCAATATTCAGTAACAGTTTTAAAAGAAAAAACACGAAAGCAGGAGTGGTTTGACTAATTTCAGAGTTGACTTAAATCCGAGGAAACTCATCAGGCATGAGGAAGGGAACACTGCCTAATGATATAAGGGTCAGTCCTCCAAAGAGACACAATAATTTTTAACATGAATGTGCCTAACAACAGAGCATAAAACTACATGAGGCAAAAACTGATAGATGAATCCACTGTTATGCCTGAAGACATAAACATCTCTGTCAAAAACAGAGGCTCCAGCAGGCATAAAATCAATAAAGACATAGTTGAGATCAACACCTTCAATCAAGTAAATATAATGGGCATCTATCAATTACTTCATCCAACAACAACAGAACATAAATTCTTCTCAAACTCACATGAAATTTGCCAAAATATACCACATTTTAAGCCATAAAACATATTTTAGCAAATTTAAAAAATATAAATTATGCAATGTCTGCTCTAAGGTCACAATGAAATTAAACTAGAAATCAATAGCAGAAAGATAAATGGAAAATACAAAAATACATGGATATTAAGCAACACATATCTATAAAGAATGGGTCAAAGAAAAAAATCTCAAGAAAAATTTAAAAATATTTTGAAATAAATAAAATAATACAACTTATCAAATTTGCAAAATTAGTGAAAGCAATGCTCAGCGGGAAATTTATAATATTGAATGTATGTATTAGAAAATAAGAAAGATCCAAAATCAATCATCTAAGTTTCTACCTTAGCAAACTAAAAAAAAAAAAGAAGAGCAAATTTAATCAAAAGTAGAATAAAATAATATTAATAACTAGAACAATTAAAAGATCACATTATACAATTTAAATACATAAATTTCTTCTTGCCAGTGTTACCTCAACGAAGCTGAAAGACATTAGAACAGAAATCGCTGAAATTGAAAACATGAAATCAATAGAGAAAATTGATGAAACCAAATGCTGATTCTTTAAAAAGATCAATAAAATAAATACACTTCTAGCCAGGCTAACTAAAAGGGAGAAAGAGAGAGAGACAGAGAAAGAAAGGACACAATTATTAATATCAGAAATGAAAGAGGGGATAGCTCTACAGATCCTATGGACCATACATGGATGACAAAGCAGCATATGAAGAAATCTACACTCATAAATTTGATAACGTAGATGAAATGAACAAATTCCTTCAGATACAATCTGCCAAACTTGCTCAATAAGAAATACAGGCCTACCTCAGAGATATGCCAGACCACTGCCATAAAGCAAACATCACAATAAAGTGAGTCACATGAAAATTTTGGTTTCTCAGTGCATATAAAATTTATGTTTACACTGTACTATAGTCTATTAACTGTTCAATAGTATTATGTGTTACAAAACAGCATAATACTTTAATTTAAAAAGACTTTTTGTTAAAAAAAAAATGCTAATGATCATCTGAGCCTTCAGCGAGTCCTAATCCTTTTGCCATTGGAGGCTTGTCTCCAAGTGGATGGCTGCTGACTGATTGGGGTGGTGGTTGCTAAAGGTTGGGGTGGCTGTGGCAATTTCTTAAAATGAAACAACAATGGTTTGGCACATCAATTTACTCCTTTCACAGAAGATTTCTCTGTAGCATGTGATGCTGTTTAATAGCAGTTTACCCACAGCAGAACCTCTTTCAAAATTGGAGTCAATTGTGTCAAACCCCACCACTGTTTTATCAGCTAAATTGATGTAATATGTCAACTCCTTTGTTATTTCAACAATATTCACAACATTTCACCAGAAATTCTATTTCATTAAACCGCTTTCTTTGCTTACCCATAAAAAGGAACATCTCATCTGTTGAAGTTTTATCACATGATTGTAGCATTTCAGTCATATCTTCAGGCTCCACTTCTAATTCTGGTTCTCCTGCTATTTTCACTGTATCTTCAGTGACTTCTTCCATGTAAATCCTGAACCTCTCAAAGATATCCATGAGGGTTTGAATAAACTTTTTCCAAATTTTTGTTAATGTTGATATTTTAACCTCCTCTCTTGAATCACAGATGTTTTTAATGGCATCTGGAATGGTTACTCCTTTTCAGAAAGTTTTCAATTTACTTTGCCCAGATCCATAAGAAAAAAAAAACACTATCTATGACAGCTATAGCCTTACAAAATATATTTCTTAAACACGACTTAAAAGTTAAAATGACCTCTTTATCTGTGGGTTGTAGAATGGATGTTCTGTTAGCAGGCATGAAAACAACATTCTTCTCCTTGTACATCCCCATTGGAGCTCTTGGGTGACCAGGTGTATTGTCTATGAACATTGATATTTTGAAAGAAATCAGTTTTTTCTGAGCAGCAGGTCTCAACAGTCAGCTTCAAATATTTAGTAAACCATGCTGTAAACAGATGTGCTGTCATCCAGGCTTTGTTGCTCCATTTCTAGAGCACAGGCAGAGTAGATTTAGGATACTTTTTAAGGTCGCTAGGATTTTTGGAATAGTAAATGAGCATTGGCTTCAACTTTAAGTCACCAGCTGCATTAGCCTCTAGCGAGAGAGTCAGCCTGTCCTTTGAAACTTTGAAGCTAAGCATTGACTTCTCTCTAGCTGTGAAAGTCCTAGATACCATCTTCTTCCAATATAAGTCTGTTTTATCTATAATCAAAATCTGTAGTTTAGTATAGTCACCTTCACTAATTATCTTAGATCTTCTGAATGACTTGCTGCAGCTTTTATATCAGCATTGTTGCTTTACCTTGAACCTTTATATTATGGAGATGACTTCTCTTCTTCAACCTCATAAACCAACATCTATTAGCTTGAAACCTTTTTAGTGCAGCTTCTTCATCTCTCTCAGCATTCACAGAGTTGAAGAATGTTAGGGGCCTGCTCTGGATTAGGCTTTGGCTTAAGAAAATGTTGTGACTTGTTTGGTCTTCTCTCTGGACCACTAAAACTTTCTCTATATTAGCATTAAGAAGTGTTATAGTTTGATATTTGTCTCGTCCAAATCTCATGTTGAAATGTGATCCTCAGTGTTGAAGGTGGGATGTAGTGTGAGGTGTTTGGGTCATAGGGGCAGATCCCACATGAATGGCTTGGTGCCCTTCTTGCAGTAATGAGTGAGTTCTTGCTCTGTTACTTCACAGGACAACAGGTTATCTAAAAGAGCCTGGTAACTCCCTCTTCTTGCTCCCTCTCTCACCATGTGATACACCAGCTCCCCTTTCCTTATCTCATGAGCAAAAGCTTCCTGAGGCCTCACCAGAAGCCAACAGTTGCCAGTGTCATGCTTCTTGTGTAGTCTGTAGAAATGTGAGCCAAATAAACCTCTTTTCTTCATAAATTACCCAGGCTTAAGTATTCCTTGCAAAAACAGACTAATTAAAAAATTATTTTGCTTTGTTATCATTTGTGTGTTCACTAGAGTAGTACTTTTCATTTCCTTCAAGAATTTTTTCTTCACACTCACAACTTGGCTAACTGGTGTTAAGAGGCTTAGTTTTCAGTCTGTCTTGGCTTCGAACATGCCTCCTCACTAAGCATGTTCATTTCTAGCTTTTGATTTAAAGTGAGAAACACGGAACTCTTACTTAAACATTAGAGGCCATGAGAGGTTTGTTAATTGGCATAATTTCAATATTATAGGAAAAGAAGGCCAATATTTCTCATGAACACAGTTGCAAAAATCCTCAACAGAACACTAGCAAATCAAATCCAGCAATGTATAACAAGAATTATACACCATGTCTGGTATGGTTTGAATTTGTCTCCCCACACAAATCTCATGTCAAATTAAAGGAAGGGCCTGTTGTGAGGTGATTGGACCATGGGGGTAGATTTCCCCCTTGTTGTTCTTGTGATATTGAGTGAGTTCTAATGAGATCTGATGGTTTAAAAGTGTGTGGCATTTCCCCCTTCACTCTCTCTGTCTTCTACTCCACCATGGTAAGATGGGGACATCCCCCTATGTTCTGTGTCTCTCTCCTGCTCCACCATGCTTATCCTTTGCCTTCCACCATGATTGTAAGTTTCCCAAGGCCTCCCACTCATGCTTCCTGGTAAGCCTGTGGAACTGTGAGTCAATTAAACCTTTTTTCTTCATAAATTACCCAGTCAGTCTCAGGTAGTTCTTTATAGCAGTGTGAAAATGGACCACTACAATGTCAAAGTCGGATTTTTCCCAGATGTGCAAGCCTGACTCAACATTAGAAAATCAATTAATGTAATTTATCATGTCAACAGGCTACAGAAGAAAAATCACATGATTATATCAATAGATACAAAAAAGAATTTGAAAATGCAACACCCATTCATGATTAAATACTGTTAGTAAACTAGGAATAGTGGGAAACTTTTTCAACTTGATATAGAATATCTACGAAAACCTAGAGTTAACATAATACTTAATGGTGAGAGACTAGGAGCTTTTCCGCTAAGATCAGGAAGAAGATAAAGATGTCCACTTTCACCACTGCTTTTCAAGATAGTTCTGGAAGTCCCAGATGTAATAATACAAGAAATGTGATAAGACAAGAAAATAAAAGGCATACAGATTGTGAAACTAAACCAAACTATCTTGGTTTGCAGATGACATGATGGTCTATGTAGAAAATCTAAAAGCACTGACAAAAACACTCATGGAATTTGTATTAGTCCATTTTCATGCTGCTGATAAAGACATACCCATAACTGGGCAATTTACAACAGAAAGAGGTTTAATTGGACTTACAGTTCCAAATGGCTGGGGAAGCCTAACAATCATGTTGGAAGGCAAGGAGGGTCAAGTCACGTCTTAAATGGATGGCAGCAGGCAAAGAGAGCTTGTGCAGGGAAACTCCCCCTTGTAAAACCATCAGATCTTGTGAGACTTATTCACTATCACGAGAACAGCACGGGAAAGACCTGTCCCATGATTCAATTACCTCCCGCCAGGCCCCTCCCACAACACATAGGAATTCAAGATGAGATTTGGATGGGGACACAGCCAAACCATGTCAGAATTAATAAGTAATTTTAGCAATGCTTCAGGATACAGATTAACATACAAAAGCCATTTATTTTCCTATATACCAGCAGTGAATAAAATAAATTTGAAATTAACATGATCCCACTTATAGTAGTAATTCTTCCAAATGAAACACTTAGGTATAAATCTAATAAAATATGTACAAGTTTTATATGAGAGAAACAAAAACTCTGTTGAATGAAGTCAAAGAACTAAATAAATGGAAAGATATTACACGTTCATTGATAGCAAGAATCAATATTGTCAAGATGTGAATTCTTTCCAACTTGATCCATAATATTTGGCAAAGAAATAAAGTTAATAATTGAAAAACAGTAATCTTTTAAGCCAATGCTGAAATAACTAAACATTTCCAAGCAAAAAAATGAATCTAGTCACAGACATTATATGCTTAAAAAAAAATCAAGTCAAAATAGATCACAGACGTAAATGTAAAATGAAAAATATACAACTCCTAGAAGATAATGTCGAAAATCTAGCTGACCTTGCACTTGGCAATAACTTACAACACCAAAGGCATAATCTATGAAAGAAGGAATTGATAAACTGGAATTTATTAAAATATTTATGCTCTGCAAGAGACACTGTCAAGAAAATGAAAAGACATGCCACAGACTGGGAGAAAATATTTGCAAAAGACATACCTGATAAGGGACTGTACCTGGAATATACAAAGAACTATTAAAACTCAACAATAGAAAGAAAGTCCCTAGTTAAAAAGTGGGCAAAATATCTAAATAGACACCTCGCCAAAGAAGATATACATGTGAAAAATAAGCATAGGAAAAGATGCTCCACATCATACGTCAGCAGGAGAATGAAAATTAAAACATTAGTAATATATTATTACATACCAGTTAGAGTGGTTAAAATCTAGAATGCTGACAACATCAAATGCTGGTGAGGATGCTGAGCAACAGGAAATGGAGCAACAGGTATTATAGGAAACTAATTCCCAGTAGAAATGCAAAATGATGCAGCTATTTTGGAAGACAATTTGGCAGTTTCTTACAAAGCTAAACATAATCTCATTATACAATCAAGCAGGTGCGCTTCTTGACATTTACCCAAAGGAGCAGAAAATTTATATTCATAGGAAAACCTGCACATGAGTGTTTAGAGCAGCTTTATTCATGATTGCCAAAACTTGGGAGCAACCAAGACTTCCTTTAGTAACTGAATGAATAAATAAACTGTGGAAAATTCAGAGAAGGAAATATTATTCAGTCCTAAAAAGTAAGAAAGAATCAGGCCATTTAAAGACATGCAAGAACCTTAATTGCATACTACTACGTGAAAGAACCCAATCTGAATAGGCTAAATAGTGTATAATTCCAACTACATGACTTTCTGAAAGAAGCAGAAATACGGAGATAGTATAAAGGTTAGTGGCTGTCAGGATTTAGGGGGAGGAAGAGATAACTAGGCAGAAAACAGGATTTTTAGGGCAGTGAAATTACTCTGCATGACACTCTTATGGTAGATACACGTCACTATACATTTGTCCAAACCCACATAATAAACAGCATCAAGAGCGAACCCTAATGTAAGCTCTGGGCTTTGGGTGCTAAAGATATGTCAGTGTAGGTTCATTAAATGTAACAAATGGCCCACTCTGGTGGGGGATGTTGATAATGGGGGAGACTACACTTATCTGGGGGGAGGAGGATATGGAAAATCTCTGCACCTTCCTCTCAATTTTGCTGTGAATTTAAAACTGCTCTAAAAAAATTAAGATCTTTAAAAAAAGAAAAAAGCAAATCAGTAGGTTCGGCCAACATTTTGGGGAAAGAATTCCACACGGTGGTGACTACCTGAAGGTGTACATCATTGGGAATCAAGCCAAAAGCAGCTTAACAGAAGGACGTTGTGATGAGGAAGTTTTACATACATTGCTTCCCTTAGATTTGCATAGCGAAACTTAAGGAGCAGCATACCAGTGGTTCTTTCACTGGTAGAGTTAGAATAGAAAAGCTTCACTATCTACTCCTTTCAAAGCTCCTTAGATCTGGGAACTTTCTACACAGTTTTGATAACAATAACATTTCTAGCATGCAATAGAATACACTGTGTGGCAGTCACTGTTTTAAACATATTACAAATATTTTAGCTGATTTAATTCTCACAAGTACCCTTGTTAGTTAGAAACTGAAGCACAGAGAGGGCAGAGTTACAGAGTGGCACACCTGGGATTTGAACTTAAACAGTTTGAATCCAGAGGAAAGGCTTTTAGTCACTACATATAACCTAAGGCCTCCCACTGAGTTCCCAACTGAAGCTTTGTAAAGCTAAACCCAAGGCATCTTCTCCACCTCACCTTCTTTTACCTTTCTGTAGTATTTGTTCTGTTGACGACCCTAATTTTTTTGGCATTTTCATCTCACTTGGCTTTTTGAACACTCCAGTAGCATGTTTTCATTCTGTAGACAAGACAATTCATCCCATTGCAGCATATTGCAAAATTGTGGCAAATATTTGTTGTTATTGGATCATGGTATGTATGTAGTTTTTCTCCACCAGATTTTAAACCATTTACAGGTACAGACCAGTTAAAATGATCTGTGCAGTGGGTAGAGTGAGTGCATGATCATAATTGGTTAATGAACTTTAGAAACATTCAATGTATATTTAACATAAGATTTATGCTCTCACTGTATGTGTTTCCTCAAGGAATATCTAGTAGCTAGTCAGTGTCAGGCACTGTCTTAAATGCTGGGTAAACAGCAAAAAAACAAACTAGACAAAATTCCAGCTCTTTTGGGGCTTCCATTCTACTTAGATCCATTAAAAAAGATGAATATGGTATGTGAAATGGATTCTGATTTCCTTGCCTAAATGTATGCATGCACACCAGGAAGCCACAAATATATGAATCATGAAAGATATGGGTGCCTAAGAGTAAATCAGAACACAGATTTGCTGTCTTCGTGCACATTTTATATTATGAAATCCTTCCCCAGTAAGATTCTGTGCCTCTGTTGAATACTCAGAAATGTTCTAGACACTGGTATAACAGAAACTTAAAGGAAAAGGAAAGATTTCTTATTTTTATCCTTGACTTAAAACTGCTCGTATTGCCTGTCCTTACAAGGAATAAGAGATAGAGCTTAATGTAATAATTTTCCTTCCAGAAGAATTCAAATCCTGTTTTCTTATTCAGACTCTCACTTGCTCAGGTTTCCTGACTTCTTCTAACACTATTTTCAAATGCAACACAGCTTCTGGACAAGACACATTTTCTCCAGCCCATTTTTTAAAACAATTTTATTTTCCTAATTCTTAAGGCCACCCTGTTGCCTAATTCAGCTGCTTTCATTTCAACCACCACAGCACATTCTGGAAGTATCTTATAATGGTACAGAAATATGTCATAAATTAGGATTCTATTGTACTTTAATAACTAGCCACAGCCATAGAAAGAATTTCATACCAGATGTGAAAAAGCATTTTGATCCTGCCAGGGGGCCTACTTTCTTATTCATTTGCAAATTTCTCAGTTTTTTTTTTTAAAGGTGGTTTCTAAATCCTACAAAGTGTAGTCTAAATAGGTAACTGGGTTCATCATGAGGCTGCAATTACACTTCAGTGATTTGTTCCTTATCATAATTTGTGCCAAGTAATATTTCTGAGACATCAGAAGTACCAGAGTTATCCAGGTCCTTTTTAAGTTAGAAAAGAATCTATGTTGCCACCCACTAACATCTTTGTGAATGTGGCTTTGAGGAAGGGTACTTGTTTTTCAAATAAAATGTACTACCAAGAATGGTGTTCTGTTTTGGATGACAAATACTTTGTTAGGCACTGGGGAGTCCAGAGTAGAGACAACCATTGTTCCTTTTCTTTTTTCCAGCCATTAAAACAATTGAATGTATTAAAAGAGATAGAGGAATATAGTGATGAGAGCAGGGCTACAGAGCAATGAGCAAAATGCTTACATTGTATATAAGTGGAAGAAAAATAGATTATAAGAGATTTGCTTTTAAAAGTTTATTTACAATAAAAAAGATCTGCAGCACTTGAAATATTAAAAGAGAAGTTGATATTAGAATTATTGTTTAGACATATTTGCTTTCTTTTCATGTTCATATTCAACTATTTTGCCAAATGTGGATATTTTCCTCTTCAGGAAAATCTGTATTCGAGATAATTTTAAGATTCAATTCTTGACTTTCTAGATTGATAACTTTTATTATTGAATTCATACTTTAATGAGTTTTTTTAAGTTGTCAAATATGTCTTACATGTCTCAAGTTTGTTTGAATTCAGTAGATATTATAAATTATAAACATATCTGGATGGATGTAAAGCCAGTTGCTAATTAGTATAAGAAACCATGATTAAGTTTGGCATATTCAGTTTTTCCAACCCCCCCAAAATCTCTTTATTCATAATTAGGCAAGTTAAGTCCCCTGAAAAACTGACTTGGAAATATCTTGACTTAGCATGTGTTATTAAAAGAGGAGACACAAAAGATTTTGGTGGAGTGTTATAAAAATATTTTCCCATTTATTTTGCCCAAACCAACTGCACTCTTTTGAAAAGATGTATAATAAAAATTAATTTTGTGAATTTATGTAAAACATATGCTTTGGTGTTTTATGTTAGACCTTTATTTCAAACATACATTAGAAAATAGGCAAATAAATGTAGTCCATGGGTCTTCAGTTATAGTAAGTAAATCTGAACTCTCCTTTTGGGGTTCCCACTTCATTCGTGAATTCAGTAGATATTATCCCACTTCATTTTTCTCTGCCTTCATTGCTACTTCTTTAGGCTCTTCCTTTTAAAATGCCCCTTCCTTGGTCACTACTACACTTTTTTAAACTAAATAAAAACTAGGCAATATCTTCCCAAGGGGAGATTTATGGTCAGAAAGTTTCCAGAGTTCTATGATTATAAGACTCTCCCATCTTTTTCTCAAGGTTCCACTGTTAGTGGTGTCTATATAACACAGTGTTTAGAAAATTCAGGCAAAGTAAAGGAACGTGTCTTGATTGGCTTCAGAAAAACTTTCCTTGAATTCATTTTTCCTTTTACTTGCTGTGGTCTGGAAGAAATTACTGTAGTTTCCTTGTACGTGTCAGATTGGAAGTGTTGCTTTCTCTAACATTAAATTTAAAATCTTTGTATCTGTTAAGAAAACATAAATGAGGGGTCTGTTGGCTAAGGAAGCTGTTACAGCTCCAAAACTAACCAAAAATATTGAGCAAGCCGCCTTAGGAAATGCCTGCAGTTGCGTATCTTGATGATGTCATCACCACATAAAGTCTAGGCCAAAGCTTCAAAGGTTAGATAAAACTGATCAGAATTTGGAAGGACAGACTCCTAATAACCAAAGCCCAAAAAGATTGATTCACCAACAAAAAGAACAATTAATTAATTTTGTGTAGGAATAATGAGAGAAAGGGCTGTTTTTATTCCTTTTATCTTATTGAAATGAAGTTCTTGTATTTCTCTTTGCAAAAGGAATATAGAACATTGTTGTTATTGAGGCTGAATTTTGTGCCCCCTTATACAGACCCACATGTTAAAGTCCTAACTTTCAGTATCTCAGAATGTGACTGTATTTGGAGATAAGGTCTTTAAGAGGAAATAAGGTAAAATTAGGTCATTTGAATGGGCTCTAATGTAATGTGACTAATATCCTTATATGAAGAGAAAATTTGGGCACAGATGCATACAGACAGCAGGACATGTGAAGACAATGGGGAAAAGACAGCCATCCATAAGCCAAGGAAAGAGGCCTCAGAAGAAACCAACCTTGCTAATATCTTGATCTTGGACTTCCAGACTCTAGAATTATGAAAAAATAAATTTCTGTTGTTTAAGCCACCCATACTGTGGTACTTTGTTATGGAAGTCCTAGAAAATTAATATAATTGTGGTTAAAAAAATACTTAAAAGAGGAATGAAGACAATAAAAGATACATATCATCTCCCTAAAAGTTGCTGTTACAGCATTGAAATATGCCCTTTTACCTATTTTATTGTGTGTGTGTGTATATATATACACACTATATATATATAGTGTGTATATATATATAGTGTATATATATATATAGTGTATATATATATATATAGTGTGTATATATATATATATATATATATATATATATATATATATCTCACTAGTTCCATGTTAGTAGAATGCCTTTAATAGCTGGATAATATTTCATTGCATTATTTTCCCTTTTATTATTTAGCCAAGCCCTTAGTATTCAACATTTAGGATGTTTTCAACAGTTTTACTCCTATAAACAGCCTTCAATTGAAATCCCAGTTCTACAACTTTACTAACTCTGTGGATTTAGATAATTCAATTAGCAATAAGTTTGGGGAAAAAGTTTATTTAAAAGTTGGACTATCAGTTTTGAACTATGCAAGCAAAATACCTTAGCAGAGTTTAGGGTTTTTTTCCTTAGAAATGCATTTTTTTACTGTTGGATTAAAATCTTTAGCAAGTCATTAGCACTATTTCATGCATCTGGGTCATGTTGATAATATTCTTTGCCAAAGTCTGATTGCTTGTACATTATTTCAGGATGTACATCTTACTTTGTATTTCAGACTCCTCGACACTCACAAATTTAAAACAGCATTTGATAGGTAAATTAATTGGCATTTCAGTGGAGGCTTAATTAAAAGTTTTCCTTGGATGTAGTATTCTAATAATATATGACCACTTACTCAACTTAACCTTCAAATTTGGGCTGGGATCACAGGCATATACATTAGCATAAGTTAAATATGTTCAAGTTCTTTTTTCCCATTAGCAAAAAGATCAGCCAATAAAAGAGAGAATGATAAATGAAGAAACCTTACAAGTATTTAAAACACTCATTGAGGTGTTAGTATTAAAAATTGTCATCACATTTTTAAATAGCTTTGGCTCAGCTATTATACAATTGAAGAGATGTTTTATTTTATCTTAATTTGGAAATTACTTGAATCAGGTACAATTTTATCTCATTCTCCTATAGCAAAACTGTGCCTTAGTTACTTTTGTGTAACCAGAAAAAAAATATATGTATATCAGCTGCATATTCTGTGAAGTCTGTTCAAAAGACACGAATGATTTTTTTCTATGTATTTTCTTGTTTAATAAAACTCAGCCTTTTGGTCTTTGAAGAGGATAAAAGCAAGTACTAGAGAGCTTGCTTTTTTTTTTTTTTTTGAGATGGAGTCTCGGAGAGCTCACCTTCTTCAACTATTTAGGAAGATTGTGGTGTTTGATGTCACATCGAAAGCAAGGAAACCCCCAAGCAGGCTGAATGCTTCCTTTCAGAAATTAAGTTTGAACATTAGTCAATCTCAAGATGAACTGTTATCAGTCTCAAGGTGAACTGTTGTAGGTGCTTATGAACTCAGAAAATAGGCTTTGGTCGGGCTTGAAAAAAAAGCTAGAAACAAGTGCATAGCTCAGAATTCTCCCCAACACATTTGGCACAAAACACAATTAATAATATTAATGGAACATATTTTGATTGATTTCTAATTTTTACATAATAAAACATGCTATTGAAGTCAGAGCAAAGTTCAAAATAGTGTAATACAAAGATTCAAGTTAATTACCCTCGTCACTAGGCGTCGCTTATCACAGAGCTTAACTCAGCTTTGCTCTTGCCTGCAAAGTTGCAGCAGAATTTTTGTTTTACTCTTTCTAATTATGATACATGCTCTTTGCAAAAAAACAAAATTCAGAAAATTCAAAATGCAGATAGGAGAAAGTAAAAATTATGAAAATGCCACTACCCAGAGGAAACTTCCATTCACATGTTGGGAAAAATCTCACTATGCATATATGTAAATATAGGCATAGGCATACAATCTTTTATAAATAGAATAGCAGTGAGGTTAAAAATGTAGGCTTTGCAGGCTTACCTACTTCACAGGGTATTATGATAAGTAAATTAATTAATAAACAAAGAATTGTGCCTGGAACATAGTAAATGCTCCAAAATATTTATTATTATCACTTATAGATTTATAAGGGCCAAGGACCACAAGTTTGCAACCCCTGGGCTAAATCTTCAAAAGAAACTTCGATAAAACTTTATATATAAAATTCGAAATGTTTTGTCAGCCAATATGAGTTGGATTAAAGATAATGATCACTTGCCTTTGGGGATAAAGGGAATGAGTTGATGAGAAAAACCAAAGAAATATATGTAGGTCATTGTCGCTAGTTTTTATTTGGGGCAAGAGTAAAGAGGAAGGTTGGTTCTTGGGTGCTCATTCCATTTTATAAAAAATACAATAAATTTTAACAAAACAAATAACATCCCTAACATCCTTTATTGAGGTCCTGTGCTTTTAACCTACCACTACACTGTGGATAGTGAATCATAATGATAATCAATAAGACAACAATAGTAATAATCCTTAATAGGAAACAGTAATTAATACCTTACTCTGTGGCAGGCATTTGTTATTAGCACTTTGCATACACTAATTTCAGTCTCACAATAATCTTTTGAAGTGGAAAATATATACCCTAATTTTAAAACGAGAAAATTTTAAAATACTTATCATACAGTACTGTGACAGCTTGAACAGCTTAGCAGAACTGGTCCCCTGTGAAATTAGTGAAAGTTATAAAAACTCAATCATTTGAAATCTCTGCAAATTGTCCTAAAAGAATACAACAACTGAATAAACATCTATCTAAGAAAATCTACAAAATCCTGTAAAAAAGTGGGAGTCAGGTGCATTTCAACCAAGACCACTCCCTCTCTCCTTCCTCCCAGCTCAGCAAGCCAAAAACTCCGCTTCAATCTGGTGCAGCGAAGAGCACAGGGCCTTCTTCCAGGGAGGAGTAGGATGTCAGCTTTTCTCATCTTGCCCCCAGCTACCTGTTGCTGAGGCTAAGTTCCTGGTGAGTGTTGTTATGAGGTGAGGGTTGTCTTCTAATGCCCAGCTCCCACTCATGTAATGGAGGTCCTAACCTTGAGTGCAGTGCCAATGGGAACACTGGGACACTATCACCTCGCTCTAGTTCATAAGGTTGTGGTTCCATGACAGAAGAAGCAAGCTGAGAAGAAAGGCTACTGCCTGCCTGCCACCTCCACGTAGTACTCAACTTGTAAAGAGAGGGTGTCAGCCAGAGAGAATTAATTGTGCCATTGTCCTCACCTCCTGCTCTAGAGCCCTTGACCAGAAGTTTTGCCCAAGCAAGAGGTAGGCCACAAAGCAGATAGCTACTAGTCTCTTCCCAAAGGAATTGACTTCATTTGTAACAATCTGAAAATGAAATTAAGAAAATTTCATTTACAGTAACATCATAAAGAATAAATGCTTAGACTAAATTAAATACAATAAATGCAAATCGTATACTCTAAAAATAATAAAACATTGTTGAAAATTTAAGAAGCTCTAAATAAGTGGGAAAAACCCATGATTATGAATTAGAAGGCTTAATACTGTTAAGATGGCAATATTTCTCAAATTAATCTACAGATCTAATGCAATTCTTGTCAGAATCTCACCAGACTTCTTTGCAGAAACTGACAAGCTAATTCTAAAGTTCATATGGAATTGCAGAGGACACAGAATAGCTAAAACAAACCTGAAAAAAGAGGAGAAAAGTAGGAAACTTCACACTTGAGTATTACAAAATTACTATAAAGCAACAGAAATCTAGACTGTGTGACACTAATACAAGAATAGATGTATAGTTTAATGGAATATAATTGAGAGTCCAGAAATAAAATCATGTGTCATTAGTCAATAGATTTTGACAAGGGTTCCAAGACCATTGAATGGGAAAAGAATAGTCTTTTCAACAAATGGTGCTAGGAACAACTGAATAGCCACATGCAAAATAATAAACTTGGGTCCTTACCTAATATCATCTATAAAAATTAACTTAAAATTTGTTATAAACCTAGATATAAGACTTAAAACTATAAAACTCTTAGAAGAAAACATAGGAGTAAATCTTCATGACCTTGGATTTGGCAAAGGATTCTTAGATATGATATGAGCAACAAAGAAAAAACATAGATAATTTTGACTTTATCAAAATGTAAAACTTTTGTGCTTCAAAGGACACCATCAAGAAAGTGAAAAGGCAACCCACAGAATGACAGGAAATATTTTGCAAATTATGTATTTGACAAGGGATTTGTATTCAGAATATATAAAGGACTTTTATAACTCAATAATAAAAAGACAAATAACTAAAAAATGAGCAAAGGATCTAAATAGACATTTCTCTAAGGAAGATATAACAATGATCAATAACCACATGAAAAGATGCTAGCTTTTGCCATCATTGGTCATCAGGCAAATGCAAATCAAAATCACAGTTGTAAAGTGACAGATACCAGATACCACTTACAACCACTATAATGGCTAGAATAAAAAATTTAGATAATAAATGTTAGGACATGAAGGAATTGAAAACCTTCACACTGCTAGTGGGAATGCAAAATAGTGTAAAATGTTTTGGAAAATAGCCTGAAAATTCCTTGAATGATTAAACTAGAGTTAGCAAATGACTCAGCAATTCTACTCCTAGGTATATTCCCAAGAGAAATGAAAACATATGTACATACACACACACACACACACACACACACACACACACACACACACACACTTGCACATGTTTATAGCAGCATTGTTTATATGAGCCAAAAAATTGAAGCAACCCAAATGTCCATCAACAGATGTATAGAAAAAAATGAAATATTATTAAACCCTAAAAAGAAATGAAGTGTTGATACACACTGCAACACAGATGAACCTTGAAAATATTATGCTAAGTGAAAGAAATCAGTCATAAAAGACCACATATTACATGATTCCATTCATATGAAATGTCCAGAATGGGCAAATCTACAGAGACAAAAAGTACATTAGTGTTTGCTTGTGGTTGGAGCAAACGAGGAGACAGGCAGATGATATATAAAGGGTACAGGGTTTCTTTATGAGGGTGATAAAAATGTTCTGTGATTAACTGAAGTGATAGTTGCATGTATCTGTGAATATACTAAAAGTCATCAAATTATACAATTTAAATGAGTGATTGCATGGTATCATGGTTAATTTTATGTGTCATCTTGGCTAGGTCATGCTACTCAGATATTCGGTGAAAATTTATTTTAGATGTGAAGGTATTTTTAGATTACATTAACATTTAAATCAGTAGGCTTTGAGTAAATCAGACATAATACTCCCCCCATAATGTGAGCAAGCCTCATCCAATTAGTTGAAGACCTTAATAACAGACTGACCCCCGCAAGCAAGAAGAAATTCTGCCAGCAGACTGCCTTTGGAGGTGAACTATATAATTCTTCCCTGTATCCCTAGCCTGCCAGCCTACCCTGAAGATTTTGGACTTCCCAGGCCTCCACAATCACATGAGCAATTCCTTAAAATAAACCTCTATTTATATATGTTATATATATATAACATATATATATATAAATATCATATATGTATATACACATATACACAGACACATATACACACACATATCCTGTCGGTTCTCTTTCTAGAATCCTGATTAATACATATTTGAGTTACGTCTCAGTAAAGCTGTTTAAAAAGTGAGGGAGCTCAGGGAAAGTGAAGCTCATTAGCCACCCAAGATTCCACAGCTGTAACATGGTAGAATGGAAAGCCTCTCTGTTTACTACAAGATGACACAGTGTGTTATTTGTGTCTTTGTTAACTCTGGCCAAGCACGGAGTGCTGTTGAGAAGTCTGAGCTAAGACTAGGATGGAGGTATTGCCAGTACAGAAATGGGGACCGGCTGCAGAAGGGATGTTGAATAGGAGGTGTCAGGTTCTGCTGGAGGAATGATATTCAGTACGTTTAACAACTGGTATGGCACAGACATCAGCCTACCAGAATGGGCCCTGACCCACCTAGCTGGAACTGGACTAGATGTTCTCACTAGCTTAATAACATTCCTGTCCTCTAAAAGGGTATTATCAGAGGCATTTTCATTTGGACAAGTATTCATCACATAGTGGCTTATTTATTATTTCTTTCATCACTGTATCCCGGGGATGCCAAGCCATAATGAAATGATTTTTGCAGTTAGTTACTGAACCACACACACACTCTTTTTATAGTAAGAAAACATTGCTCTAATATAAAAAATATTTATTTACTTTATGTTTTAACCATTTTTCAGAAATTACAAATTTTTTGCTTTTCTGAAAAAAAGTGAACAGAATGAAAGATTTTCATGCATCATCATTATCATCAAAATAATGGTAGAATTCTCTAGAGTAAGGTAGGAATGCCTCCAAGGGGTCATTGAGGTATTCCAGGCACGTTGCTTATATATTAAATGGCCCTGATGCCTTTTGGGTTATTATGCCTGACTTCAAAAAAGAAATAACTATACTATATCTCACTTCATTTTTAGACTGTTAAACTTGCCACAATTATACTTCCTAACTTTTACTAGGTCCTTCCACTGTTGGACACTGAGACATTAGGAATCTAATATGTTATGATTTTGATTAATGTGCCTTAACTTTAGCACATGGTCTCTGTGTCATTTGTGTTGTTCACTTAGATGCCCTTGACTGCCTTTTCCAAAATTCCTCCTACATTTTTTTTTTTAATGTCAAGACTACCGAATAAAGTAAACTTTGCTTGTAGTTATGCAGCACTGATCAGCTGATGTGTTTAGGTAGCATTTTACAAAGCAGCAATCACCTGTTAGTTAGAGTCTTTTTGAACCAGTGTCTAGTTTTATACATTCTATCACCATTCTCAACTACTTATATGTATTTAGCCTATGGGAGATTGATTGACATTACCCAAATTCTCAAATGATTGATTTAATTATTTTCTACATTTATGTAATGAATTTAATGGAATACTATGAGGCACAAGACAATACAGTGTTCAGGAGAAGATCTAGTCACACCTCCTAAGCAGCTTATGGTGCCGAGTCCAAGACTATTGTGTTACTTAAGCTTATTTTGGATGTTATGAATCAGCCTGGGAAGAAACCCAGAAATGAAGCAGAGGACATGTCATCGCTTTTCCTACCAAGTCTTAACTCTCCCTCCACATAATGTTCTGTCCTCTGAAGTTGGAGCTCTGAAGTTGAAAGGTGGAATAAAGTTATATCTGGAAAAATAGAAAAAGATAAAACATTGCCCTCTGAACCCACAATAAAGAAAGAGAAAAAGCCACTCATTTTGTATCTTACAGAATACAACTCTACAGCAATCAATATATTTATCATTGCTTTACAGGACTCCCAGAATCAGGATAGCTAGAAACCAAGAATTAATCAGAAAGTTTTCTGATGCTCACTGAATCAGGGAAAAATAACTGCTTTAGTCTCCTGGGAAGTATTTTTTCAGGCTAAACCTTTTTTCCTAATATTACATATTTCTAGAAACTATAAAACAATTAGAATGCCCCATGTTTTTACTTATTCATTAATTTGCTTATTAATTCACTTAACATAGGCTATTTCTTCACTTACGTGCAATTTGTATAATGCCCAAAGGTACTGGGATAAGAGACAAGCAGAGCCTCAAATCCTGCTTGTGCTCTGCTCACCAAGCTCCACCCTAGAGGAGAACTGCAGTCCCCAAGTGGAGCAACTTCTTTTAGTTCATCTTCCCAGAGGGGGCATGCCTTTCTAAAATCTGCCTACTCAGAGGACAATTTGTACAATCTGCATTCCTATGCTTGAGCTTAAACAGAAATAAGATATGGCTTTACCCTTAAATAAACATGAAACATAGAAATGTTTGATATAGTCTCTCTTTCCTTACATAGCATTAAATAAACCTCAATAAATCTGTCTTAATTCTGCTTTTTTATTCAGTCTTGCTTATTGATTATCAAAAGTTGCAGCAATGCCAGAGCATATTAATTTTAATATGTTGCAGATAGATGACAATTTATATGGGTTCCAGTCTACAACGATGTTTTAAAGAGATTTCCACTCTTAACCTTTAGGAGATGCTGTAATCAATCAGACATTTCTACATCATTAATACTGTGGATCACTTCCACAGAAAGTATATAGGGATGAATACTGAATGTATTTCTTCGAAGTGGGACTTCAATTTTACAGGGATGTATTTTCCCTAAATTTTGGAGTCTCTCTGGGGCCTCCAACTTTCTATTCCTTGACAAATCGTCATCTTTTACCCCAAAGAAACCCATTAGTGGAAAACTGTAGGTGTTGCTGCAACAATTGTGCTGAGTGATTGTCTAGCTGCTCTAACGGTTCCATTCATGGAAAATTTCACATTGAGAAGCAGACTGCTCCATCTTCAAAATGAAACCTTAGGATCTTTCTTCTCTTAAAATGTGCCAGTATCTGTCTCCTTACTGTGCCTACCTGTACTGGTCCTGGATCTATTTCACGTAGTATGTGCACAACCAACCTGACCCCAACGCAACGTGAAATACCCTCAACTAATTGAAGACTTTGCATATACGCTTGCACATATTCTTTCCTCTAAATTTATCTTCTTTCAAAAGATATTAAAATTAATAGATATTATAAAAATGCTGGCTTTGGAGAATATTTCATTAAATTTTATTATTTAAATATACACATATTTCCTTAGCAGTGGCATTTCAACCATTTGAATGTTAGTTTGAAAAGTAAAAGGAGAGCTGATACATTCTTGTCATTGAAATTATGGCAGTTACATTATTAAATTAGCTACCTACATTAGCTCTACACACAGGTACAAGTGTTCTGGTGTTATTTATTTGGCCACTGTAAATAAAGAAATAAAAAGGTAACACAAATTTTTTGTATTGTATACTTGTAAAATACAAGGCTTAGACAGTTCATGGCAAAAGTATGTACTTTCAACTTTCTTTTCTCTGATCTAGCAATCAACGTACTCCTCTTAGAGAGAAAGAAAAGATCTTGTTTCACTCTCTGATCAAAGAAGATTTCTTAATTTCTGTTACTGGAAAATTTGGGGTTTTTAAAAAATCTTTAAAACTCTACACATCTGTGCTTCTTGGCTTGTGAAACTGCTGAGAGAAATGTGACCCAAATTCCATATTACACTTCAAAATTATTACATTAAGAGCAATGTTTGTGATTTTTATCCAACTACATATTTTTGCTTTTGTTGACGTAACACTCATATTTAACACCTTGTCAATATCACTATGACCTTAGGTGAACAACACGCTGGCATGTGAGGTAAATGCTCAGTCGGTCACTTCACTCTATTATCAACATGTCATACTTGGTTATTAACACAAGTCGCACCAAATGAGATTTATAGTAATTCTTGTTCAGTCTCAATCCCTCTGTAGTTTAGCAGAACTTAGCAACACACTGGATCTACTTAGGGAGAAAACCCCTCTGCACGAGTCTGTCAGAAAGTGAAAAAAGTACTGTAAGAGAAGATTCAATTGTGCTATTTTACTTCTTAAGACTTTATTTTTTTATCACGAAAATTTATTATATGTTGTGAAAGCAAAAGAGGCAATATATTTTTGTCTTAAATTCCGAAATAAAATATGAATTCTACTCTTTCGTCATCTGGTACTTTGTTGAGATTGTTGTTAAATGACTATATGCACAAAAAAGATGTCACAAATAAATTTGACTATGTAGTCATACTCCCTAGTGGAAAGTTATGAATTTTTTTTTTACTAAAAACTTTGGCTTACTCTGTATAAATATTTGGAAGTGTTCTTCTATCGCACCTTACAAGCCAAGATTGCAATCACCATCATATTAAAATAATTAATCACCAAAGCCTGTAAGGTTGCTAAAACCTTTTTGGACAGCCAAGAGGCCTTTCTCTGGGATATATTTCTTGTTTAAATTCCAAAAGTCCTAGTTTCCACTTATTGTACTACTTTGAGTATCACAGACTTCAGTAAGTTTGCTTTCTCATATTCTGTGGTCTTATATGGCAAGAGCACATAAATTATGCCTTCATCAGTGCCACTGTAACTTTGGTCACTTAAAGTTTATGGGATATTATCACCTGATATACAATGTTTTAAGATCTAGTTCTGCTGTTGGAAGAAATAATCAAATATTTCACGTTGGACAATGTGACATATTCCAGAGATGCTTTTTCCTGCTGCAGATCCTTCTGATTTAATTAACATATTATGATAAGCCTATATTTGCTCTTCTAATGGTAGAGATGTCAGAAATTCTTTCTGAAGCTAGAAGATGAAAGCCTGAAAGAACAGTTTTACTCTCCAGATTTGTTTACCAGTGGAGGATATGATGGGAAAATACATTCTGCTCATCATCTTCACACCCTACATATTCTTGGGAAATGGAATGAGAAAACATTCTCAGCTTTGCTAACACTCGAATTCTATTCTTAGACATCAACAAGCAAGATGTGCAATTTAAATGCCATGGCAGAACTGCTAACAAAAACAGGGTCAAAGTCCTTAATAGCAAATGAACCACTGGAACAAAGCTCTCTAATTCACGTGATTTCAACTTTGAAAGCTACCAGTGTACCGACAGCACCTTCTTGCAGGGTCATCTGCAGCCCAGATGCTGGAGCATTTAGCATTTCAAAGCACACTGGCCAGAGTTCTAACAAAATCTAATATGTGTGAAGTATGAGCATTGTTGTTCTTCACCTCAACGAATGGGGATGGGGAGGACACCTTTAGTTGCAAAATGGAAGGTTTTCTATGAGGAGAAGAAGGGATGGAGATAAGGATAGGTGGAAATAGGCCAGCCGATGCTAGGGACAGGAAAATGATCAATCGTTGGACAGGAAAGTGATCAATAGTTGCTAACCCATCAGTCTGCCCCATGTATAGCCGTGACTCAAAAGGAGAAGTGAATTTTACGTGCGCAAGTTAATGCGGATTTGCGTGTAGCATTAGGTCCCCATTTTGCTTCTTACTCAAGTCCACACAGCCTCAGTTTCCTTATTTCCAATTATTAAAATTTAGAAAGATATATGTTAAAATCAACATATTCTTACAAAAAACCACATAAAAAATAGGAAGTGAAAGTCCAGTAGCACTCCCCCACATAGTAACCTTAACATGTTTTCCAGAGGCAGCTACTGATAAGATTGTGTATACACCCTTTAGCTTTTTCATCTATAAATTGGAGATGAGTATATCATAGTGTTGGTGAGAATAAAAGGAGATAAAATATATAAAATGCCTAAAACATTGAGAAGTCATGTCTTTCTTTTTCTGTCTGCTTCCCCTTTGTTCTAATTTTACTTGCTTTACTTAATCTAATGCATATTCATATTCAGACCAATTTTTAAGTTTATAGGTTATTGCATGAGTCAGTTGCTGCCAAAATAACCCAGGATCTTAGTGTCCTGTCACTGCAAACATTTATTTCTAGCTTTCAGGTCTGCAGGTTGACTTTGTGCTCGGGGTCTGCACGTTGGCTGGGCACGGCTGTTTCAGGCTACAGCTGGATCCAGGCTAAGTAGCAACAATTACATGGGTGTTTTCTTCTCACAGGGTATGGTAAGAGAACAAAGGGGGCAAGCGGAAATGCCTGATTCTGAGAAAGATAAAGACATACATCACAAGTGTTTTTAAAAAATAAGTTTTATTGGATGATGTGTGACTATCCCGCCTTTTTTTCCCACTGTCCAAGAAAATTTTATGTACTATATCTCACTTCTCTAAGATGACTCATCCTTTGGTCTTCTTTAACAGAGCAAACAGAAGTGTTGGGACATATTCCAAGACTGATGTCAGTGGAGAACAGAAGCTGCTTAGCGGGACAAGTATGCACTAATTTAAATCTGAAAGAAGGGTAAGATGGTGTCAAGAATGGCAGTGAAGTTTCTAATATGTGGGGATCACCACTGACCAAACTACAAGATAGAAGGGGAATGGGTGTTTGGGGAAAAGAGAGAGAATTGAGACCACTGGTAGGGATCTAGTGGCCCTAAATAATGCTAGAAGTGAAGAGGGTAGAGTGGAAAGGAGACAGATACTGACCCAGGAAGGAGGAAGTAGCTTGGATTGCTCAAACATTCTGGCTTCTTTTTCTCTTCAACATCAAAAACAAAATTAAAAAAAAAAAAATAGGATGGAAGAACAGATGATACCTTGTGCAGATTATCAAAAAGAGAGAATTAGATAGTTTTTAAAACTTGTACTCAACCATCACTTTCCAATTCTAAGAACAGTATAACCTGTTATACTCTTTATCCCAGGCTCATTGAGGTCTAGACAAGGGAAATCAGCCTGATCTCTTCAACTAGGTTCTGCTGAGCAAAACTTCATGGTCACCACAGCTCAAACAGAAGTTTCTCAGTTATGTGACAAGACAGTAAGTATGGTGATTTTTTTTCAAAATTGTCAATAATCATGATAAAGACATCTAAGTATCTCACCAAAATATGTCTTTCTCCCTGTTTGACCACTTCCTAAGAGCCTAAAAAAAAAAATATTCATCTTGGAATATTTTATGTAATCAATAGTCTACAAATAATCTTTTAAACAAACCTTGTTTGAATTGTATCATTTTAGTAAATTCGAGGTATATGCTTTCTGTATATATCTATATCTATATACATACACACAAACATATAGACATACACACACATGCATATATATACCCACATACACATAAATTTATACATATACATGGCCTGTCCTTAAATACAATTTCAGTTAAAAAGAGGTAAAGGTAAATTAATAAATGGGATATTGGACTGCTAATTCCCTTCCAAATTAATATTAGGTATATTTAAAATAAATGTGACTTATCTCGGCATTATAACTGGGCTTATTCTGACTCAGTTGTCAACTTTCCACTGTACTGTGAAGTTTTTCCTATTTAAAGCATTTCTTCTAGCATGATACATTCACTAGAGCTTTGTCTAATTCTCTCCTCTATATTCCCTCAACTCAGTTTCTCATACTTAATCTGATAATCCTAATAATTTAATGCAAATAGTCTTTAAGAAAGACTGCCCACTGGAAATGTAAAATAATAATTTGGATTTTTAAAATTTTTATTTAATATACACACATGGATACGACCATGTTGCTCATAAAACCGGCCTAAAGGACACCACTTTGTTTCTGGTTTAAAAATCTCTATAGGAACATTTTCAGGTTTTTGAAGACTTTACATGTACTATCTTATTTAATCCTTGAAATGCTCTCTTCCAGGTAAGGTTATTATCATTATTATTATTAATCTCTGCTCAGAAAGGTATGGGGACTGGTTATCCAGATAATAAGTGGCGGGACTTATTTGATGCTAGAGTTTTGGATTTCAAAAACTATGCTAGCTCTGATTTACCACACTACTTACCTTATTTTATGAATACACTTTATGATTAACTACAAATGGTTTTTTAAAAGTAGCCATAAGGATATAATAAAATTGATAGTTTTTTGTATACTTGTTGCTCAGCAACATACAGGTGGCACATCAATTTCACTTTTCTGTGATTTTAAAAAAACATGAAATTTATTTTATTTGTATCTAATTATATAACTGCAATTCAAGCTATTAGCATGATAATTTTATTTGTTTATTTGTTTAATTATTTATTTATTTTTGAGACAGCGTCTAGCTCTGTCACCCAGGCTGGAGTGCAGTGGCGCGATCTCAGCTCACTGCTACCTCCGCCTCCTGGGTTCAAGCAATTCTCCCTGCCTCAGCCTCTTGAGTAGCTAGGATTACAGGCACCCACCACCACACCTATCTAATTTTTGTATTTTTTTTAGTAGAGACGGGGTTTTGCCATGTTGGCCAGGCTAGTCTTAAACTTCTGACCTCAGGTGATCCGCCCGCTTTGGCCTCCCAAAGTGCTGGGATTACAGGCGTGAGCCACCACACCTGGCCAGGATAATTAAATATAATACTATTTTATCCACTTTTTTTTTTTTTTTTTTTTTTGAGACGGAGTTTCACTCTTGTTGCCAAGGCGGCAGTGCAATAGTACGATCTCAGCTTACTGCAACTTCTGCCTCCTGGGTTCAAGCGATTCTCCTGTCTCAGCCTCCCAGGTAGCTGGGATTATAGGCATGCGCCACCACACCCAGTTAAATTTTGTATTTTTAGTAGGGGCAAGGTTTCTCCATGTTGGTCAGGCTGATCTCGAACTCTCGACCTCAGGTGATCCACCCACCTCAGCCCCCCAAGTGCTAGGATTACAGGTCCACTTCTTTTTTAAACACACATGCATTTCTAACAATCTGTACAGTAATCTCTGTATTAAATGCTAGAGATACAAAGTTCATTAAGAAATAGTTCCTGCTTTTAAGGAGCTTGTAGTCTTTTGGAAGGAAGGCAAGTAAGTCAAAGATTTCCATAGTAAGATTAATGTTTATAGAAATACTCATTATATCATTAATGCATTGAAAGAAGCAATAAATTGTACTAGAATTGAGACATAGTCACTGAGAAGGTAAAGCATGGGGGTAAGCTTTCTAAGACGACTGTAAAAGGGAAGACGGAGGCAGTGTGATTAGAAGGAAATCTTGAACCAGAGTGACCATTTTCGGGACACATAGGCTCACTGAACCGAGTTCTATGATATTGGATCGAGGTTTACCTGAGTGAGCCCTGGAATCAGCCAACAGGGCCTATGAGGACAGTGAGGCGTTGAGTTGACAAGAAGAAAAACAGAGTGGTGAGAGAAAAGTTGGGAGAGTAGTGTTCATATGAACAGGTTTTTCCTTCCTTTTCCCCATGGAGAAGAAAGGAAGGATTGTCCCCACCTCTAACAGAAGAAATGTCCATTGTAAAGGGGCTCCAAGAGGGTCATTTGTAGACATTAGGGTTGCCTGACAAGAAAGAGAGATGAGTATCTTACCACCTGCTTAGACATATGTATAGATTGTGGACTTGATTTTCCCACCCATGCTTCCTCAAACACAAGAACAAGAGACTGGGAGAAATATGCCAGGGCATGGGAGAAGGGTAATGGATAGCATGGTAAAGCCTCTGAGCCAAACATTTGGCATGATAAGAATGTGTGAGCTGTTCATGGACAAATGAAAACTTGAGGCATCTGTCCTATGTCAGACAAACAGGACACAATGATGGGTGAGGGGACCCAAGTAGCAGGAGGCTGGTGGTATACTGACAGAAGTGGGTGGAAGAGGCCAAGGTGCAGCCAGCTGTCACTTCTTGGAACTGTCAAGTTAGAGGGCCCATGGGAGGGCCTGCTGAAGGACTCAAGCATTTGGATTTCAACAACAGAGAGGCCTTAATGGCCTGTCATTGTTACCCAGAAAAGCAGCAACTACCAACAACGAATTACAAAAGCCTTGCTCCTCCCTACCCCAGCACAGGAGGGAAGGGGCTACAGCCAGGAAACAGGAGGCAAAGGAAGTGTCCTAGAGGCAGGCTTGCACTTTTCACTCTAAGGTGAGGGAGTGAGAAGAGGAGTTAAAGAGCAAATCAAGCTCCCTAAACCACAAAAACAATGGGCCCTAGGGGAGGGAAGTAAAAGAGATTTAAAATAAGTGACCTTGGACTTCTAAAATGGAGATATTTTAAATAATCAAAAGTATCAAAGATGTAAATAAACTCATATTTTGTAATGGGATCTACTATTCAATGAGTTGGGAAGTCTGACGTACTATGATTGGAGAGGGTAACTGGAAAAAGTAAAAATTGGGTTACAGAATATCTCCACTAAACACTGGATAATTAGATGATTACAGACAGACTTAGAACAGCAGGAGATAAGCCTAGAGAGAGGTAGGTGGGAGTCACAACATTAAAGGCTATATTGTGCCAAGAAGCTAAGAACTTAGAACTTTGGACTCAAACTATGGGAACCATTGACAAATTCTAGACAGGGGAGTCATATGATCAGAGTGAAGAAGATACCCTTTGACAACAGAGTAAAGACTGTTAGCAAGAAAGCCAGACTCATCTAGATTAGGTAGGTTAAAAAATACAAATAAAACACTCTTTTGTTAGCAAATATTTAGGTAACTCTTTGCGACTATGTCAATAAATTACAATATTTTTCTCTCGATGTGAAAAAAATTACCATACATCTAATGATAAAATAGTTTCCTATGTCTTCAATGTAAACTTCAGTAAAATGTGTGCTTGCACTTTTCGACATCTATAAGTTGATATGTTTTGCTAACTGGCTGACATTTTATGCCTCAAAAGACAAATGGCTATATAGAAGACCAAAGCTAGAGAAGATATTACTTTACAAAATTAGGACTGCTACTCATTGTTGAATAATATTTTTATAATTTCCAGGCAACCAGAACTCATGAAAATTTTTTTTATACGGTAACATATATTTTTTCAAAGGTATATGTTTTTAGCATCATTACTTTAAAGCAATTTTGAATGCTAAACTGAGTTAATCTCTCTAAATTCCATCTTTTACCCCAACCACTGACCTGAAAATATTCAGTTACAATGAAGGGGCTACTTTAGAGACAAAAGTCTCCAATGGTGTTTCTAAAAATTCATTAGCAGTATGGTTTAACTGTTTCTGAAAACTGAACATCTAGTAGAAAAACATTTCTAATCAACGTTGCTGAACATGGACATTTTTTAACTCATTAGCTAGTCAAATCAAACTAAAAACTGAACCTGGTTCCAACTTTTTTACCTTAGGGGAAATAGAATATGTTGGTAAAAATGAGATAAGAGAAAAATGAAAAGAGATTTTTAACACTCTACTTTTAGGAAAACGTAAGACTGAGTGAGTCTGTTGTACACAACGTGGCTTGCTGAAAGTGCTCTAAACTAGGAGACGGGACAGAAAGAGAAAAAGTCTACTCTTAGCTTAGGCAGTAACTAACTGGCATAAACTCCCTGGTCTTTATGTGGAGGGGCTGTAAAACAAAAAGGTAAGACATGCTCATCTTTTCATCCAACTCTAGAATATTATACTATTTATTTATTTTTTTCGTTTTAGTTTAGTGAGAAAAAAAAATCCCAAAAGAATAAATGTTTAAAATTTAATCAGATGCATCACGTGTTTTAGTTAAGCAGCATAATAAATAATTGAAAGTATTTCTTTTTAAAAAATAGAAAGACCAAAATAAAATAATTAAGAATTGCAAAATAAATCACCTTTTAAAAATGTTTAAAAAACTAACATTTCTAAAGACTTGTAACTCAAAGTATGAAATGCAAATCAGCAGCATCATTGGAATCACTTGGAAGCTTATTAGGAGTTTATTAGAAATATAAAATCTCAGGCCCCAAACAAAACCAACTTTATTAGAATCTATATTTAGCCATGATCCTTCAGCAAATCTTATGTCTGTTGAATTTTAGAAGTTATAGAAACATCTGTTGGTTTAAATAACTCCAATGAAATGGTTTCCAACACATAACTTAGGAAATTAATTTAGCTGAAATTCATTTTCAAGGAGTACGTCTCTTATTGTTATCCTTGTTCAAATGGCTAAGACAAGTTTAAGTTTGATTGTCCATACATATCTAATTCTTTCTGAAATTTTCAACATATAAATATATTTGTGGGAACAAATTTTGTTTTGTCAAATAAAAGGGATCCAATCAGCTGATTTTAGGAAGAGACACTCTAGAAATAAACACCACAGTTCAGAAAGCACCCTCATAAATGAAAAGCTTCATTCTCATTATTGAGACCTTGCCCTGGTGTGCTATCATGAAAGAGGGTTTTCTTTTTGTCAACTGTGCATTTTTTTTTCCAGCTCATATTCCACCATTCACAGGCTTTCATTATTCTTTACCCTCTTTCTCTTGTAACACTTCACAGTGCCTCTCGCTCAGGCAACTGCCCTAAGTGTAGAAAAGCCGGTGAGGAGATGGTCAATCTGCACTCTGTGATTTAGTAGACTTGAAATAAAAAAATTAAGAAGAATCACAGAGGAAAGATGTGATGACAAAGATAAAGAAGGAATAAGGGAACAGGACCAGGTGATACTAGATAGGAAATATCAAGAAAAGCATCTAGTGAGTAAACTCAGATGCATAAAGCTGCAAAAAAATAAAGCTTTTCCTTTGCTTTCCTATGGTTATGTCATCTTACAAGTTTTACTAAAGAATTTATATTCTGGATAATAGCTTTGGGGTTGTAAATATAAGAAATAGAGATTACACTACAGTTTTTGTTTATTAAAGGGCATAGTGACTTTCAGCTTTTAAAATGACAAAAGTTTATATTCACTATTGTTTATTCATTCAATCATGTGTTCTTCAGTAAATATTTGAGTGAACTGTGTTCTAGTAAAACAAATAACAAATAGAAAAAGACCCCTGTCCTCAAGGAGCTTGTTTTCTTTTTTCGAGATGGAATCTCACTCTGTCTCCTAGGCTGGAGTGAAGTGGCATGATCTTGTCTCACTGCAACCTCTGCCTCCCAGGTTCAAGCAATTCTCCTGTCTCAGTCTCCTGAGTAGCTGGGACTACAGGTGTACGCCACCACCCCCAGTTAATTTTTGTATTTTTAGTAGAGGTGGGGGTTTCACTAGGTCAGGCTGATCTTGAACTCCAGACCTCAAGTGATCCACACGCCTCAGCCTCCCAAAGTGCTGGGATTACAGGGGTGAGCCACCCCTGGCCACTGGAGCTTGTGTTTTAATGGGGTTGGTGGAGATGAGGAGAGACAAAAATAGGCTATAAACAAAATAACTAACTAACTGCTAGAGGATTCTATTATAAACTAAATCAACAATTCACTTTCATTTTATTCCACATGCATTAAGAATAAGTATTGCAAGCAGTGAAGGGAATAAAGTGTACAGTAATATACAAGAAGAAACTAATAGTTCCTTTTAAAGTCCCTAGCAATTAAGTGAAGGAGATATAATTGGGACATAGGTAAATATTATAAAAGATTATTCCAAGTGGTTAAAAAAAAAGTCATTCTAAAAGGTTTCAGGGGACTCAGACGAAAAAAATTTTTATTTAAATAAATGAGATGACAGGAAATGAGGAAATGGAATATTCCTTCAGAGAAAGGAAGTGCTGATTTTAAAGCTTAAATAATAGATGTGACAAGTCGTGCTTAAAGAAAATATTTCAACTGTGTAATAAAAATACATTTCCCAAGTTGAAAAATATATTTTAAAAATCTGGCCGATTTTAAACTTCAAAGAATGAAGGCTCTGAGCTTTGACTAATCCAAAAGGAATATTTATATAAGGTTTTATAAACGGCTGTATCCTTGTTTTGAGCCTATTTCTTTTCTGCCATGTACCTCTACTTTCACTGTTGGTATCACTCAGCAACTGTGTTTTTGTGAAGTATAAATTAAAATTCAAATTGAAGTTTTTTAGTTGGCTTAGAAGTTGTTTTATTTGTTAGTGAAATCACTTTTTTTTTTTTTTTTTTTTGAGACGGAGTCTTGCTCTGTCACCCAGGCTGGAGTGCAGTGGCGCAATCTCAGCTCACTTCAAGCTCCGCCTCCCGGGTTCACGCCATTCTCCTGCCTCAGCCTCCCCAGTAGCTGGGACTACAGGCGCTCGCCACCACGCCCGGCTAATTTGTTGTATTTTTAGTAGAGATGGGGGTTTCACCGTGTTAGCCAGGGTGGTCTCGATCTCCTGACCTGGTGATCCTCCCGCCTCGGCCTCCCAAAGTGCTGGGATTACAGGCATGAGCCACCACGCCCGGCTGAAATCACTTTTAAAATATAGGGAAATGTTAGATAAAAGTGGAGAATGCTTTAAAACTGCCAATCAAATAGAAAACCAAGGTTTGAAGAGGATAAATCATGAGTAAAACACCCAGCAATAAAGGCCTCCACTGTTAGGTTGATGTTTTCTTAAGGGTTTAGGAAAAGATGAATTCATTTTTATTCTCTAAAGGAAAAAAATAATGGGTTTTACCTGATTCTTTTTTTACTTTAAGCAGTAGAAGGACAAACAAGGAAAGTCAGTGTAATGACAATGAAGAAACCGAATGTGTACAGGAAGTGTACAGAAAGACTTTTCAAATTCCAATGGGCAATGGGTGAGGCAATAAATATTAGATCAACACAAAAATGGTATTAACAGTTAACTTTTGTATTATGTTTCACAGCCTACAAATGTTTTTTATGCATACCATGTTATTTAACTCAACACAACTCTTTACTTTCATTAATCATTTGTTATCTATTAGTCACTGTTATTCATGAAATAGACTGAATTAAATACCACTGTTGCCTACGGCTAAACCTTGAACTATTTTTATTTTAAGCTCTTTCTTTAAGATGGAAGGATGAAAAGAAACTTCTCAAATGCCTCATCCACAAAATCTCGTCTCATGCAATGATATGGATTGTTAGTGACACAAATGGGTGTACAAAAATTCTTTCGATTGCAGAAAACCTACCCCAAACTGACTTCAACCAACATGACTCCAAAGATATAAAAGCAAAGCTTGATTTAGGACTTGTAAAATATCACTAAGATCTAGCTATGGGCTCCATGTGCTTTGTAGTGCCTCTATATTCAGGTTGCAATAGGAAGGTCCCAGCAACTGAGTACTGCCACATCATGGCAGTACCCAGTCCATGAAAATATAGTCTGCTTTCTGGCTAATTTAAAACAAACTCCAGAATTTCTGTTCTGGAGAACAGAACACTAATGTTCTGATGATAAAAAGTATGGAGGTTACTGGCAAAAGCAACAAGTATCTATTACATCAAAATGCTGCAAATAAGAGTGCTTCACACTTTGCTATTTTGTTCTCTCAATGACTAGTCTATTTCTCCTCCAGTCCCTCTTACCTGCTGATCCCAGATTAATTGTCCTAAAGGACAGACTTATTCATGTCACATCTTTGTCCAGAAACCTTAAAAGTTCCCTGTGATTTATGGAACAAAAGTCAGACTTCTTAGCCTGACATTTAATGTCCTTCACAATCTGGTCATGCCCAATTCATCTAACCATTCTTATCTCCAGCCTTTGCTTCTGCTGCGTGCTTTACAAAATGTGTTTTCTTACCCTCTCTGTTGTCTAAATTGTACTGATAGTGTAATAAGTAAAGCAAATGGCATGTTTTCTTATGAAGCTGAAAGTAATTTTGTCCTCCTTTCGACTCCCAGAATTGCAAACTCCTGCCATGGTACCCACTACTTTCTACTTGAGTCTGTTATTTCTGGATCTGCCTACCAGAGTCCATATTCCTCACTGAAGGTGGTGTTTAGGTATTATACATCTTTGCTACTTTTAAAAAAACAAAGAATTTTGTACTTAATAATATGCATTTTGTAAATAAACTAATAAATATAGAGTATTCATAAGAAATAACTCATCCTAGAGCCTCTCTATTTAGGCAGAATTTTTTTATATTGTAAACAAAGTGTTGGCAAATCATTCATTAGTTTGTTCAGTCTTTCATTTGTTCAGCCTTTGTTCACTGCAAACCCTGTGCTAGATACTGTGCAAAGCTGATGGAAACACAAAATTCAATGGCTTAGTTCTCATTCTCAAGGAACTGAAAGTGTAGGTGGAAAACAACAAATGGAATTACAATACAATAGAATAAAATGATGTGGGAACACAGAGGAAAATATAAATTATGTCATAGAAATTCTTTAAAATTTTTGCAGAAAAGGAAACATTTGAGGTGGAAAGAAAAAGAGAGAAAAATAGCAGATATTAATCAAAGAAACAATTTGTGTTTGGGAATTGTGAGAGTTTAATGTAGTGAATGTAGACTGTACTTTGGTTTAGAGGAGAAGACACTGAAAAGATTTATCCAAGACTGCTTAAGAAAGGCTTTATATTTCATTAAAAAGAGTTTACATTTCTTCATGTATGTAATTGGGCAATAGCCAAAAGTTTGAGGCTAAAGACTGGTATCAGATTTATACACTAGAAGGCAATATAGAGAATGGCCTTGGAGATAGGAAAAGAGAGATCAGAAGATGGTTTGAAGGTGAGTAAAACTTTGAAGATTCTAGCATAGAAAACGGGATATATATTAATGCCATTAATTAAGGGAATGCAAAAATATAACAGATTCTGGGGACAGGGGAAAAATGATCATGTTGAATCTGAGATTCATGGAACCTTCTGGCAGAGATATCTAATAGGTGAGATAAGTGACGAGAAATAATGGCTGCCTTATCTATTCCACCATGGTTGTGGAAAAAATGAAAATGTTTTAAAAGCAAAACAAAGTGTATAGTCTAATATACAATACAAATTATTTTTGTACATTTTCAAGGTAGGGAAAAACATAATTTGCCAGTTGGCTCATGCCACACCATGAGGAAAGGAAATTAACAAACTAATTTTGTTAATGGAAAGGAGACTAATAAACTAATAACTACATTTATAACTTTTAAGATAAGGTTGATCCAAGTTGTTCAGGAAGGTGACTTCAAGTTTCTAGACTGGATGGACTCTCATTTGGTTAGTAAATCCCAGAAGACTGATATTTTGGGAAACATTTTTCAGTCTTTTCTGTTGGGACTTTATCATGTTTTTCTTCACATTTACTTTCTGGAATTTTACCCCAATAACTGTAACTTTCTGTGTACCACAAAAACTTACTCAGTAGTTTGGTTGTTGGAAAAGGTCACATTAATGTTAAGATATTTTCACTAATTTTGTTGGAAGCCATCAAAACCACTAAAAAGATAAGCTGAAAGTTAAGAATTCTTTTGGTTTCTCTGAAGGAATTATATTAATCTTGTATACTATATAATGAGGAAGTTTTACATGCAGGTTAAATATTGGTCATTTACAAACTTAAAATGATTAGCCCTTATTTACTTACACACACTTGGAAAAATAATCTTTTTATATATTAAAATATACCCTCGAATAGCTGAGCCATTGGCAAACATTGAAAACTGGGCACTTAACTGTTCTACACTTTACTGATGAAACTGTGACAGCAGCAGAAGTTGAAGTCTGATGTGACTTCAACTTGCCAAGTTAATTAAATTTAACCAAAAACATTTCTAAGATAAAATCCCACCCTACAGGACCTTATACTCAATTATAATAATCAAATATAAGTTTAAGACAATAAAAAGACAAGACACATATGGGAGAAAATATTTGTAAAACACATATTTGATAAAGTTCTTATATTCATATATAAAAAACCCTTTAAACTCAACAATAAAAAAAACCACCCAATTAAAAAGTGGGAAGAAGATCTGAACAATTATCTTACCAAAGAAGTATACTTGATGGCAAATAAGTATATGAAAATATGCTCAATATCATGTCATTAGAGAATTATAAATTAAAACAATGGAAAACCATTATACATTTATTAGAATGGCTAAGATGGAGAATATTGATAGCACTAAATGCTAGTGAGGACGTTGAAGAACAGGACCTTTCATTCATTGCTGATGAGAATGGAAAATGGTACAGCCACTTCGGAAGAGACTTTGGCAGTTTCTTCTGAAACTAAACATAGTCTTACCATAGGATCCAGCAATCACACTCCTAAGTATTTAGCCAAATGAGTTGAAAACTTGTACCCAAACAAAAACCTGCACACAGATATGTATAGCATTTATTGATTGAGATGGAGTCTGGCTCTGTTGCTCAGGCTGGAGTGCAGTGGCCGATCTCATCTCACTGCAACCTCCGCCTCCCGGGTTCAAGTGATTCCCCTGCCTCAGCCTCCCGAGTAGCTGGGACTACAGGCGCCTGCCACCACGCCTGGCTAATTTTTGTATTTTTAGTGGAGACGGGTTTTCACCATTTTGGCCAGGGTGGTCTCGATCTCTCGACCTCGTGATCCGTCCGCCTCGGCCTCCCAAAGTGCTGAGATTACAGGCATGAGCCACCATGCCTGGCCCTTCATACCAATTTTATTCATAATTGCTAAAACTTGAAAGCAACCAAGATGTCTTTCAATAAGTGAATGGATAAACAAATTGTGATACATCCACGCAAGGTAATATTATTCAGTGATGAAAAGAAACGAGCTACCTAGTCACAAAAAGACATGGAGAAAACTTATATTCACATTTCTTAGTGAAAGCAGCCTGACTGAAAAGGCTACATACTGTATGATTCCAACCATATGACTGCTGTGGTTTCAATGTACCTCCCAAAGTTTATGTGTTGGAAACTTAATCCCCATTGTAACAATGTTGAGAGGTAGGACCTTTAAGAGCTGATTAGGTCATGAGGACCCTGTTCTCATAAATGGATTAATGCTGTTATTGTGGGAGTGGATTGGTTATCTCAGGAGGGGGCTCCTGATAAGAGGATGAGTTCAGCCCCCATTTTCTCTTTGTCTTGTGCACTCACTCGCCTTTTCACTTTCCACCATAGAATGATGCAAAAAGATGGCCCTCAACAGATGGCCAAGCAGAGCTGGTATCATGCCCTTGAACTCCTGAGACTCTAGAACTGTGATCCAATAAATCTCTTTTATTTCTAAGTTATCTAGTCCATGGTATTCTGATATAGCAGCAGAAACTGGACTAAGACAATGACATTCTGAGAAAGGTAAAACTATGCAGATAGTAAAAAAGATCTGGGGTTAGGAAAAAGGGAGGGGTGAAGAGATAGAGCACAGCGGAATTTTGGGGGAGAAGTGAAAGCATTCTGTATAATACTGTAATGGTGTACACATGACATTATGCATGGGTAACACCTAAAAAACTGTACAACACAAAGAGCGAATGCTAATGTAAACTATGGACTTTAGTAAATGATAATGTATTAATATTCATTCGTCAATTGTAATAAATGTACTACACCAATACAAGATGGTAATAATAGATGAAAAGGAGAGTAAAGAAGGAAGAAATGTTTGGGAACCTCTGTACTTTCTGTTTAATTTTTTTGTAAGCCTAAAACTGCTTTAAAAATAAAGTCTATTAATTTAAAAACAATGAGATTAGTGACTCCATTATTTATGCTCTAAGAAATGGAAATAAATAGCATGGTAATGTGAGGGATTGCGTAAGGATTCCAACTAGAGGTATTTATGAAGACGACTTCATGGAGGTGGTGAAATTTAAGATATGTGTTGAAGAATGAGCTAAATTTAATGAGAACAATTAAAACAAACAAGAAATATTTTATTAGGCAGCGCTTCATAAACATAACTCTGTGGAATGACAGTAACTCAGACCAGGATGTGTTATGTTATATTAAGAAACAAAGGTGGCATAGCAGCAAATGACAATGTTTAAGTATTATTTTTCTTATATAATTTATCTCAATATAATAATATTTTCTTACTTGCTTCAAAGGTGTGGAAAAAGTATACATGCAAAGTAACTACTAATGAAAGTTTGTGAAGATGTTAAAATCAACAAATTCATCACCCTTATCTTAAGAATATTTTTCCCTTTGCTAATGTTGACATCTTTACTTAATTCTTGTATTTCTCTCTTTCCTTTTATTGCCAAAAATTTTAAATAAATGAGCTATATTCAGTTCTTCAGTAGCAATACTTTATTATTGCACATGTATTTTAATGGCCCCTTATTTGTCAAATTCAAAGGTTTTCATCTATTCTCATTTTTCTTCACACTTTTTGACTTCTCATTCATATTCACCATAAATTTTTCTTGAAAGCTTCTTTATCCCCAGATTTCAAAATACAGGATTCTTCTCAATTCTGCCTCTCTATGTTGGTAATAACTCCTGAATTGATATAACACCCTCCTTGCACTCTCTGATCGCTGTGTTGTGAGTATGCAAGTATGAATAAGACAGGTTTCTGGGGACCTCCCAGTCTAGTGAAATGCAAGAGCATCTGGCCTATCTGCTGTAAGAGGCATAAGCAAAGCACTAAGGGGGTACTGATGCTGGCCTAATAAATATGCGGGGGGAGGCGGCAATGGGAACAGTGAACAGCAAATGGAAAAGTGTGGTAATAACAACCTGTGATATGTCAGAAACTGGGTGAAAAATTTATCAAGGCTAGAGCTTAAAGGTAGATAAAAAGTTGAAGATCAGGAGAGCTGAAAAGAAGACTGAGGACTGAGTTGTAAAGGATTTTATTCATTATGCAAATATATTTGCCCTTTAATGAACACAGTCAGTGCTCAATAAGTATTGGGTAAAAGAATCAATAAATCATTTGACTAACTAGCATGTGTTGAACAGGAAGTGAAAAATAAGAAATGATCTCTGATTATGAGAAACGTATTATGTAGTTGGAGGGAAAACAGTTTATAGGATGAGAAAGCATAGAATACTACAAAATTATACAAGGCACATAAGTGTGGGAGAAAAGAGTATTAATCAATGTGTGTATACTGACTGTTAGTCCTCGAATGCTAAGTAGGCTTTGGGTAGGGTCAGAAGAGAAAGGATGACATTTTAGGTAAGTGGAAAAGCTCAAACAAAGACACACCTGAAAATTGGCCAAGAATGGAATAAGAACAATACTGGCATTGGGCTACGTGAATAACTACTGTGTGTTGGGAAATGTAACAGTCATTGATGTTTGCAGTAGCCAGCCACCAATCTGGCCACAAATAGTCCCCTTCTCATGATATTTATTAGCAAGATGAAAAAAAAAGGGATAAAGTAGAATCAAAATTGAAGGTATCAAAGACACAGGCAGAATGAGCGTCATAATTATACGGTGCCATCAATAGAATAAGCAGAAGTGGGGCAAAATTTGGGGTTGTTCAGCGTAAAACTCACCTCCCATTAATTCATGGCTCCTTATGTCTCAATTAGAACTTTAGAAAGTTCTAGTTGACGATTTAAAATTATCCAAAGACCAGAACACTGGCAGATATAGTCTTCCCTGAGTATCCTGCTGACCTCCCTGAATAAGCCTTTTATCATTTTGTCTTCTTTGTCACTATGGCATATTTAGATGGTTTTCTTCCTTCCACCCTTCCTTCCATTGACCATCTGCTCTGTATATTATTATGCTCCATAAATGCCCTGTCTCCTCTTTTATGTTTATTCAAGTCCCCATCATTTTTTAGGGTCAAACTGAAGTCATATTTCTACTAAGCCTTAACCAACAACTCCTTAGAACTCTTACTGCAAATTATATTATAATATAATATAGAATATATAATTATATATATAATATAATATAATATAATATAATATAATATAATATAATATAATATAATATAATTTGCACTTACCTGATAAGCTAAAATTCAAGATACACTGTGTTGGCAAGGCTGTAGAGAGAGGAGCTCTCATGAGTTTATAGTGAAAGTAAATTATACAATCCCTACTATGGAGGCTAGTTGGCAGCAATGATCAAAATTCAAATGCATATACCCTTTGGTACCATAATTCTATTCCCAGAAATTTGTCCTGGACATATACTACTACACAGGTAAAATTGCATATGCACATGATTAGTCAGCGTGACATTATTTATAATAGGAAAATAAAGAAAACACCCTAAATTTCCATCAATAAATCAAAGAAATTATGGTATGTTCATAAAATGGAATATTTTGCAATTGCCAAAAATAAAAAAGAACAAGGAAATACTTTATGCATGGATTAATATGGATTAATATGGAAATAATTTTAAGGTACAAAAGAGCATATCATATAAGCTAGAAGAATGGGACAGAAAATTCATTCCAGTGCTATTGGGTAAAAACTAGCAGTGAAAGAGGGCATCCTTGTCATGCTCCAGATCTTAGAGGAAAGGCCTTTAGTTTCTCCCCCTTCAGTTTGATACTAAATGTGGGTCTGTTCTGTATGGCTTTTATTATGTTTAGGTATGTTTCTTCTATACCCACTTTTTGATAGTTTTGTAATGAAGGAATGTTGAATTTTATTAAATAGTTTTTCAGCATCAATTTAAATGATCATACGGTTTTTGTCCTGCATTCTGTTAATATGATGTATCACACTGATTGACTTGCATATGTTGAACCATGCTTGCATCCCTGGAATAATTCCCACTTGGTCATGATGAATTATTTTCTTAATGTGTTGTTGATTTCACATTGCTCGTATTACGTTGAGGATTTAAACATCAATATTGATGAGGAATATCAGCCTGTAGTTTTCTTTTTTGATGTGTCTTTGTCTGTTTTTGGTATCAGGGTAATACTGGCCTCATTGAATGAATTTGGACATATTACTTCCTCCTCTATCTTTTAGTTTGAGTAGGATTGGTATTAGTTTTTCTTTAAATGTTTGGTAGAATTGGTATTAGTTTTTCTTTAACTGTTTGGTAGAATTCAGCAATGAAGCCATGGGTTCTGGGCTTTTCTTTGATGGAAGACTTTTTATTACATCTTTGATCCCACTACTTGCTATTGGTCTGTTCAGGTTTTGGATTTCTTCATGGTTCAATCTTGGTAGCTTGTATATGTCTAGGAATTTATCCATTTATTCTAGATTTTCAAATTTATTGGCATAAATAATTGCTCACAGTAACCATTAGTGGCCTGTGAATTTCAGCAGTATCTGTTTTGATGTCTCCTTTTTCATCTCTGATTTCATTTATTTGGGTCTTCTTTTTTTCTTAGTTAGTCCAGCTAAAGGTTTGTTTTTATTTGTTTATTTATCTTTTCCAAAAAAATGTTTTTACTTTGTTGATTTTGTGTGGTTGTCTTCATTTCATTTATTTCTGACCTAATATTTGTTATTTCTTTTCTTTTACCAATTTTAGGTTTGGTTTGCTCTTGCTTCCCTGTTTCTTTAAGATGCATTGTTAGGTTGTTTATTTGAAGTTTTTCTTCTTTTTTGATGTAGGCACTTACAGCTATAAACTTCCCTCTTAGTACTGCTTTCACTGTATCCCATAGGTTTTGTTATGTTGTGTTTCCATTATCATTTGTTTCAGGAAATTTTTAAATTTCCTTCTTAATTTCTTTACTGACCCACTGGTCATTCAGAAACATATTAATTTCCATGTGTTTGTATAATTTCTGAAATTCCTCCTTATTGAATTCTAGTTTTTATTCCACTGTGGTCAGGGTCAGAGAAGATGCTTGATATTATTTCAATTTTTAAAATGTTTTAGAACTTGTTTTGTTAACCTAATATATGGTCTATTCTTGTACAGAGGAGTAGAATGTGTCTTCTACAGCCACTGGATGAAATGTTCTGTAAATATTTATTAGATCCATTTGGTCTACAGTGCAGATTCAGTCTGATGTGTCTTTGTTGCTTTTCTGTATGGAGGATCTGTCCAATGCTGAAAGTGGGGTGAAGTTTCCAGCTATTATTGTATTGGGATTTCTTCTTTGTCTCTTCTAATAGTTTTTATCTTGAAATCTCTTTTGTCTAATATAAGTATAGCTACGCTTGCTCTTTTTGGGTTCCATTTGTTTAAAATATCTTTTTCCATTCCTTTATTTTCAGTTTATGTGTATCTTTAGAGATGAAGTGTGTTTCTTGCAGGCAAAAGATCATGGGATTTTGTTTTTATATCCATTCAGCCAATCTGTATCTTTTGATTAGATAGTTTAGCCCATTGTTGATTATAATTTAATATTATTATTGATAAAGAAGTACATACTGTTGCCATTTTGCTATTCATTTTCTGGTTGTTTTGTAGTCTTATCTTCTTTCTTTCCTTCCTTCCTGTCTTCCTTTTAGTGAAGGTGATTTTCTCTGGTGGTATGTTTTAATTTCTTACTTTTTATGTTTTAGTATCTGTTGCTTGCTTTTTGATTAGCAGTGATCATGAGACTTGCAAATACTATATTATCACCCATTATTTTAAACTGACAGCAGCTTAACACTGTTTACATAAAAAACAAACAAGCAAAAAGACAATAAACTCTACACTTTAACTTCATCCCATTGCTTTTTAACTTATTGTTTCCCTTTATGTTTTCTTGTACTTGTCTATGTCTTGAAAAGTTGTTGTAGTTATTATTTTTGATTGATCAACCTGTTTGTCTTTCTACCTAAGACAAGAGTTTACAATCCACAATTACATTGTTATAATATTTGGTGTTTTTATAAGTACTTATTATTAACTGTGAGTTTTGTACCTTCAAGTAATTTCTCATTGTTCATTTATTTTATTTTTATTTTATTATTATTATACTTTAAGTTTTAGAGTACATGTGCACAATGTGCAGGTTTCTTACATACGTATACATGTGCCATGTTGGTGTGCTGCACCCATTAACTCGTCATTTAGCATTAGGTGTATCTCCTAATGCTATCCCTCCCCTCATTGTTCATTAACATCCTTTTCTTTCTAATTGAGGTACTCTCGTTAGCATTTTTTTTTTTTTTTTTTTTTTTTTTTTTGTAGGACAGGTCTGGTGTCGATGAAATCCCTCAGCTTTTTTTTGTCTGGGAAAGTCTCTATTTCTTCTTCGTGTTTGAGAGATATTTTTTGCTGGATATACTATTCTAAGGTAAAAGTGTTTTTCCTTCAGCACTTTAAATATGTCATTTCAAACTCTCCTAGCTGTAAGGTTTCCACTGAAAAGTCTGCTGCCAAGTGTATTAGAGCTCCATTGCATGTTACTTGTTTCTTTTATCTTGCTTCTTTTAGGATCCTTTCTCTATCCTTTATTTTTAGAAGTTCGATTATTAAACACCTTGAAGTAGTCTTTTTTAGGTTAAATTTGCTTAGTGTTCTACAACCTTCTTGTATTTAAATATTGATATTTTTCTCTGGGTTTGGAAAGTTCCTGTTATCCCTTTGAATATTCTCATTCTGTCTCTCTCTCTCTCTCTTTCTGCCTCTTATTTAAAGCCAGTAACTCTTAGATTTGTTCCTTTGAAGTGATTTTCTAAATCTTCTAGGCATATTTCATTTTTAAATTTCTTTTTCTTCTTTTTCCTCTGACTGTGTGTTTTCAAATTGTCTTCAAGCTCACTAATCTTTTCTTCTTCTTCATCAATTCTGCTGGTTAGAGACTCTGATATATTCTTTAGTATATCAATTGCATTTTTCAACTCCAGAATTTCTGCTGCTTTTCAATTATTTCAATTGCTTTAAATTTATCTGATAAAATTCTGAATTTCTTCTCTGTGTTATCTTGAATGTCTCTGGGTTTCCTTAAACAGCACTTTTGAAGTATCTGTCTGTTAGGTCACATCTCTCTCTCTCTGGGATTGATCTCTGCTGCCATATTTAGTTAGTTTGGTGAGGTCATGTTTTTCTGGATGGTCGTAATTCTTATGGGTTTTCATCTGGGCATTGAAGCGTTAGGTATTTATTGTAGTCTTTATAGTCTGGGCTTGTTTGTACCCTTCCTCTTGGGAAGGCTTTCCAAGTATTTGAAGGGAGTTGGGTGTTGTGATCTAAGCTGTTTCTGCATTAGGGGGCACCCCAAGCCCAGTAATGCTTTGGTTCTTGTACACTTATAGAGGTATCACCTTGGTGGTCTTGGATAAAATCCAGAAGAATTCTCTGGGTTACCGGGCAGAGACTCTTGTCTTTTTCCCTTACTTTCTCCCAAATGAATGAAGTCTCTCTCTCTGTGCTGAGCCTCCTGGACTTGGGCAGGGGGACACAAGCACTTCTATGGCCTCCACCATTAGGACAGCACTGGATCAGGCCTGAAGCAGTGAGTCTCACCCAAGGCCGACTGTAACCACTACTGGCTATTTCATAGGCTTACTCAAGGCCCTAGGGCTCTACAAACATCATGTGGAGAAGCCAGCCAGCCTTGTGTCCTTCCCTTTAGGGTAGTGAGTTCCCTCTGGCGTTGGGTGGGTTCTACCATCTGGGAGCCAGGAATTGGAGTAAAACTCCTTAGAAATCTACCTGGTACCTTTTCTACTACAGCCAAGCTGGAACTCATACCATGAGACAAAGTCCTTCTTACTCTTCCCTTCCCTTTTCACAGACAGAGGGGTCTCTCCCTGTGGGCACCACCACTGTAGGCTCACAGGACTACTGCGAGGCTACCAGAGATGTTCATTTAAGCCCCAGGGCTCCTCTGTCAGCTCATGGTGAATGCTACCAGGCCTGGTACTCTCCCTTCAGGGCAGTAGGCTCCTTTCTAGCCCAGGGCAAATCCAGAAATATCATCTAAGAAGCAAGGCCTGTAATTGGGGACCCCGAGATCCTGCTTAATTCTCTACCTCCCTGTAGCCAAGGTGGTACCTAAGGTGTCAGACAAAGTCTCCCTTACTTTTCCCTCTGCTTTTCTCAAGCCAAAGGAGTCTCACCGTAGCCACTATATCTAGCAATGTGCTAGGTCTCACCTGAAGGCAGTATGTCTCAGAGTCTTATCCAAGATCCACCTTGGTATCAACACTGATTATTTAGGGCCTCAGGGCTTGTTAGTCAACAGGTGATGAGTTCTGCCAGGACTGGGTCTTTCCCTTCAAGGCAGAGGATTCCCTTCTGGCCTAGGGTGTATCTAGAAATGTTGTCCAAGAGTTAGGTCCTAGAATGAGAACCTCACGACTCTGCCCAGTGCCTTATCCTGGCGTGGCTGAGCTGGTAATTGAGATGCAAGACAAAGTCCTCTTTACTCTTCCTTTTCTTCTCCTCAAGCAGAAGGAAAGGGTTACTGTTGCTGTGAGCTGTGCTGCCCGCGTTTGTGGCAAGGGTAGCACAAGCAGTCCCTTAGCCACCTAGCTTATGTCTCACTAGGTAGAATGCTGCCCAAGTCCACTATCTCCAAGCCCAGCACAGCACCAGGACTTGCCTAGAAGTTGCAGTCCTTGTGGCCTAGACTGCCTTACAAGTTTATTTAGTGCCCCAGAGCACTTTATCCCACAGTGGCTAGGCTTGTCAAAACTCAAGTTCTGATGCTGGGATGTGGGATTTCTCTCTGCCTAGGGCTGATCTAAATGATCCCTTCATGAGTGGGTGTTGGCTGAGTTCATCCTAGTTTTGCTCTCCACCGTGACAGGGCAGCACTAAGTTCAATGAAAAGTATCACAACTGCTGCACTTCCCCTGGTCCAAGCACATAGATTCTCTCTCCACACCATATGCCTGCTGCTGGGGAAAGAGAAAGGGGGGGCATTGGTGATTCAAGACTGTCTCTCCTACCCTCTTCAGTGCCTCTTTCAGCAATATGAATTTAAAACTATGGGCTGTGATTGTCCACCTGATTTTTAGTTCTTATGAAGGTGCTTTCTTTTGCATAGATTGTTGATAAATTTGATTTTCCTATGGCAGGTGGCAATCAGTGGAGGTTTCTATTTGGCCATCTTTCCCTTTCTCTCATACGTATCTATTTTTAAAACTTGTTATTTTATCTAGAATTCTCAATGAGTAACCACAACTGTATCTATTTACTTTAAAGCAAGTGAATGGATGGTTTAGATCAAATAACTAATTTCTAACCCTCCCACTACTGGGAAGGCTTCCATTCTCTGAAGGATTATATGTCATTATATCAACTAGCTGTGTGCTTTTTTTAGGATTCTATCAATTTATGTATTAAAACAAACTATCGTTCAAATCCCTTCTAGCAATCCCATACAACAGCATTCTGTGACATTAAACAAATTCTTTAAGTCTTTGTTCAACTGTCAACTTCTCAGGAATCCTTTTTAATACATACCTTCTTTTTTATTCCCAATTCAAGGACCACCAATGCCCCTTTTCTGTTATACAGGTAAGTGTGTGTGTGTGTGTGTGTGTGTGTGTGTGTGTGTGTGTGTGTGTTCATTCTTGTGTATTATAAAAAAATTTTGATTTTTACTACAATATTTTTATGTAAAGATATAGATACACACATTTACTAGCTATAAGCTTCATAGGGGCAGTATGTCTTGTTTTCTTCTTTATTGTCCACTGCTTTATCTCCAGTATGTAAAACAGTGTCTGGTACATACAGGTACTCAGCGAATATTTGTTGAGAAAGAATGTAATTATTTTAGGGAACCCAAGAAGGTTTAGGTCTTCAAATTGTAAACCCAACTGCATTACATCTTCAGATATAATTAAAAGATTGAACGAAAATCTATAACATTGAATGCTTGAATTTTATAATTTCTTTGGTAATTACTCACATTTTACCAGAAATGTTAATGAGAATGTCATTTCCAACCATGGACCAGCCTGGGATAAATACAAGAAAAGAGAGGCCTTGGGAGGACAACAAGGGTGAAGACCAAAAACAAAGGGAATATAAATAAGCATATATAATATAGGATTATCATCAACAACAAAACTTCAACTATGCAATAAGTACTTTGGTTATAATTTCATTTTTCCAAATATCATCTAGACAAAGTGCACTCATAATGTGTATGCTGACTGAATATGCTATAAGGTCATGCATGCAATAGCTCATTTTTAGTTTTACCTAAGGATATTTGAGAATGGGAAATTCCCAATATGTTTAAAGACAGCATTACAGGATATCCTCCCACAGAATCTTGAATCACTCATTTTATTAAGAGAGTTTAAAACATTTCTGTTATGTGTTGTAACTGAAGTTAACAAAAGCTAGATTTCCTTTTGAGAATTTGCTAAATTACCTCTGGCCAGATGGCTTCTATATCCTGAATTTCCTTCCTATGCTGATCTTTGATGATCCTCAGCTGCATTGGCTGTCTTGGCTATTTAACCTCCTCTCACTATGCTCTCATCCTGCTAAAAGGGATTCTCCACGGATCAGCTTCAAAATAAATCTCCTTTATTTAATTGCATCCAGAAATAGAATGGAAATATTACATGTGAAAATGACAATTAAGCAAAAACTTTATAGAAAACATAAAAATGCACACCTCATATAGGATAATCTGTTTTGTATTTTTGAAAATACAAAAGTCTTTGATTTTTCCCAACAAAGACTTACCATTGCAGATAATAATTAATAGCTGCATCTATACAGTGCCTGGCAAAGTGCCTCACTATGTATTTATTATTTTAATGTCATGCCTCATTAAAGAAAATTTTTGATAGCTGGCCCAGTTTATATATATATATATATAAAATAAGTATATATTATTTATCAACATATGCAATTAATACAATTAATGGATGCTTGTTGGCTAATAGAATAAATAGTTGTTTTTATAAAGCTGAGGTAGTTTTTTTCCTGTTACAATCCAGTTGTCTCTTCTTCTTCAGCTATCAGGAGCCACTCTTCACTTTACCTCAGATAGCATCAATCCTCAGTAACTGAATGTCTTGTCTTGGAACACTCTTTTCCTAGGTATTCCTAGAACCACTGAGGAATGTTTTCCAGTTCCAGAATTATTCTAGTTCTTCCTCTACCAATGCCTTGCTCCTGGTGCCAGATCACATCTTCATCCTACTCTGCATCTTGTCTTGCTTTCTGGGAACTTTTTCCTAAGGCAGTTGCTGCCGTCCACTTTGGCACTGCTTTCCAAGCATGGGCCCAGAATATTCCCTAACTCCGCAAAGCATAGGTATGACCAGCCCACATGGTTTGGCAAGATTTTACTAAAGGTTTGTGTAGAGAAACCCAAATTTTCATTGGTGAGAAGCATATGCACACACATTCAAAAAAATAAAAAACTTGAAATGAGATTGAGTATATGAGAGATTTTAGACTGGGCTACTTCACAGGTACCCTCAGACAATTCTCAACTGTGCTTCCACAGAGCTATCATATTTCAGGGATCACCATACCTCCCTCTCTATATCTCCCCACCAAAGAATTCAGAACACCACTCTTACATATCCACCAAAAAATGTGTGTGTGAGAAGGATTTCTGGAAACTCTTCCCAGAATAAAATGAACCTTTGCATTTTTGTTCTTGAAAAAATAATGTTTTATTGTCTTAAACTTTCTCATCCCAGAATAAGATGGTTAGTGTACCTTTGTATAACCCGCAGGCCAATTAACAACAACAAATTTTTTACTTAAGAAGGGATATATCATCCTTTTATATGAAAAACTTCTCTCAGTTTTGAAATAACATTAGCCTGCATCCTCTTCCTACCCTCACCTACACACTTGCACCCACCATCACACATTAAAGCCATTGGCTTAAACCAATATGGGAGTCTAGTTTACTATACGCCCAGACCAGCATGTGGAACATGCCCTTATATTCTGCCAAGATATATTTTAGCTATAGTTTTCCAAATATTAGCAGAACATATTTATTTCTTTAAAAAATAGTGAAATAAAAATTTTGTGAATGTATTTTAAACCTCTTATTTTTAAAAAATGACATAGTAGCAATTTGTTCTAGATTTAAAGTATATCAAGACAAATATACGGATGCCTAGAAGCTGAAACCCTCACTGTATCAGTATTTCTAAACATTGGCTGTACATTTAACTATGTGAAGAAGTTTTGGGAAATACTGATACCTGAGACCTATCCTCAGCAACTCTGATTTATGCAGTATGGTGTGTCCAAAGCATGAATATTTTGGTAAAAAGCTCTCCAGGTAATTCTACATGCAGCAAAGATTGAGAACATCTGCACTACATAAATCCAATGTGTGTGCTGCCATTTCCCTTCTCCCCAGTGCACCAAAATGCTCTCTGCACCAAAACTACCACCCATATTACACCATGCTGCCGCTGCTGGGGGATGGGAGAGGAGTGGCATAAGCAATGCAAGACTGTGTTTTTCGACTTCATTAGTGCCTCTTTCAGTAACATGAAGTTAAAATTAGGTACTGGGAGTGCTCCTTTGATTTTTGGTTTTTATGAACGTGCTTTTTTTTGGTGTAGATAGTTGTCAAATTGGTATCCTTGCAGTGGAGGTGATTGGTAGGACCTTCCATTCTGTCATCTTGCTCCACCCCAATAGTCTCTATTTATATTCTTATGAACAAACTAGTGGTGTTTGTCAGACTGGAGACTGTGTTCAGTGTAGATTTCAATATTGAATTTTTACCTCATAAATAGGAAACATCTTACAATTCCATGTCTGACAAAGTCATTCAATTTGTAAAGTTTGGAGTTATACAACACTTTGGTAACATCAGGGAATTGAATATAGATAACAGAGGAAATTGCTAATTAATTGTTGATATGTACTTATCTATGTGTAAGTGTAAATCAATTAAGAAAATATTTCATGCTCATTAGAAAGAAGAAAAGTACCTTGGAATTTGGACCAGTGATATGTGTGTGTGTGTGTGTGTGTGTGTGTGTGTGTGTGTGTACATGTGTGTGTATTGTTGAATTTTGACCTGTATCTAATGTTATGGACTGAGGTTACAAAGTCTCGTGTGTCTGTCTATAATTGGTAAAATCCTTGACCTTTCATTACATACGAAATATTTTCTTACTCTAGAGGGTATTAATATATTAAATACAAGGCCTCTAAAAATAAATGAGGTTTGTGCTTATACAATAAGTAACAGGCCGGGCACAGTGGCTCACGCCTGTAATCCCAGCACATTAGGAGGCCGAGGTGGGCAGATCATCTAAAGTCAGGATTTCGAGACCAACCTGGCCAACATGGAGAAACCCTGTCTCTACTAAAAATACAAAATTAGCCAGGCAGGGTGGTGCATGCCTATAATCCCAGTTACTCTGGAGGCTGAGGCAGGAGAATCACTTGAACCTGGGAGGTGGAGGTTGCGGTGAGCCAAGATCATGCCACTGCATTCCAGCCTGGGCAACAAGAGTGAAACTGTCTCAAAAAAAAAAAAAAAAGAAAGAAAAAAGGAAAAAGAAAAGAAATAAAAAAGAAAGTAATTAACACAGACATAATTCTAATATTCTCAGAAAACAAAGACAAAACTTCTAATATTTTTAAATGTGCTTGCATTTTAAGAAGAAAAATCCCATCTCACTAAAACTGCTGGCTCAGATCATGCTGCTTGCTTTGTTGTGAGTAAGAAACAGTCCTTTATTTCTGACCCAGAAGTCTTGAGTCTTCTATCAGCAACCCTGGAACTTTGGCAGGCTAATTTGTTAGCTTGTAAATATGGTAACATCTTATCCTTCATAGAGCAACATCAAAAGGCCTAAAAACTCTTAGGGAGCCAATCAAAGACCTTTGATACCAATATTGAAAAGAGAGGAAAAACAAAAGGTACCAGTGAATCAGCATTTCAGATTTACATGTGTGTAAAGGTAGCCCAAAAGTGTCTACAAAGTCTGGACAGAATTTGAGACATATTATATGGTAAAGTTGAAAAATAGACAATTAAAACTTTTCATGTCTTCTTAAGACTTAACTGCTATACCTGTGATTATGTCATGTATACCTTGAGAGAGCCACTGAACTAATTCTGAAGGCAAGGGTTTATAGTTTCAAGGGTCAGAAGGCCAAAACCTTGCATTGTAAAGTCAAAAGATTGGGCCTTTTGTCAAAACAGTAATACTTTCAAGAAGACACTCTAAGGAGATGAAGTGAGGAGGAAGGAGCATCTCTCTATTAAAAAATAAAAGCATATCTTACTCAACCATCAGGGGAAACTGATGAAATTTTCATGACACAGTTATGTATGCACCTTAATGGAAAATATTCCTCTTCTCCATTCTGATAGTGATGGTTACTCAATAAATTAAACCCAGTCTTTCAGTTACATCATCAATAGGTAGCTTATGCTTTTCTTTCATACTTATCGGAAGGCTCGGCTGTAGGCCAGAGATTTGTTCTTCAAGAAAGTAAAACAGTCGCAGAGTCTCCCAGAAGGACATGTATCACATGTTTTTAAATTATTTGTACCTGAGGAATAGACTCAAAAGTACAGGCTTTGGAACTTAAGGTGGTATCACTTAGATGACTATAAAGACAATACCTGACAATTGAGTCAGTAGTTTGTTTTTTTTTTAATTCCATAAGCCACCAAATTTATGAAAGCACACTATTGACCCAAGATCAAGAGGGACAATAATTAATTGCATAGTATTAAATAAACTGATGAATAAAATCTATTGTGTGTCCAGGTGTGTGTTGTTTTGTCTGCAATATTATCGATATGTATGAAGGTTATATGAAGCAGCCCCTTATCATTAGCATATCTTTAAGCCTCAACTTATTAGATTATGCTTTTGCAGACTGAAACACATTTTAGAGTATTTTCTTTACTACTTCGCAAAAAATGGTTTTACTACATCCTTTCAATTTTAATGACAAGGTTGTTATTTTCAAGCTTCAATAGGAACCTTTTTTAATTGGAGTTTCATTGCACAAATTAATTGTACAGCCAAGATCATGTACAAGACAATCTTCTGATATTTGAGAATAAATCCAATTTAATCAGAACTATAAGCCCTTCATTCATGAACAAGTGCTGTAACTCAGATGTGGAATCAAAGCCTAAAAAGCTCTCCCAGGAAAGTGGTCTGCTACCTCATTTAGATTACAAGATCACAGACTCATAGGTGGCATAAAATATCAATTCCTTGCTGATCTGACGCTTAGCAGATTCTGGGACCTTAAAATGGTAGAATTCGTACACACGAGTAAGTAGTACATATGTAACCTGATAAAAACAAATGTCTTTTTTCCCCTAGCCTCAGAATAGAAGAACAAATAAGAGTTATTTAAAACAAAACAAAACAATTGTGAAGCTGACTATTCAAAAGTTATGTAATGTCTTTGGTTCTATGTCTGTAACTTGACAAAATACTCGGACAAACTTATATTTTTAATCAAGAATAATCTTCAGAGTTTATTTAGGATCACAAAGGGAGACTGTCATACTGAAGCATTGTCTAACAAGCCCACTCAAGAATTACCTGATTATGATCCCTTGTATTGAATTACTACTTACTATTGATTAGGCTATTTTACATCTCACAAAGGGTAGATGTCAGCATGTCTAATATTGATAGCAATGCTAATAATTTTTCTCCTGCAGACATGCAATTGGTGTCTGAAACCCACCATTACGCCTCCTTTTTCTTCTCTTTCTTCTTCTGTCATATAAGACATTATTTAGTCTTGTGTATGATTTACAACCACTCTTTTATTCAGTCACTATAAATAGTTTTGTTTCTTCTATACTTTGTTGGAAACAGCTTCACCCTCCTGGTTCACTAAAGTGTTAAATAGATTTTGGGCATGTGTGCTTATTTTTACATTAAAGTCACCTTTTAACCTTTGAAAACCATACTTTGACATCACGGTAGGATTCAAACAACAGTGGGACTCAGAGAGTCTGTAGACACATAATTCTCTGTTTATGTAGTTCACTAAAAAAATGAGATGTTTTTCTCCCAAAAATTTTTCCAACATTGCTGTTCTTTTGATACTCTAAAGAGCACTAAAATAATTTGTATTACTACCCATTTTACAAAATTAATTTCATGTAGAATCCAGATATTACTATTATAATCCCTGTTATAAACAACTAATGCTGATTTATGCACTGGTCATTAGAAAAATGCAAATCAAAACCACAGTGAGATACCATCTCATGCCAGTTAGAATGGTGATCATTAAAAAGTCAGGAAACAACAGATGCTGGAGTGGATGTGGAGAAATAGGAACACTTTTACACTGTTGGTGGGAGTGTAAATTAGTTCAACCATTGTGGAAGACAGTGTGGTGACTCCTCAAGAATCTAGAATGAGAAATACCATTTGACCCAGCAATCCCATTACTGGGTATATACCCAAAGGATTATAAATCGTTCTACTATAAAGACACATGCACACATATGTTTATTGCAGCACTGTTCACAATAGCAAAGACTTGGAACCAACCCAAATGTCCATCAATGATAGACTGGATAAAGAAAATGTGGCACATATACACCACAGAACACTATGCAGCCATAAAAAAGGATGAGTTCATGTCCTTTGCAGGGACATGGATGAAGCTGGAACCATCATTCTCAGCAAACTAACACAAGAACAGAAAACCAAACACCGCATGTTCTCACTCATAAAAAGGAGTTGAACAATGAGAACACAGGGAGGGAAAAAATCACACAATGGGGCCTGTCGGTGGGTGCCTTGGGGGGCTAGGGGAGGGATAGCATTAGGCAAATACCTAATGTAGGGGACAGGTTGATGGGTGCAGCAAACCACCATGACACATATATACCTTTGTGACACCTATATACCTATGACACCTATATATGACACCTATATACCATGACACCTATATACCTATGTAACAAACCTGCACATTCTGCACATGTACCCCAGAATTTAAAGTATAATAATAACAAAAAAGAATGGAATAATAAACATTTTAAATTCTCTTAAGTATAGATTGTATTGAATTACCAATGCAACTTGTGTTAATCCAAATAAGTTTCATAAAGCTTTTAAAAAAAAGGTATAACTTAGAAGATCACCTTGGATACTTAAAGTTATTACTTTTAAAACCTCTAACTGACAAAGTTGGTTTGTTATTTGACTTTACTCTAAATCAGATACCTTAATTTTATATTGTAATTTATAGCTATGTGGTTAATCACTTGGAATAATTTTAATTATTTTTAAATTTTAATTATATTTTGGTTTATGTGATTTAAAAAAATATATCAACAAAGATACCAAATCATCTTAAAAACAGCATTGTACAATTTTAACTTAGAATAGTGGTTGAGACGCAATTCAAATGTCAAGAATTTGGAGTTTCCAATCTAAATCTAGTCTTTCAGAAACTGAAATTATTACCTGTCAGCAAACCTTTATTTTTAAACCTATTTCTAAGAACCTATTTCTAAGAACCTATTTCTAAGAACATAAGTCAAACAGCTTGTGTGCATGTGGGTGTGTGCGTGTGTTTGTGTGTGTACTAGTCCATACTCATGCTACTATAAGGACATACCCGAGACTTTGTAATTTATAAGGGAAAGAGATTTAATAGACTCACAGTTCCACAAGGCTGAGGAGGCCTCAGGAAACTTATAATCATGGCAGAAAGGGAAGCGAAGTCATCCTTCTTCACATGGCAGCAGTGAGGAGAAGTGCAGAGTGAAGGGAAGGAAAAACCCCTTATTAAACCATCAGATCTCATGAGAACTCATTCACTATCACAAGAACAGCATGGAGGTAACTACCCTTATGATACAATTGCCTCCCACTGGGTAGCTCTCAAGACACATGGGGATTATGGGAACTACAGTTCAAGATGAAATTTGGATGAGAATACAGCCAACCATATCATTTTGCCCTGGTCTCTTCCAAATCTCATGTCCTCACATTTCAAAACACAATAATGCTTTCCCAACTGTCCCCCAAAGTTTTAACTCATTTCAGAATTAACTCAAAAGTCCAAATCCAAAGTCTCATCTGAGACAAGGCAAGTCCCTTCTGCCTATGGGCCTATGAAATCAAAAGCAAGTTAGTTACTTCCTAGATACAATGAGGGTACAGGCATTGTGTAAATACACCCATCCCAAATGGAAGAAATTGGCCAAAATAAAGGGGCCACAGGCTCCATGCAAGTCTGAAATCCAATAGGGCAGTCATTAAAACTTACAGTTCCAAAATGATTTCCTTGGACTCCATGTCTCACATCCTGGTCATGCTGATGCAAGAGGTGGGATCCCACAGCCCTGGACAGCTCTGCCCCTGTGGCTTTGTAATGTACAGCTCCCCTCCTGGCTGCTTTCATGGGCTTGCATTGAGTATCTGTGGTTTTTCTACCTCTACAGTGCAAGCTGTCAGTGGATCTACAATTCTGAGGTCTGGAGGATGGTGGGCCTCTTCCCACAGCTCCACTAGGCAGTGCCCCAGTAGGGACTCTATTTGGAGGCTCCCATCCCACATTTCCCTTCCACATTGCCCTAGCAGAGTTTCTCCATAAAGGGATCACCCCTGAAGCACACCCCTGCCTGGAAATCCAGGCATTTCCATACATCCTCTGAAACCTAGGCGGAGGTTCCCAAACCTCAATTCTTGACTTCCGTGCACCTGCAGGCTCAACACCATGTAGGAGCTGCCAAGGCTTGGGTTTGGCACCCTCTGAAGCAATGGCCTGAGCTGTACACTGGCCCATTTTAGCCACAGCTGGGATGCAGGGCATCAAGTCCCGAGACTGCACAAAGCAGCAAGACCCTCAGCTCGGCCCACAAAACCATTTTTTCCTCCTAGACCTCCTGGCTTGTGATAGGAGGGGCTGTCATGAAGACCTCTGACATGCCCTGGAGACATTTTCCCCATTGTTTTCGTAATTAACATTTGGCTCCTCATAATTTATGCAAATTTCTGCAGCTGACTTGAATTTCTGCTTACAAAATCGGTTATCTTTTCTACGGCATTCTCAGCTGCAAATTTTCCAAACTTCTATGCTCTGCTTCCCTTTTAAACATAAATTCCAATTCCAAACCATATCTTTGTGAATATAAAACTGAATACATTTAACAACACCGAAGTCAGATCTTGAATGCATAGCAAGAGTGACCTTTACTCCAGTTCCCAACAAGTTTCTCATCTCCATCTGAGACCACCTCAGCCTGGACATTATTGTCCATATCACTATCCACATTTTGGTCAAAGCCATTCAACAAGTTTCTAGGAAGTTCCAAACTTTCCTATATCTTCTTGTCTTCTGAGATCTCCAAGTCTCTAGGAAGTTCCAAACTTTCCCATGTTTTCATATCTTCTGAGCCCTCTGAACTGTTCCAACCTCTGCCTGTTACCCAATTTCAAAGTTGCTTCCACAATTTCCAGTATCTTCACAGCAGCAACCCACTTTCAGTTCCAATTTACTGTATTAGTAAATTTTCACACAGCTATAAGGACATACCCCAGACTGGGTAATTTATAAAGGAAAGACATTTAATTGGCTCATAGTTCTTCAGGGCTGGGGAGGCCTTAGGAATTTTACAATCATGGCAGAAGGGGAAGCAAGCATGTCCTTCTTCACATGGTGGCAGCGAGGAGATGTGCAGAGTGAAGTTAGGGGGGAAACCCCTTATAAAACTATCAGATCTCATGAGAACTCACTCACTATCATAAGAACAGCATGGAGGTAACCAATCCCATGGTTCAATTACCTCCCACTGGGTCCCTCCCACAATATGTGGGGATTATGGGAACTACAGTTCAGGATGAGATTTGGGTGGGAACACAGCCAAATCATATCAGTGTGTGTGTGTTGTTTTAAAAAGGGATGCTGATGAGCCAAATTTATTAGAAATATTTTGATTAACTTTTCTACCAATTTTCTTTAAAAGGAAAATATATTTTCAAACAGCTTTTCATGACATTTAAGAATAGTTTTAAAACATTTCCATATATTTATTCTGTTCAATTAACTATGGCTTTCTGTTTCTTGCCTTATAATTTCTAAATAATCATGTGACAAGAAATCTGTCCTAACCACTTTGATAAGCCAGATATTGTTTTTAAATAAAAGAATAAAACTAGGAGTGGAAAAAAGAACTGTTAGTGAAGGCATCATTAAATTGGATTTTGCTGTGTAATCTTATTAGATGTCACTTTTGTTTCCTTTATTTTCTCTTGAGATATAAAAAAGAGAGTTAAAGTTTTGAGATTCCTTATCTTGTAGGCATTTGATTAGAATTTTTTATGCTTTCTAAAGAGAAAGGGATGAATTGAATCTTAAATTGTCTTAAATTCTAATATTATCTTAGAGTACCAGATCATATCATGTATACTTGATTTTTAAAAGACACACCGCAAAATACAGCTAACAACCTAAGAAATACAGGTTATTTCTTATCTAAAATACTTAGGATGAGAAGTGTTTCAAATTTTGGCTTTGGGAATACTTGCATATACATAATGAGATATCGTGGGGACAGAACTCAAGTCTAAACATAATTTTTTTTTATATTTCACATGTGCTTTATACACATAATCTGAAGGTAATTTTATAAAATATTTTTAATATTTTTGTGCATGAAACAAAGTTCGTGTACACTGAACCATCAGAAAGTGACGGGGTCCCTTTCTCAGTCACTAATGAGGATAATCTGTGGTTCCTTGGCAATCACCACCATTCTTGACTAAATTTATAAACTACTGATAGGCAATCATTCTCTTACACTTATTCACACATAACAGTGAAAAATAGGACATACCATTAATACAGTGAAAAAATAATGTGTTCAGAGTAACTAAGAAGCAGAGTAGTGTCACCAGAACACCTGTTTCAGCTCTTATACAACAGCAACAATAAACAATGGCATCCTTTCAGTCTCTACCTACAATGCTGTGTTTTGATTAAAAGGTTACTTTAAATTGCATTTTTTAAATTAATTAATTTATTTTTTGTAGGTAAGAAGAAATGTCAGAAGCAGTTGAGGGACCAGAAACTGGGTCCTTTACAGTTGAGGAGACATTCTGCTGCATAGAGTTTTAAATGTTTCCTCCAGTTGTCTGCCTTATTATCCAGGATTTTTATCTCAGGAGTCTCCCTTTGATTTTATAAACTGACACAGTTTCCTGTTTTGTTATGAATGCACACTGCTCTAGTCCTTCAATAAACCCATCGCACATTTTCACCATGTTGTCTATAGGCACTCTTTCTGCAGTATTAACAATGTCATCTTCATTGTCACTAGTGTCATAATCACCTTGATTCAGGACCATTTCAGCTACCTCACCAGTCAATGAAGGAACAACCGGAGCTTTATTATTGATGTTAAAAACTTTGTTATCCCCTTCTTCCAGCTTACTAACACTTTGAAGGTAAGTTTTTTGCATATGTAAGTATGTCTGACGTCATTTTTTTCTCACTCGATATACGGAATCCTTCAAATTCACTACCTTGTTCATCATGATCAATGAACATAGTTGTAGGCCAAAGATTGTGCTGGGGATGCACAACTGTATCTTTAGAACCTGTGTTCCAAGTGTTCGCAACAGCGTATATGGTATCCTTTGTGGTAAACTCCTTTTGAAAACTTTCCACACCTAGGCCTCTGTTCACTGCTGCTAGCATGCTGTCAAGAAAGTGTTGCTATATTTACTTTTCACTGATCTAAGGATACCCTCGTCATATGGCTGAATTAATAAAGTACCATTTGGGGGAAGCACGTGACATTAACATTAGTCTTGATAGAATGTTCACTGGAAGATTAACAGTTGTCAAGAAAGAACAAAATTTTGCAGTCACCATCCAATCTAGCTTCCTTGAAGTATGTATGAGCCACTGGTAAAACATATTTGAGAAACCAATCAGAAAAGATATCCCTGGAGATCCATGCCTTTTTGTTAGCATAATAATGGACTCCTGGAAAACTGAGTACACAAGCTTTTGTCTATCATGGCAAGTTACACTTATGCAATGCCTGCTGCATTGGCATATCCCAACACAGTTATTCTGTTATTGGCATCCTTCATTACTGTAGGTTGTCTCATCAGCTGTAGTCAGTGTCTTCCTGGGGCAATAACACCAAAACAGTGATATTTCTTCAGCATTATAGACTTGACATGGAGTCAAAATTTCATCAGCAATGACCCTGGCAAATTTGTCAATAAATTTCTCCTCTATTTCAAGATCAGTAGATGCTTTGTTACCAGATCTTTAAAAATTTAATGCTATGTCTTTTTTAAAAACTTCTACAGCCAGCCTATTGAACGTTCATACTTCCCTTTATCAGTTCATCATGATAGATCTTTGCTTGTTTCATGATCAGCATATCATTAAGTGTCATGTGTTCACTGTGACACTGATGGATCTGCACTTTCAATACATGATTGAGATCCTTATTTTTAGCTGTGTGCAGTGTTTTCCTTTAATGGCTGTTTGTCACTTTCAGGGTAGAACTTCAACAGTTTACCTTCAGGTCATATATGGTGGTCATTCCACCACCACACGCTTCTGTGAGATGTTTCATACTCACACTACTGTTGAGTTTCTCCAGCAGCTTGACTTTCTGTGCTACAGATAAACATAAATGCTTCCTCTTTTTCTTATCACTGTTACCCATGGGGTATCTGTGGGCCCTTTTGATGTTTTCAACAATATCTTTACACCACAGAACAAAGAATATGCAAACAAAATGAACAAAAATCCACAGAGAAATGCTCATAGGTCTTTGCCCCATGTGGGTCATCATGGTGATATAATTTCAGTATTTTCCCCTCCAACTCTCAAGTTGAAATGTGATTCCCAATATTGGAGGTGGGGGTCTGGTAGGAAGTGATTGAATCACGGGGACAAATCCCTTATGAACGGTTTAGCATTATCTGCTTGGTGATGAGAGTTCTTGCTCAGTTAGTTCACATAAGACCTGGTCGTTTAAAAGTCTGGGACCTCCCACTTCTCTCTCTCTCTCTTGCTCTCTCTCTCACCATGTGATGTGTCTGTTCCCACTTCATCTGTTACCATGAGTAAAAGCTTCCTAACGCCTCATCAGAAGCTGAGCAGATGCTGGTGCCACTCTTGTACAGCCTGCAGAATATGAGCCAATTAAACCTCTTCTTTATAAATTACCCAGTCTCAGGTATTTCTTTACAGTGATTCAGGAACAGAGTAACACAGTGGAAACTTGCCATTGGCCAATATGGCCTGCACACCTGCCATTTTATTTCCCTTTGAGAGCATGCTTAGATGGGGGAATCTGGGCCTGCGCAAAAAAAAAGACATATCATCATTGAAGGGGCTGGGAGAGTCTTTTTTATCTTAGGGACACTGAATAAACTCCACTGTGTGCCTGTGCTTAGACTGTGACCTGTCACAGAAGGTCAGGCATGGAACTTTACAATTGTGGCATCAGGTCAGCATTCAGGTAATTTCAGATTTGGGGGCATTTGATATTGGATTTTGGATTAGAGATGCTTAACCTGTGTAAAAAAGAAACCACTATCTCCCTCTCCCTCATTGCTTAGTTAGAAAGTCAATAAGCAGATGGATTATTATTATTATTATTATTTTGAGGCAGAGTCTCACCCTACTGCCTAGGCTGGAGGGCAGTAGTGTGATCTCGGCTCACTGAAGCCTTTACCTCCCAGGCTCAAGCAATCCTTCCACCTCAGCCTCCCAAGTAGCTGGGACTATAGGCATGCACCACCGTGCCCAGCTAAGCAAATGAATTCTATATTAATTCTTGCAGATTGCAAAATCAACTATTTTTCTTCCAAATTTGTGATGTTTAGCATATTTTCTGCATACATTTAATATAGCTTGAAATTATAAATCTATAAAAAGCAAAAGTTAAAAATGTTTTTATAGTATATGTTTTTTGAGATAAATATAAAACTTTACTACTTCACTATTTTAAATAAAAACTTATTTTTTGTTTATTATTTTGATTGGAGAGTTGGTTGATAAGGTTTGGCTGCGTCCCCACCCAAATCTCATCTTGAGTTTTACTCCCGTAATTCCCATGTGTTATGGGAGGGACCCAGTGGGAGATAATTTGAATCATGGGACCAGTTTCCCCCATACCATTCTCACGGTAATGAATAAGTATCACAAGATCTAATGGTTTTATCAGGGGTTTCTGCTTTTGTATCTTTCTCATTTTCTTTTGCAACTGCCATGTAAGAAGTGCCTTTCACCTCCTGCCATGATTCCACAAGCCACGTGGAACTGTAAGTCCAATTAAACCTCTTTTTCGTCCCAGTCTCGGGTATGTCTGTGTCAGCAGTTTGAAAATGGACTAATACAGTAAATTGGTACCAGTAAGGGGGGTGTTGCTGAAAAAAGACTTGAAAATGTGGAAGCGACTTTGGGTCTGGGTAACAGGCAGAGGTTGAAACAGTCTGGAGGGCTCAGGAGAAGAGAGGAAAATCTGGGAAAGCTTGGAACTTCCTAGAGACTGGTTGAATGGCTTTGACCAAAAGCCTGACAGCAATATGGACAATAAGGTCCAGGCTGAGGTGGTCTCAGATGGAGATGAGGAACTTGTTGGGAACTGGAGCAAAGATGACTCTTGCTGTTTTAGCAAAGAGACTGGCAGCATTTTGCCCCTGCCCTAGAGATTTGTGAAACTTTGAACTTGACAGGGATGATTTAGGGTACCTTGTGGAAGAAATTTCTAAGCAGCAAGGCATTCAAAAGGGGACTTGGGTGCTGTTAAAGGTATTCAGTTTAAAAGGGAAGCAGAGCATAAAAGTTCGGGAAATCTGCACTCTGACAATGCGATAGAAAAGAAAATTCCATTTTTTGAGGAGAAATTCAAGCTGGCTGCAGTAATTTGCATAAGTAATGAGGAGCCAAATGTTAATCCCCAAGACAATGGGGAAAATGTCTCCAGGGCGTGTCAGAGGACTTCATGGCAGCCCCTCCCATCACAGGCCTTGAGGCCTAGGAGAAATTGGTTTTGTGGTCTGGGCCCAGGGTGCCCATGCTGTATGCAGCCTAGGAACTTGGTGTCCTGTGTCCCAGTTGCTCCAGCCATGGCTGAAAGGGGCCAACATAGAGCTTGAGCCATGGCTTCGAGGGCGCAAGCCCCAAGCCTTGGCAGCTTCCACACGGTGTTGAGCCTGCAAATACACAGAAGTCAAGAATTGGGGTTTGGGAACCTCCACCTAGATTTCAGAAGATGCATGGAAATGCCTGGATGCCCAGGCAGAAGTTTGCCGCAGGGGCGGATCCCTCATGGAGAACCTCTGCTAGGGCAGTGTGGAAGGGAAATATGGGGTTGGAGCCCCCAGTACAGAGTCCCTACTGGGGCACTGCCTAGGGGAGTTGTGAGAAGAGGGCCACCATCCTTCAGACCCCAGAATGGTAGATCCACCTACAGCTTGCACCATAGGCCTGGAAAAGCTGGAGACACTCAATGCCAGCCCATGAAAGCAGCTGGGAGAAAGCCACAGGGGCAGAGCTCCTTGAGACCATCGGAATCCACCTCTTGCATCACTATGACCTGGATGTGACAGCTGGAGCCAAAGGAGACCATTTTGGAGCTCTAAAATTTGACCACCCTGCTGGATTTCAGACTTGCATGGGCCCTGTAACCCCTTTGTTTTGGCCAATTTCTCCCATTTGGAATGACTGTATTTACCAAATACCTGTACCCCCATTGTATCTAGGAAATAGCTAGCTTGCTTTTGATTTCATAGGCTGATAGGCAGAAGCGACTTGCCTTGTCTCAGATGAGACTTTGGACTGTGGAGTTTTGGGTTTATGCTGAAATGAGTTAAGACTTTGGAGACCTGTTGGGAAGGCATGATTGGTTTTGAAATGTGAGGACATGAGATTTGGAGGGGCCAGGGGTGAAATGATATGGTTTGGCTGTGTCCTCACCCAAATCTCATCTTGAATTGTACTACCATAATTTTCAATGTGTTGTGGGAGGGACCCAGTGGGAGATCATTTGAATCATGGGGGCGGTTCCCCCATACCGTTCTCTTGGTAGTGAATAAGTCTCACAAGATATTATGGTTTTATCAGGGGTTTCTGCTTTTGTATCTTCCTCATTTTCTCTTGCCACCACCATGTAAGAAGTGCCTTTCACCTCCTGCCACGATTCTAGGCCTCCCCATCTGTGTGGAACTGTAAGTCCAATTAACCCTCTTTTTCTTCTGAGTCTCGGGTATGTCTTTATCAGCGGCATGAAAATGGACCAATACATTGGTATTCCAGTGTTCACTAATTAAAAGAGAAATTCTATTTTGCTTGGATGCTATTGAGTAGGTTATAAGAGAATGTGCTGTAGGAAAGTACTAATTACACTAAACTGTGGAGAATTATCATGCATAAACCTATTAGCAGGAAAATTTCTGGCCTGTAATCCAAAACCGGATACAAAACCAAGGGTTCACTCTGGGAAATGTTGATGTTTCATATATTCCTAGTGTTATTGATTCAATACTGATATCTACTACTAGCATATAGTTAATATGCAATTTTAGACAAGATGTCAAAAGTTGTTGAACATAATCATTTGAAAGACAAAATAAGCATTCCTTTTTAAAAAAAGGTATTTAAACATCTGAACATAAAAGTACAATAATAAAAACACCCTTCCTTCTTTTCTCCCTCCATCCTATTTTTTATCTCAATTTTCCCTCCCTACTTTTCCATCCTGAATTTTATCAAAGTTCAGACTTCAATGAAATATTAGATATTCAGTGAAAGAAAAGCATCAGTCAGAGTTCAGAGAAGCAGACCCAGTAGGAGATTTTATATATATATGTGAGCAATTATATGTCTATTTGTTGATATAATTATAGGATCCCAAAGCCTGCTGGGCAGGCAGGCAGGAAGGGAAGATCATGAGCAGGCCAGAAGCGCAGAGGCAGGAGCTAAGGCTTGTTGTCCACTAGTGGGAGGCTCTACTGAGAGAAGGCCTCAGCATACTTAAAGACCTTTCAACGGATTAAATCAGGCCTACACAAGATAATCTCCCTTTTTAATAAAGTCAACCAATTAGAATATTTAATCTCATTCATAAAATTCCTTCACAAAGACATAGATCAGTGTTTGACTGAATAACTGGAACAAGGTATATGTAGCTAAAAATGGCTGCTGCTCCCTTTAGTTCTCCAAGTCTCTTGAGTCCCTGGGAACCCACCCTAAACATACTTGAGAGGGATTTCTTGGCACTGTGGTTCAGACTATTCAAGGTGACACATCAACAGCCATCATATAAAATGCATTGATTTTTCTCAGAAGTTAACAGATCTGATTCCTAAGTGGAAGAATATTTGCCATAAATACACAGACAGGATGATAATGGAGATCTTGTGAGAAACCAGACAATTAGAAAATTGATCTATCTCACCAGTACCATGAACAAAAATCAAAACAAAAGTCCTCTTCTGACTATTAATAAAGCAGAAATTTAGGTAACACCAAGACTTCAGACTTTTTAAAAATCCTTACTCACTTACGTTTTTTAATCAAGGATGAACATCTTTCTCTGAAGTCCACTAGAAAATTTCCTTTTTCTTCAATAGACTTTAAGAGCAGTTCAGTTTCACAGTAAAATAGTGCACAACATAGAGTTCGCATAACCACCCCACACCCCACCAACCCTGCCACATACAAGCCTTCTCCACTATCAGTATCCCACAGTGTACTGGTACCTGTTTTTACAATTGATGAACCTACACTGACATGTCATTATTATTCAAAGTCCATAGTTTTCATTAGGGCTCATTCTTGATGTATAGTTCATGGGCTTTGACAAATGTATAATAACATGCATTTACCTTTATAGTATCACACAGAATAGTTTTAATGACTTAAAAATTGTCTATGCTTTGCCTACTTATTTATTCCTCCCCAACAACCTCTGGCAACCACTGATCTTTTCATTGACTCTATAGGTTTGCCTTTTCCAGAATGTCATATAGTTAGAATTATAAAGTATGTAGCCTTTTTCAGACTGGCTTCCTTCACTTAGTAACATGCATTTAAGATTGCTTTCATGTCTTTTCATGTTTTGATAGCTCATTTATTTTCAGTGCTAAATAGTTTTCCAATTTCTGGATGTGCCACCGTTCATTTACCTGTTAATTTACTAACTGGCATTTTGGTTATTTTCAAGTTTTGGCAATAACGAATAAAGCTGCTATAAATATTCATGTACAAGTTTTTGTGTGGGTATGAATTTTCAACTTATTTGATTAAATAACAATGGGTCCAATTGCTGGATTGTATGGTAAGTTTTGTAAGAAAGAGCTGAACCATTTTGCAGCAATGAATGAATATTCTTGTTCTACACCCCCCATCAGCATTTGGTATAGTCAGTGTCTTGGATTTGGGCCATTTGAAAAGGTGTGTAGGGTACCTCATTGTTGTTTTGAAATTCCCTAATGGCATATGATGTTAAGCATCTTTTCTTATGCTTATTTTCCATCTGAACATTTTATTTGATGAGGTATACATTCAGGGCTTTTGCCCATTTAAACAATTGGTTTTTTTTTTATTGTTGGATTTTAAGAGTCCATGGCATATTTTATTTTGGGAAGTTTTTGCTTTTGGTTTTTTGTTTTTGTTTTTGTTTTTGAGACAGAGTCTCACTCTGTCGCCCAGGCTGGAGTGCAGTGGCGCGATCTCGGCTCACTGCAAGTTCTGCCTCCCAGGTTCATGCCATTCTCCTTCCTCAGCCTCTCGAGTAGCTGGGACTACAGGTGCCTGCCACCACACCTGGCTAATTTTCTGTATTTTTAGTAGAGACGGGGCTTCACCGTGTTAGCCAGGATGGTCTCGATCTCCTGACCTCATGATCCGCCCGCCTCGGCCTCCCAAAATGCTGGGACTACAGGCGTGAGCCACTGCGCCCGGCCTGTTTTTGTTTTTTTTACTAAATCTGAAATGAGCAGATTTAAAAAAAATTAAAATTATTTTTTTTTTATTTTTAGAGGCAAGGTGACTCTGTCATCCAGGCTAGAGCATGGTGGCACAATCACAGCTCACTGCAGCCTTGACCCCCTGGGCTCAACTGATCCTCCCTCCTCAGCCTCCCAAGCAGCTATGGCTACAGGCAAATGCTATCATGTCTAACTAACATATATTTTTTATATTTTGTAGAGATGAGGTCTCCCTAGGTTTCCCAGCTGGTCTTGAACCCCTGATCTCAAGCAATCCTCCCACCTTGGCCTCCCAAAGTGTTGAGATTACAGGTTTGAGTCATCACATCTGGCCTCTTTTTATATTTTAGATAACAGTCTTTATCAGATATGCCTCTCCTAGCCTATAGTTTGACTTATTTTTTGACCGACTTTTTGAGTCTAAATTTTCAATTAAGATAAACTTCAGGCTTAGTCAGAGATTTAAGATGAAATCTTATTTATAAATTAATATTAATATAGTCATGTCTACATGAGTTGATTCTCAAGTGAATCAGATAGTGCCTATACAATATGTAAATTTTTTTTATATCTTCATTCATCTAACTAGCAAAATAATAATATTACAGTTTTCAAAATACACTACAAGACATAGAGAGGAGGTTAATGAGCAAAGACAAGCAAACATTGGTAATACTATGGAATGATTAAACTTTAATTAGAGAAAGCATACATATTTTGTTATAAAGGCACTGGATCAACTAATATACTCATTCTAATTTCCCTAATGTTGAGAAAAGCATGATCTACTCATATTTTATATGTCATATGTTCCTATAATGCAAAGCGTAGGCTCTAGAGACAGCCCTCCATGGTTTTAACATTCTTCCTTCTCTCTTTCATTTTAGGGTCAGACTTGCAAGGATGCTTCCTCCTGAACTTTCTTTCCTCTCTCCTCCATCTGTGGTCTGACAGACCTTGTAGGCTCCTCAGACCTCTTACCCTTAAGCATTTCCTCTTTTAAACTCTTGCAAGTTTAAAGACATGGCCTTAATGTCTTTTTCTTGTAGTATCTGGATTAACACAAATGGTATCAGGATAGTCCAAGAAAACAGGTCTCAAGATGGGGATGTGGAAGACTGACTCACTCACTGACCTCTCAGCAGGTGAAGAGGACACCGTCCTCCCTAATAAGTGAGCATGGATAATTCCTGGCACAAAGTTCCAGTTCAATTGGCAGAGATTTCTCCGGTGTTGAACTGGGAAAATGTTTTAGTGGAAGGACATGCTGTGACAGGTGTAATGATGTCGATATTTGAAACATATGGAAGAGGCAGGAAAGAAAATGCTTAAAAACTCAGAAGAGTTGACTAGTTATTGCTAAGTTATATTGACACCCATCAGAAAGAGTGAAGGCTGTTAACAAGCAGTTGGTAGCTGTGTGAGAGCCAGATAGCTTCTCTGTAAAGCTCTGATAGTTCACAATGATCCTTTTATCAACTGTGTTGGGAGGGCAGACACAGTTGAGGCACAGGCTGAAGACTTAATCGTTGGAGTTGTAGCATTCCAGAGACATCTGAAATTTCAACCAAAGTAGTCCTGTTATGTGAAGAACCCAGCCCGGATGAATAAACCTGAGATTCTGAAACACGAGACGGAGACACCTGGACAGGGGACATTGAAATATAAATTCTGCAACTCTCTGTGAGCCTTTGGGCTTGCAGACGTAGCTCATCTTGCCCTAGCAAGAGCTGGCACTTTTACTATGCTGGAAGATGCTGCAAGAATCTCTCCTCAATGAAGTATCAGATGTGTCTCTCAGAATCTGTCCCCACTCGCATGGCTATGAGGATAATGAGGGTTAAATCCAGCATAACCTAGTAGGGGATGTGCTCGGCCTGATAAGGGAGGAATATGTTATCAATCTAAAACAATCACACCAAGAATACAATGGTGAGCCCTGTGAGTAATCCTGGGGTTGACTTCTGATGTTGCTTGGTCAAGCGAGCTATAATGTACGACTAGATAAGCAACAATTTATTTACTTAGATGCAGTTTTTTGGGGCACAAGATTTGTCTTAGTTTGTTTCCACCGATAAAACAAAATACCTGACACTGGATGATTTGATTCACTTCGTTTTATTGATACATATTAGATGTATATATTTGGGGGTATATATAATTGGATGCATTCATCTGTAGTCAAATCAGGGTAATTGGGATATCCGTCACCTAAATATTTATCTTTACATGAGAACATTCAAATTATTCTCTCCTAGCTATTTTGAAATGTATCATCGATTAATGTTTTCCATAGTCACCCTACTGAATGCTAGGTTTTATTTTTTCTAAAGGTATATTTTTACTCATTCATAAACCCTTCTTTATCTCCTTTTCCCCTCTACATTTCCCAGCCTCTGGTAACCTTCGATTTACTCTCTATTTCAATGAGATCCACTTTTTAGCTCGCACGTATGAGTGAGAATATGTCATATTTGTCTTTATGTGCTTGGCCTATTTCACTTCATAATGACCCCCAGTTCCACTTATGTTGTTGCAAATGACAGAATTTCATTCTTTTTTGTGGCCGAATAATATTCCATTGTGTATATTTACCATATTTACTTTATCCATTCATTCACTGATGGACACTTAGGTGGATTCCATATTTTGGCTACTGTAAATTGTGCTGCAATAAACATGGGAGTACAGACAACTGTACAATAAATTGATTTCCTTTCTTTTGGATGTATACCCAGTAGTGGAATTGCTGGATCTTATAGAAGTTCTGTTTTCAGTTTTTTGAGAAAGCTCCATACGATTTTCCATAGTGGCTGTGCTATTACATTTCCACCAACAGTGTATGAGAAGACAGAGTTCTCCTTGTCCACATTCTAGCCAGCATCTGTTATTCCCTCTTTTTGATAAAAGCCATTCTAACTGTTGTTGGAGATATCTTATTGTTGTTTTAATTTGTATTTCTCTGATCATTTATGTTGACAGTATTTTCATATGGCCATCTGTATGTCTTTTTTGAGAAATGTCTATTCAATTATTTTGCCCATTTTTAGCTGAATTTTTTGGGTCTTTTGTTATTGAGTTGTTTGAACTCCTTATATTTTCTGGTTATTAATTCCTTGTCAGGTGAATAATTTGTAAATATTTTCTCATTCTGTGAGCTGTTTCGTCACCTTGCTGATTATTTTCTTTTCCATGCAGAAGATTTTTAATTTGATGTAATCACATTTGTCTATGTTTACTGTTGTTGCCTGTGCTTATGAGGTCTTACACAAAAAACTGTTGCCCACATCAATGTACTGGAGCATTTCCTCCAATTTTCTTTTAGTGGTTTCATAGTTTCAGGTCTTAGACTTAAGTCTACAATCCATTTTGATTTGATTTTTGTATATGGCAAGAGATACGGGTCTAGCTTCATTCTTCTATATATGTTTATCCAGTTTTTCCAGCACTGTTTATTGAAGAGACTGTCACAATTGTATGTTCTTGGAACCTTGTTGAATGAGTTGACTGTAAATAGGTGGATTTATATCTGAGTCCTCTATTGTGTTCCATTGGTCTATGTATTTGTTTTTATGCCATTACCATGCTGATTTACTACAGCTTTGTAGTATATTTTAAAGTCAGGTAGGGTGATACCTCCAGCTTTATTCTTTTTGCTCAGGATAGCTTTGGCTATTAAGGGTCTTTTCTGGTTCCATATTAATTTCTCTCCTGTGAAAAGCATCACTGGTATTTTGATAGGAATTGCATTGAATCTGTGAATTGCTTTGGATAGTATTATTATATTAATACATAATATAGTATTAATTCTTCCAATCCACGAACATGGGATATATTTCCATTTTTTGTGCCCTCTTCAATTTTTTAATCAATGTTTTATAGTTCTTCTAGTAAAGATATTTTACTTCTTTGTTTAAATTAATTCCTAGGTCTTTTATACTCTATAGCAATTGTAAATGTTATTGCTTTCTTGATTTCTTTTATAGAATGTTTACTATTGGTGTATATAAATACTATTGGTTTTGTATGTTGATTTTTGTATCCTTCAAATTTACTGAATTTGTTTATCAGTTCTAACAGTTTTGTGGTGGAGTTTTTAGGTTATTCTAAATATAAGATCACATCATCTTCATGCAAGGCTAATCTGACTTCTTCCTTTCCAATTTAGATGCCCTTTATTTCTTTCTCCTGCCTAATTGCTCTGGCCAGAACTTCAGTATATTCTTGAATAAAAGTGATGTAAGTGGCTGCCCTTGTCTTGTTCTAGATCTTAGAGGAAAGGCTTTTAAATGTTCCCTTTTTAATATGATGCTGGCTGTGGGTTTGTCATATACAGCCTTTATTATCTTGTGGTACGTTCTTTCTATACCTTTGTTGGGGGTTTTATCATAAAGATATGCTGAATTTTCTTGAATGATATCTCCTTCCATCCCTTCGCTTTTAGTCTATGTGTGTGTCTTTATAGGTGAGATGGATTTCTTGTAGGCAGCATATTTGAGTCTTGCTTCTGTATCCATTCAGTCACTCTACGTCTTTTAATTGAAAAACTGAGTCCATTTACATTCTGTGTTGTTACTAGTAAGTAAGGACTTACTACAGACATTTTGTTGCTGGTTTTCTGGTTGTTTTTTATCTCCTCTCTTTCTTCCTTTCTTGCTGTTATCCTTTATGGCTATGTAATTTTCCATGATAGTATGTTTTAATTCATTGCTTTTAACTTTTAGTGTATCTGTTCTAGGGTTTTGCATTGTAGTTACTATGAGGCTTACGAAAATATCTTATAGATATAACAACTTACATTAAATAGATAACAATTTATATCACAAAAAATAGTAAAAGCAAACGAAGAAAAAACTAAAAACTTCCCTGCATTTTAACTCAATTCCTTCACATTTTGACTTTTGGTTGTCTCAATGTACATATTTGTATATTGCCTATAACTTAGCTATTATTGTTTTATTATTGACTCATTTTTTAGGCTTCATACTAGAATTGTAAGGGTACTGTATGCCACAATTACAGTATTGAAGTATTCTGAGTTTTTGTATTTAATTTCACATGTGGATTTTGTCTTCAAATGGTTTCTTTGTGCACATTAGTGTATTTTTTGGAAAGAAAACTTTGAAGAACTCCCTTAGCATTTCTTTGTAAGAAGGGTCTGGTAATGGTGAATTCTCTTAGCTTTTGTTTATCTGGGAAAGACTTTCTCTCTCCTTCATATATAAAGAATAGCTTTGCAAGATAAAGTATTCTTGAATGACAGGTTTTTTTTTCTTCAGAACTTTGAAAATATTGTCCCCCTACTTCCAAGTGTGTGTGGTTTCCATTGAGAAGTCTTCTGGGAGATGAATTGGAGCTTCTTCATAAGTTTTTTGCCTTTTTTTCTGTTGCTGCTTTTTGAATTCTTTTTGTCTTTGACCTTTGAGAGATTGATTATTATATTTTGGGGGGTAGTCTTATTTGGATTGAACCTGTTTGGTGTTCTCTAATCTTTCTGTACCTGGATATTGATCTCTTTCTCAAGTTTAGGAATGTTTTCTATTATTCTTTTTTTAAATAAACTTTCTACCCCTTGCTCCTACTCAACTCCCTCTTGAACATCAATAATTCTCAGATTTGGTTTTTTGAGGTAAGTTTATATGTTTTGTGGAAAAAATCTTCATTCTTTTTCATTATTTTTTCTGTTTTACTTCTCTGACTGTGTAATTTCAAATAGCCTTTGAGCTTACTGATTTTTTTTTTTTTTTTTTTTTTTGGCTTGGTGTATTCTGCTGTTGAGAGCCTCTAAAAAACTTTTAGTTCAGCAAATGTATTTCTCAGTTCCAAGACTTCTGTTTGACTTTTAAAAGTTATTTCGATCTCTTTGTTAAATTTTTCCGATAAATTTTTGAGCTGTTTTTGTGTTACATTGGAGATCACTGAGTGTATTAGTCTATTCTTGCATTGCTATAAAGAAACACCGGAGACTGCATAATTTATAAAGACAAGAGGTTTAATTGGCTCATGGTTCTGCAGGATTTACAGGAAGCATGGTATGGCATCTGCTTGGCTTCTGGTGAAGCTTCAGGGAATTTTAAATAATGGCAGAAGGCCAAGTGGGAGAAGGCACTTTACACATGGTGAAAGCAGGAGTGAGAGAGAATGGAGGAAGGAGGTGCCACACACTTTTAAATGACCAGATCTTGTGAGAACTCACTATCATGAAGACAGCACTAAGCTACGAGAAATCTGCCCCCATGATCCAAACACCTCCCACCAGGCCCCACTTCCAGCATTGGAGATTACAATATAATATGATAATTGGTTGGGGACAAATATCTAAACTTGATATTTGAGGAAACTGAGTTTCCTTAAAACTGCTCTTTTGAATTCTTGGTCAGAGAGCTCACGTATCACTATGTTGTTAGGGTCAGTCACTATTTTCTTGCTTTGTCTCTTTGGGGAGGTCATCATTCTTTCTTTGCTATTGTTTCTTGTGGCTACAGTTCTATGTCTTTGCATTTAAGGATTATTTATTCCAGACTTCTCTGTCTGGCTTGTTTTCGTTACTATTGGTTATGTTTGCTTAGAGAATCTTTGTAATTTACCTGTTGAATGTCTTATATTTGTTCTCTAAGTCACTGCCTCCTTTTTGGCACTAGATGGTGCCTAAAGCCCAGATTTCTGTCAGCTCTACTAACCAATCAGAGTGCTGCCTATCTAGAACTGGGGAGGTCCCAAAGGGAGGTCCAGCCATGTGGAAAGGCTGGCTAGTGGTTCATGCCCAGGAGACCTATGGAACATACTTCTTACAGTATGATGCTGCCAAACAGCCACTATGATTTGGTATCTCCTTTGACAGAGTTACAGAGCAGAGTTTCCAGGGCTGGAGTTGGTAGTCTCACTTCCCTGCTTTGTCTCTGGCTGTCCTCAGGGATACGTCTCACTTCAGGCACTCGGAATGCTTCTCTTGGGTTGAGGCATGGACGAGTCACCTGCTAAAGAACCCAAGATGGTGGGAAAGCTGGTTGTTCACTTTATTCTCACTTTTCCAGTGTAGAAGCCATGAGTTGGGGAAAAGTTTCCACATGTCTGGTGCCAGGCAGAGTGAGGGGAAGGGTGTCATAAATATAAAAATCTGATTCTCTTACAATCCACTGAGTTTTTTTTTTTTTTAATTATTTGTGACCCAGGAAACTGACTTATCCTCACATTTGAGTTTTGATATATTGCTGTTGATGATCTCAGTGCTGTATATTTGGTTTTGGTCTTCTGGGGGAAAAGGGGTTGGGGAGTAAAGCCAGCTTGTGTCTATGCCACCAGTTTGGAACCAGAAGTCTCCAAGTAATTTATAAAAAACAGAAACTTATTTCTCACAGTTATGGAGGCTAGAAAGCCCAAGATCAAGGTGCCCACAGGTTCGTTACCTGATGAGAGCCCATTTCTCATACATGATACCATCTAGGTGTTCTCACATGGCAGAAGGGCTGAAATGTGCAAGAATGGGGTGAACTCCCTCTGTCATGTCACTTTATAGGGGCTTCTAATCATACTCCTGAGGGAAGAGGCCTCATTATTCAATCAGCTCCCACAGGTGACACCTCTTAATACTGTTGCATTGGGCATTAAGTTTCACCATGATTTTGAAAGGGTCAGAACATTCAAATTATAGCAGGACTACATGCTCTAAGTTAGGACATTGGAGATGGGATAAAACTCACTGCTTGGCTCATAGAAGTCTGGAAAAAGGAGTGAAAAACTCTCAGCAAGGTGGAAATGCTTGAATTATTCTGACCGATAGTATAGGAAGGGAAAGAGAGGCTGAAAGAAATGAGCACACGTCAATAAATATATAAGGCTGAAAGACCCATCACCCATCAGAAGATTATATTCCACAAGAAGGCCCAGAGGACCACATGTTCATGAAAGCCCTCAGGCATGCGTTGACATGAGGGGCTCCAGCATCACTAAAATATTCAGAAGATGTTTTGTTCTGCAAGGTAGAAATGTCAGTAGGAAAGGCAGTCACAGAGCTGGGCTCATTTATAACCATGAAGATGATGTTTGGGCTTCCTCATCCCAATAATAGAGACCAAGTGGCAGGGCTTAATAATAAGTTAAGCAATTATCATTAGCATTATGGTTATGCAATTATTATAATGACCAGCAAGGTTGAAAGATGAACAAAGTAGGAGCCAAGCAAAGCAAGCTTGACTCACAGGGGGCCATGCAGACCATTAATAGCATATGCCATCCCTATAAGTAAAAGAAATATGTAGCCAGGAAAGGTTCTGCTCAAAATCAATAAAAACAACAAATCATGAATGGAGGGGTAGGGAGATGAGGGCTATTTCCCAAATAAAATACCGTAAGCCTTGCTCAGTTATCAGGTCTGAGACAATTTTCAGATTTGGAGCTTCCCGATTTGGAGGGCCATTATCTAGGCCCCAGGGATCCACAGTAAGAAGAACCCTGTAACATAATGGCAAGTGTGTACTGTGATGATTCCCTTTTGTCCCTCCCACAGGGTCCTTGGGTTATTCACTCCAGTGACTGTATACATCCCCAAAATAGGGGGAATTGAGAGTTACTTCAAGAACTATTAGGTATTGGACATCAGTTTGTTTGCTATCTTCAATCCTGTGCAACTCCGGAATCTAATAATTGTTTTGATGAGAAAATCAGCCACAAGATCCATGCACTCCAAATCCAAATCTCCTGATTTAGTCCTTCGATATTTACTTGCTCATCAACTTTTGACATCATCAAACTGATTATGATCTTACATGGCTTTTCTAGTTGTTTTTAATGGGAGTCTTGGTCTGCCACATGTTACTCCACCCCCTTTCGGATGAAGCTGTATTCATCATTTTATCATCTTCTGGAATCACATATTTATTTCTCTATTCTGTTTTTTCAACAAATATTTACTTAATGACCATTGTATCATACACTACAAGAAAAGTGGAGTCAGGCAGAAAGTTCAAAAAAATCTACCATCTAGAAAAAGAAGAAAATTTGGGCAAGTCTAGGTATCACATAACAAATGCCCCAGCACTCTGTATATTCCTGGCAATACTCCCATCTCCTCCTCCCTCGTCTCCATTACTCACAACCTTGTGCATATGATTTGCTTAAGATTATCTATTATTGTTTACATTAGTCAGAGAAGCACTTGACTCCTAGGTCATTACCTGTCTCTGGGACCCCAAACCCATATCGCTCTGTATATCTCCTAACCTGACCTTGTCACCTAATATTCTCCAATTCCTAAAACCATTCGTTAGGCCCACCGGACTAATGGGTCAGTCACAGGGAAAATACTCTATATCTTCAAATGTGTCAATTAAGTTTTCCTTCATCTTTTTACTCTGAGAAATGTCTCCCCACCAGGGACATAGATTTCCACACAGCCGTATAACATGATAGCTGATTTTTCTGCTGTGGTCATACTATTCCCAGGTATGCTGGTAGATGTTTTCACACGGACACTCACTGTCCATTACCCTGTTATCTTCACTAACCCACTGGCTCTTCTCTTATCAAAATATAAAATTGTATATTTATTTTTGCCTTCAATTCCTCTCTTTCTGTTCTCTATTTAACCCAAACTAATTCAGATCTTTGGCCCTGTTTTAGTCCATTCTTGCATTGCTATAAAGAGAGACCTGAGACTGGGTAATTTTTTTTTTTTTTTTAAAGAGGTTTAATTGGCTTATGGTTCTGCAGGCTGTACAAGAAGCACAGCAGCTTCTGCTTCTGGGAGGCCTCAGGAAGCTTCCAATCATGGCAGAAGGCAAAGGGGGAATGAGATGTCTCACATGGTGGGAGCAGGAGCAAGAGCGAGAGGGAAGAGAGGAGCTACACGCTTTTAAACAACCAGATCTCATGAGAACTCATGAGGACAGTACTAAGGGGACATGGTGCTAAACCACAAGAAACTGGCCCCATGAGCCAATCACCTCCCATCAGGCTCCACATCCAACATTGGGGATTACAATTCAACATGAGATTTGGGCGAGGACACAGAGCCAAACCACATCAGGCCCCATCTCTCCAGTGAAACAGCTCTTGCTGAGGTCAGGAATGATCTCCCATTGTTAATTATTTTGATGAGTTCTCTGTTCTCACCTCCATGATTGTTAAGCAACATTTGGCACCATTAATCAACATCCTTAAAACACTTGTAACACTTGGCTTTTAAATATTAAATTCTGCCTTGTCTACTACTTCACTGGATGCTATTTCTCAGTGTTTATCCTCACTCTCGCAATGGATTGATCTGTGGACTTCTCTTATCTATCAAACAGACTTTCATTGGTGAGCTCATTCAGTTTTAGGACTTTAAATAACATCTATAGGCTGATGAGCTGATGACTCTCCAGTTTATATATCAGGCCTAGACATTTCCTCTGAGCTCACACACCCAGCTTCCTATTTTACGTCTCCAATCTGAATTCCTAATCTCTTAAATCTCCTCTTCGACCCCTTCCCATCTCAGTAAATGGCAACTCAAACCTTCCAGTTGCTCCAGCTGAAAACCTCTGTGTCATCCTTGACTAATCTCTTTTCTGCCCCATATCCAGTCCCTTGACAAATCTTGGCAATTCTGCCTTCAACTATATATTCAATATATGACCACTTTTTACCACTTCATTGCTATCATCTCTCACCTGGATCATTGTAATAGCTTTTACTCTTGACCCTGTTCCATTCAAAAAACAGTAAGTAGTGGGAGAAATTCTTATGAAGCACAATTTAAATCATGTCATTCTTTTGCTCAAAGCCCACTAATGATTTCCCATGCTGAGAAAATTCTGAGCCCTTACAACCATGTGTAAGGGCCTATATTATCCCCATCTGACTGCTCTGACTTTGTTGCGTACCATGCTCCCTCTTCCAGCACCACGCTTCTTTCTCTTCTCCAACAATGTAAGCACTCTCCAGCCTTAGGAACTTTGCATGTACTAGTCCATTTCTAAAAATGCTTTTCCCATCATCTCCCCCTGTCCCCAAATATTTACATCTCTCCTCCTTCATATCCTCAGTCAGATGTCATCTTATGTGTGAGGACTCCTACATAACTGTATTTAAAACTGCACCTACTTACATATAGACACACATATATACACACCAGTACTAATTTCCTGCTTGGTTTTCTTCACTGTTTTGACATAATATAAATTTAACTGTTTACTCTCACTTCTTATACTAGAATGTATGGTATATGAGGGAAACATTTTTCTCTGTTTTTTTACTACCATTTTTCTACTATTTAGAACCATGACTAACACACTGTAGGCACTCCAAAAAATTTGTTTATTGACTGAAAGAACAAATTCTTAGGACATAAGGCCATTTTTGGTGTATCCACTGAATAGTGTATATACCACTTATGGAATTTTTGGTGTATAGATGAATTTGGATTATGTGCATATTCAAATTAAAAATTATTTCTCAGACCATATTTTCCCCGTGAAGCTTTTTGAGAGAAGGTATTCTCTCTGTTTTTCATCAGCGGCCTAACAGACAAGCTAAGAAGTTGCAGCTTTACAGTTTCAACTGCAAATCAATGTTGACTATTCATTTTCATCCTCACTAACAAGTTCCCTCTAACTGTGAATGTTATTAAGTTATTCTTTATTCATTTGGCAAACAGTTATTGAATACCTACTATTTGCCAAGGCACTATGTTAGTTGTTGAGGATGTAGGGTTCCTGCTCTCAGGAAACATTTAATTGTATTTTTCTTTACAGTGTACAATAGTACCTCTTACCTACAGTCTTGGTAATGGCATGTAAAATTATGTGGTTATTTGTGGAAATCCCTATACATGTATCATTGACCTTAACTGCTTTGGGTTTATCCAAAAATGAATACTTGAAATAGACAATGTAAATGGCACAGTCTTTCAACACAAAAGACCTGAATTTTATTTCCCATAACGTGATTAACCTTTGTAAGCAAGTCAGTGGGTCTTCATTTACCTCAGTTTCTTTTTCTATAACAAAAAGTTAACAATACCTATTAAACTGAAAAGATTCTTTGAGGATAAAACAATAGTTAATAAAATGCTTTAAGAAGCAATCTACTACTTAAAAACATAATAAACTTATCTTTTCAATGGAGAGGCAGCATTGTGTGATATCATAAAGAACAGACTTTGGAAGGAGACAGGCTTGGTGTCAAATCCCAGCCCTGTCACCTAGCAACAAATGGAAACAGTCCCGTTTAATTTACAAAATTAATGGAATAATTAGAATTAACACATTTAAAAAGCCTAGCATCTCGCACAGGATATGATGCATAGCAGATGTCAGCTCTTATTTACCTTAATATTTTGGCATCTGACCATTAAAATTGTTATTTCTTCCATTTTCAAATATACCTCAGTTTCTTTATCTGTAAAATGGGGAAATTGTATTGCAGTCTTTCAAAAGCCCTCCTGAGTATACTGCATTAACTGGTTGCCATCTCCAAGCAGAAGTCATTATTATCACATCCTTGAGGGCAATGGTTTGACATTATTAGATTTCTGCATGGCCAACTCTGAAGATGGAGACAGAAAAATCACATTCAGGAAAAGCTCTTCAGAGCAGGACTTTGGAGAAAAATATAAATAATGAGGTAATACAAACTCTAAAGTAAACCAGGCAAAGGGCCAAGAATTATCATGCAAAGGGAGAATGGACACAATCAGCTCTCATGTACACACGTGCCTTTCAAATGGCAGGAGAGACATAGAACACGCATCTCTAGTAATTTTTAAAAGTCAAAGCCAAACCAGCCCACTCCCTTCAATTATTGTTAGAGGACATCCTTCCACAGCTCACTGTTGGCCTCAGATCACTAGTTTTGCTGACATCATTCTAGTCACATGGTAGAGATGTTTACACTTTGTAGAAACTTCCATTTTATTCTACATTAATTTAGTGTCAAGGTTATTCTCCTAAGTAAATGAAAGTAGAATAATGAAATGTTCAAGTCATCTTATCACAATTGTGTTGTAAGGACTTTGTGTCTTCGCCGTAAGTCCCCAAAGTGAAGACATTTCCCTCCTCTCATCTCAAGTACTTTTTGGTCTTTTGAAATGAAAAAAGTAAGTTTTATATTATAACAGCTAGAAATTAGCAGATGTTTTGGCACACTCTGAACTTGCGTTCTGACATTATTGCACAACTGCCTCTACACTAGCAGTTTTTTTTAATCTATTTTAGGTGATCCAGCACTGATCCATCCTTCAATAGCCATAGCATTTGATCTATTATTTAATGCTTTAGAAACACAATGCTCTATCACGTGATACTTTATAAACTAACTGACAAACTCAACGGCATTGTCTACTAGAGAATTTTATTTATTTCATAGCACTTCACTTAAAAACCAATTTGTGGGGTTTTAGGTGACATTTTGATAATTCAGCCTATAAAAACCTCACTTCTCTTTTATTTTCTGGCAAAATCTGAACATACAGTGTAACAAAGAGTCATGTTATTCTATATCACAAGCTTAAAATGTAATTCATTCTTGTAGAATTAGAATTTTACTACTGCTCGCAAAGTTACATGAATGCTGTGAAACTGTACATAAACAGGATCAGCATAGATGTTATTTATGTAGATAGATATTTATATTTATATACTTTTAACATTATTTCAAAAACGTGGCCCACCCCTTCTCAAGGTATTAAATATTCAGCAGTTTACTAGCATAAGAATTGGGAGCTTTATATTTATAGTACAAGGCATTTGATATTTGCAATACCGTTCAATAGATAAGTCTGATATTTAAATTTGGTTTTGTTCTATGCCTGGTTATTTTAGAGTTCGTCCATATGCTAGCTAATTTGCTGCCAGTCAGATACTTACTTGCTTTTGTTAATTGATGCAGAGTTCAACACACAGATTTCTTCTCTCCCATCTCTTGTCCTGTCTTTCTCAAGCTCATTAATTTTGTGGCCCAATTGACCTTTGAGCAGATCAAATCTCTCCTTCAGAGTCATGGCTTGCTTTATCTATTTACGTATTTTACACTCATATTGCATTCTTTGGCCCAGACAAAGTTTTCTAAAAAGTGGTCCTCTTGAAACGTTTTCCCACTAAAACAGAAGGGCTGTGGTTTTACACCCACCAGGGAGGAAAGAGCAGCTAGGGACACTCTGCTGGTTCCTGAAAGAAAGTCTGCGGATCTCAGGGTTTCCTTTGTCTCATTGTGATCACACACACATTGCTAATGGCCTGAGGCACTCATACATTTCAGGGAGCTCTCCAGCCTTCTCTTGAACTAATTCCTTCCAGAGCCTCTGTTCAAGTGTGACTCATCACTCTGCAAAGCCACTGCCTCCCAGCACGCCTCCTGCCAAATGTGGAGGGCATGTCTTTCCCACTGGATTCCTGCCATTTCTTTCGTACATTTGACGTAATCCCCTTTCCCATTGTTTTTGTGCATTTGATTGTGCAAAATTGCAGGCAAAAAAGGAAAGCAGAAACTGAAAGCCTGCAAAATGACTGTTCTGAGATGCCTTTAGTAATCTGGGGTATTCTTTGGCCATGAAGATCTCCACTAGTTTGAATAGGGAGGTTTAGTTGAGTTCTGTTTATTTTTGTGTTTGTTTGCTTTTGGTGGGGACAGTGGGGTATTATCAGACTTCACTTGATTTTAGGACAGTAGACAAGACTAGAGGAGACATAAAAATAATAGACATGCTGAAAAGCCAAAATAGATATATAAATAAAAAATAAAAATATTGAACACTTTCAGTCAAATTTACCGTCTGAGCAGACCCTAGACCTTACTAGAGATTTCATGGCAACAGAAATAGTCATCACATTCTGTGTCCGTCTGGATTTCTGCCATTAATTATCCACTCTCTTCTCAGTACTGTCAACCTTTTCCTTTCCACTGGCATCTTTCCCTTTGTGCATAAACATGCTCAAGTCTCTCCCATCTTAGGAATAAATACTTCCTCGATTCTGCCTCCACTCTAGCTACTGAATCTTCTCCTTTGTAATTTTTTAAAAATAGATCAGCTTCTAGAACAAGCAGTCTACATGGACTGTCTTCACTTCCTCATATTTAGTTTCTTTCCCTTATTGATGAAAACTCTTCCAGGTCTACATTATTGCTATTCCAAAGTGAGCTTCTAGGTTGCTCATTCCAATTTAATTAGTCAGTGTACTATTGGATACAAGTGACTGAAGACTCAATGCAAGTTGAGTTAAAGAAAAGCTGTTGTTATTATTGTAGTTATTACTAGTATTTAGCTCATTTACCTAAAAAAAGCTCATTGCTTGTACTGACTTAGGTGCAGCTGAACTAGGACTTGCTCTCCTTTTCCTCACTCTGCCTCCTTCTATTTTGGCTTTACTTCTTGGCTGGTTCATGCTTCATGGTGGTAAAAAGTGATTTTTACACTTACTTCCTCATTGCTGTAAATATATCAGAAAAACACAGCTGTTAGATCACAACTCCCGTATAATTCTCGGGGTTAACTTTGGTGTACTCAGAATGAATTGTGTGTTCACTGCTAAACAAAGCACTCTGGCCAAAGGGCTGCAGCCTCCTATTGACTAGGTCCGTGTTAAGTGTATTCTTTGGAATGAAGCATGGCTTTGAATTTTGGCTCTAACAAAGTTTATTAGTAGTAACAATATAGCTATACTTCCTATGTTATTCATTTTACACCTAGCATCTGTTCTTTATAACAAGCCTGCAGGTTATGAATTAAACATTATGAAGAGGGTAGGAGTTCAAAGAACTTAAATAATTGGCCCAACTCTTAAAATTAATGAAGAAGATCTAAGATTTGAACCCAAGTTTGTCTAGACTCAAAGTTGTGCTCTTCCCACTGGATCATACTGAGATATTATATCCAAAGGAGTCATCACATGCCGGGTGTGGTGGCTCATGCTTGTAATCTCAACACTTTGGGAGGTCAAGGTGTGAGATCACTTGAGGCCAGGAATTTGACAACAGCCTGGGCAACATAGTGAAACCCTGTCTCTTAAAAAAAAAAAAATTAAGTTAGCCAAGTATGGTGGCATGTGCCTGTACCCCTTGCTACTGGGGAGGCTGAGATGATAGGATTGCTTGAGCCCAGGAGGTCGAGGCTGGAGAGAGCTATGATTGCACCACTGAACTCCAGCCTGGGCAACAGAGAGAGATCCACATCTCTTAAAAAAGAGGAAAAGAGTAAAAATAGTCATTACAGAGCTAGCACACATGCTTAACTAATGTTAGTTCCTTTTTTTTTTTTTACTCTGCTCATGCAATTCTGATCAGATCATAGCTCTTAAAAATTTTGTCATGAAGTCCTCTCCAAATCTGGCCCTCACTTAGCTTCAATGGTTTCACCCATCTATCTTCCTCAGGTCGTTCTAAGCCATTTGTTTTTCTTTAAACATGCCAGGTTCCCTAACTTGTCTGAAATTTTGAATATAAAATGTATTTATTCTGTCTGATTTCCTCTCCCCACAGAAAATTACTCATTTTTTTTAAGTCTGACCTCAAGTACTTACTATGTTCTGCATTTCCTCTGCAGCTCATACATACCTTCATTATGGAATTATTACATTGTATTGTAGTAGTTCCTATATCTTCTCCCCACTATGCTGTAAAATAGACAAGTTAAGGCCATGGATCAAGTCATTTTCTCTTCATTTCCCAGGAACATAATGTAGGTACTACATAAATGTATGTTGAATGAATAAATGGATATACAAAGAAACAAATTTCTTTTTACCAAATTGGCCCAAACTCCTTTTCCCAGCACAGACTTTCCCAGCACAAACAACAACAAAGATGACAGGAATAGAGATGGAATGGAACAGGACAGGACAGGACGGGACAGAGAGGACAGGAGAAGAGAGGAGAGGAGAGAAAGGGGAAGGGAAGGGGAGAGAGGGGAGAGGGGAGAGGGGAAGGGGGAAGGAGAGGAGGTGGGAAGGGGGAGGGGAGAGGAGGTGGGAAGGGGGAGGGGAGAGGAGGTGGGAAGTGGGAGGGGAGGGGAAGGGAGAGAAAGAGGAGGGGAAGGGAGAGAAAGAGGAGGGGAAGGGAGAGAAAGAGGAGGGGACAAAGTTTCCTTTGCTAGGAACACTTAGATAAACCTCAGGGAGGAATCTGACCGCCATTTTCCCCCAAAACAAAGCCTGCGCATATGGGGCCTCAGACCATGTGTCCTCACATCTACAGAGAAGTTCCAACTGCTGGATGTTATCAAAATGAATGGTCCCTTCCTGAGGCCAAGCCGGTCCTTCCTATACATCACAATTTGGCCAAGCCTTTGTGCAGAGGGCTATGAAGTATTTTTCCTCCAGGTTCTGAAGATAAAAACAGTCCCAATGTTTAAAGATACACTCTGGAAGAGTATAAGCTGGGGGTGGTGAAGAGAACTGGTTGCCCATTCTGAAAGACAGGGAATAGAGGCTCCCTCATTCCCTTCCTTCTTACAGTGAAAACTCAGGGTGTGATGGAGAAAGAAAGCAAACATCCTCCCTTCACTTTCCACCCCTCATCCCTCAACCGGCCATAGGTACCAATGCAGTATATACCCATG